>NC_000002.12:47160049-47463079 GCF_000001405.40 Homo sapiens | reverse complement strand
TGAGATTAGGATCAAATGAAGGTTTTACAAGGAATTCATGGTTTTCCACCTGCAAACAGAACAAAGTGACAAAATCCTATAAATAATGGGTAAAGACAGAAATTATAAAGCAAATATTTCCTCCCACTTAAATTTTACTGTTTTCAGTTAAATAATTTGCTATCCATAAGTTATTCAGTCACAACTATTAAGGACTTTCTATTTATAGAAATGTAAAATTCTGTTCATTAGGACTTTAGAGTTCTATATGTACAAAAATGATTCATATGAAACAGTTACAGTGCTGATGATGTATATGCCCCCAATAGTATTCTACATTTTATTTATATTTTTCCTAAACATTTAAAATGTCCTCTCTAAAAATTACCAAATAACGTTCAATGTGCAAAACTTGTAATAGTTATATGTTGCCCAAACCAAGGATCTACCTTAGAAATCTCAAAAAGCTCTAAGAAACTAAAGAATTTTATTTCTTAAAAGTTCATCAAAATCTCACAATTTAAAGACATACTCTTAAGTACTTTGTTTCACTAAATTCTTACCAGTAATAACAGCAAGAAACCACAATGAGAAATAGATCTCATTTACAGTAGCAAAAACATACATAAAATATTCAGAAACAAAGTCTTGATTATATAGGATCTTTATAAAGATAACTGCCTATTGGAAGATTTAAAAGAAGAATTTGAATGTTAAATTCAGCTGATTAAAAAACTACACAAGAATTGGACTGGCATCGTGGCTCATACTTGTAATCCCAGCACTTTGGGAGGCCGAGGCAGGTGGATCTCTTGAGGTCAGGAGTTTGAGACCGGCTTGGCCAACATGGTGAAACCCCATCTCTACTAAAAATACAAAATTAGCCGGGCGTAGCAGTGCGCACCTGTAGTCCCAGCTATTTGGCAGGCTGAGGCAGGACAATCACTTGAACAAGGGAGGCAGAGGTTGCAATGAGCCAACATTGTGCAACTGTACTCCAGCCTAGGTGACATACTGAGACTCGTCAAAAAAAGACAGAGAAGAGAAGAGAAGAGAAGAGAAGAGAGAAGAAAAGAAAAGAAAGAAAAGAAAAGGAAAGGAAAGGAAAGGAAAGGAAAGGAAAGGAAAGGAAAGAAAAGAAAAGAAAAGAAAAGAAAAGAAAAGAAAAGAAAAGAAAAGAAAAGAAAAAGAAAAAGAAAAGAGAGACAGAGGCTGGGCGCGGTGGCTCACGCCTGTAATCCACTTTGGGAGGCCGAGGTGGGCGGATCACGAGGTCAGGAGATTGAGACCATCCTGGCTAACACAATGAAACCCTGTCTCTACTAAAAATACAAAAAAAAAAAAAAAAAAAAAAAAAAAAAAATTAGCCAGGAGTGGTGGGGGGCACCTGTAGTCCCAGCTAGTTGGGAGGCTGAGGCAGGAGAATGGCGCGAACCTGGGAGGCGGAGCTTGCTGTGAGCAGAGATCGCACCACTGCACTCCAGCCTGGGCGACACAGCGAGACTCCGTCTCAAAAAAAAAAAAAAAAGAAAGAAAAGAAAGAAGAGGTAAACTATGAAAAGAGAAAACTAGATCTAATATTATTATTAAGCTATCTATTCCTAGAGATTGTTCAATAGGAATTGTTTTTTGAAACAAAACAACTAAAATTTACATGAAATTGTGAAAGAACATCTAAAAAAAGAATGAAGTGTATCCTTACTAGGCATTACAGTGAAACAGACAATTATATATAGAAGCTTAATATAACAGAGTCCGTTCTCTTGATTTAAAACATTCAATAAATGAGGTTGAGATAAATTGTTCCTAATTACTACCCACTTAGAGAGAGCACACTTTAACATACCAGAAGCAAACTATGCAAGGAATAAGGAATTAAAATCAAATTACAGAAAGCTAGCAAAAAAAGAGAATATACATAAAATAACTTTCTCAATTTAAACCAACCAAAAGAAATTCAATATAATATTAAAATTTAAAATTCTGAATAAACCTAATTTTTAAAAGATGAAACATTAAAAAAAAAGCTTCACAAAATGTAAAAAGATAAAGGTTAATATATTCTTTTACAAAAAGCACTTGCTTCCATGTGTAAGAAAACATCAAGGTCATCAAGTGGGCATGTGTAAGCACTTACAACTCACAGATAAGAAAATAAGTAGTGAACTAATCCACAGGAAATGCTGTAAGAATAAAAGACAGAAATATTTAAGCAACCTTGAGATTATTCTACAGCTTTTTTTTTTTTTAAAAAAAAAGAAACTAGCTACAGTAAAATTAGTACACTCATTCAGTTCTAGTGAGACTCTAACTTGGTATAACCTTTAAAAATGAAAAAAGCAGTATGCGGCAAGGCTCAGAGATACTTGTTATTCTCTTTGACATAGCAATTCTACTCCTAGAAATTCAATCTGAGGAAACAATGCAACAGAAGCAAAACAATACAGAGCTGAATAAAATCTCTGCAGACTTATCTGTTATAGCAAAACTTAAAAATAATAAAACATCATAGTATTTGCACAATGGTACATCAGTAAAATAGAATACTGTGCAGTAATTTAAACAGATAATGATGATTATCTGGAAATATTGACTAAGACTTATAATAATTCAGGAAAAAAATGCTGTAATGGTGGACTGAAACTGTGCTAATGAACTTGCCTCTTCCAATGAATCTGAGAGGTGAGCCAAACCAGGCCAAGTTCCTATCCTCACTCACCATCTTCAAGAAACCTAGTTGGTAAGTCAACAAAACTCTTGAGAATTCCTAAAAATAATCCCAAATCTGGAGAGAAGAAAACTTAATGAATATCCTTACATTTTCCTTTCTCAGATGAGGTTATACTGTTTTGAAAGGGCTGCTGAGGAGTCCCCAGTTAAACAAGGGAAAAGTGAACAACTAGCCTCTAACTTACTAAAATAAATACTCAAGGGCCACACAGGAAACTGGGCGTCTTCAGCAATCCATTACATCCGCCAAACAATCCAGGATAATAAAATATATCACCCAACAAGGTATTCTTATCTAGAACTGGAGTATTCTAAAAATGTGACATCTGACTTCTACTATGTACTAGCTGAACAGTATCAGCCTACCTACAGTATACTTACCTAGGCATCAGAAACACAGTTATTGCTTCAGGCTACACAAAAGGAGACTGAAAAGAAACTAAAAAATGGGATGATGAAACCAAGAAACAAGATGAAAAGAATGAGGAAGGAAAGTTAGGCCTTTGTCAGGCACGGTGGCTCACGCCTGTAACCCTAGCACTTTGGGAGGCCAAGGTAGGTAGATCACCTGAGGTCAGGAGTTCAAGACCAGCCTGGCCAGCATGGTGAAACCCCGTCTACTAAAAATACCAAAAATTAGCCAGGTGTGATGGTGGGCACCTGTAATCCCAGCTACTCGAGAGGCTGAAGCAGGAGAATCACTTGAACCTGGGAGGTGGAGGCTGCAGTGAGTCAAGATCGCACCATTGCACTCCAGCCTGGGCAACAAGAGCAAAACTGTATCAAAGAAAAAAAAAAAAGAACTGTATACCTAGAAAAACCATCCTTCAAGAACAAGGGTGAAATACAGACATTTTCAAACAAATAAAACCTAACAGACCTCCAACAAAGGAACTTCTTAAAAATATACAGGAAGTATTGAATACCAAAGAAACTCGTATGCATATGGACAAATCTAAACTTAACATTGACTTACAGAATGGAGATCTGAGAGGTAAAACTGATAGAACTAGAATACTAGACAATTATGAAGAAATGTAACCTGATTTTAGGTGTCTTAAGGTCCTAGTATTTTTTGGGATATCTGAGAAGATACTGATAGGCTTTTGACTCTGATAAGATAAGTAAACACATTGGAAAAAAAAAAGTGGCTATCTTCCAAACCAGTGTGTGTGATGAGATAGGATTGGGGAAGAGCAAAGGGAGAGGACAAAATGGAATTTTAGAAACCCAAGCAATACAAAAGTAAAACAGAATGGGCAAGGGGGACCAGGTATGGTGGCTCATACCTGTAATCCCAGCACTTTGGGAGGCCAAGGCAGGAGGATAACTTGAGCCCTGGAGTTTGAGAGCAGCCTGAACAACATAGTGAGACACCATCTCTATTCTAAGTTTTTTTTGTTTTTTTTTTTAATGTGTAAGTGGAACCAGGAAGAAGAGGAATCACCAAATAATTAGGTAGAAATAAATCCAAAGATACTAGTAACTACAACAAACATAATAGACTAAAACTGCTACTAAAAAAATCGAATTAAATTAGCCAGGAGTGTTGGCTCATGCCTGTAATCCCAGCACTTTGGGAGGCTGAGGCAGGTGGATCACCTGAGGTCAGGAGTTCGAGACCAGACTGGCCAACATGGTGAAAGCCCGCCTCTACTAAAAATACAAAAATTAGCCAGGCGTGGTGGCGCACGCCTGTAATCCCAGCTCCTAGGGAGGCTAAGGCAGGAGAATCACTTAAACCCGGGAGGCGGAGGCTGCAGTGAGCTGAGATCGCACCACTGCACCCCAGCCTGGGCGACAGAGTGAGACTTAGTCTCAAAAAAAAAAAAATCAAATTAAATTTAAAACTAAATAAAATCCAGTTATTAAGCTTTATTTTGCTTAAACTTACGGTTAAAAAACCTCATTAAAAAAGAAAAAAATATATACCATATTAAAAAGTGTTTTAAAAAGTACTCTGACATAGCTCTCTTACAATGAAACAAAATGTAAGGCAAAAAAAGCATTATTAAGGACAGAGTCCCTAAAGAATGATGAAGATTCAATTCACCACAAAAAAACAACAGCTCTGTGCCTAACATATTAACCAAAAATAGAACTAGATGGAGAAACCCACATCCTTCTCAGTAACCCAGCAGATCAAAAATTAGCAAGCATATATAGACAATGAAAAAGCAATCCCAAAATTAGAGTACACATCCAATTTTTAAATACATGGGGAACTTTTATGAAACTGACACACACTAAGCTTGGAAATTTAAAAATATACTTCCAAATAATTAACAAACCAAACAACAAATGATAAGAGAAATAAAATACTTGAAGTTGAGTAAGAAATTATACCTCTCTAAACTCACACTTGTAATCCTACAACTTTGGGAAGCCAAGGCAGGAGGATTGCTTGAGCCCAGGAGTTCAAAGCCAGCCTGGGAAACATAGCAAAAACCCTGTCTCTGCTAAAAAATAAAAAAAATTAGCCAGGTGTGGTGGCACACACCTATAATCTCAGGTACGCAGGAGGCTGAGGTGGGAGGATCACTGGAGCCCAGGAATTCAAGGCCTGCAGTGAGCTATGCTCAAACCACTGCACTCCAGCCTGGACAACAGAGCAGGATCCTGTCAATCAATCAATAAATTAATAATAAATGTGGTATGTCCATATAAGGGAATACTATTCAGCTATACGAGGAGATATGGTCTGGATATGTGCCCCCACCCAAGTATCATGTTGAATTGGAACTGGAATCCCCAGTGCTGGAGGTGGAGCCTGGTGAGAGGTGACTGGATCGTGAGGGCGGTTTCCCCTGGGTGCTGTTCTCATTATAGTGACTGACTTGTCCTGAGATCTAGTTGTTTAAAAGTGTGGAGCACCTCCCCCTTCTCTCTCTTGCTCCTGCTCCACCATGTAAGACGCCGCACTTCCCCTTCTGCCATGATTTTAAATTTCCTGAGGCCTCCCCAGAAGCTGAGCAGGTGCCATCATCATGCTTCCTGTACGGCCTGCAGAACCATGAGCCAATTAAACCTCTTTTCTTTATAAATTACTCAGTCTCAGCTATTTCTTTATAGCAGTACAAGAATGGACCAATACACAAGGAAATGAAGTACTGACACATGCTACAATGTGGATGAGCCTCTAAAACATTATACTAAGTGAAAGAGGTCAATCATAAAAGGTCACATGATTCCATTTATATAAAATGTCCAGAACTGACAAGTCCACAGAGACAAAAAGTACATTAGTGGTTGCCGGTGTCTGGGGAAACAGGAGAGACCGCTAATAGATATGAGGTTTTCTTTTGGTTGTGATGAAATATTTTCAAACTAGATGGTGGTGGTCATTTCACAACACTGTGAATATACTAAATGCTAGTGAATACTACACTTTAAAATTGTGGCTTTTTGAGTGGAGGGATTAACCTATGCGGTCAACTATACATGCTAGTCTCCACCCAGTAAAAGGTAGCCATAGAAATTTTCAAGACCTGTCCTCAAAACCCTCAATAATGCCTAGAGTTGAGAACAGACTTAATGTTAACAGTGGTTATTTCTGAGTAGTAGATGCAGGGGATATTTTTAACTTTCTTCTTATAATATATGAAGGGTCTTCAAAAAGTTCATGGAAAATGTGTTGTGAAAAAACTATGCGTGGATTCAAAAGTTTTTGGCACCAAAATAAACTTTACTAATTTGCTATAACACGTCTGAATAGGATCTAGTCAGAGACACTATGAAGGCTAAGACATCAGTTTAGATGTCAGAGCAGTATGAGTTCTGCTAAAATTGAAGTAAGACCAAACAGCAAATTTATAGTGAAGTCTGCATAGAAGAATAATGAAATAACTGATGCTTTATGAAAATTTTATGGGGTCAATGCTCCTAGGAAATCAGCAGTTTACAAACGGATAACTTGTTCTAACAAGGGATGAGACCATGTCGAAGATGAAGCCCACAGCGGCAGACCATCCACATCAATTTTTCAGGAAAAATTAATTTTGTTCATTCCCTAATTGAAGAGAACTAATGACTAACAGCAGAAACAATAGCCAACACTACAGGCATCTCAACAATTGGTCCAGTTTACACAATTCTGACTGAAAAATTAAAGCTGAACAAACTTTTCACTTGATGGGTGACAAAACTGTTGCACCCAGATTAACTGCAGACAGGAGCAGAGCTTTCCATAGAAATTTAAACAAGGGATCAAGATCCTGAAGCATTTCTTCAAAGAACTGTAACAGGAGCCAAAACATGGCTTTACCAATGCCATCCTGAAGACAAAGCACAATCAAAGCAATGGCTACCAAAAATGGAAGTGGTCCAGTCGAAGCAAAAGTGGACCAGTCAAGGGCAAAGGTCATGGCAACAGTTTTTTGGGATGTTCAGGCATTTTGCTTGCTGATGTTCTGGGGGGATAAAGAACATAAGCTCTGCTTATTATTAGAGTGTTTTGAGAAAGTTATCCCAAGTTTTTGCAGAAAAATGCCAGGGAAAGCATCATCAAAGTCCTTTTCCACCATGACAACGTTCCTGCACGCTCTTCTCATCAAACAAGGCCAATTTTGTAAGTTTCTATGGAAAGTCGTTAAGCATCCACCTTGATTTGGCTTCTTCTGACTTCTTTTTGTTCCTAATCTTAAAAGATCTTTAAAGAGCACCTATTTTTCTTTAGTTAGTAATGTAAAGAGACTGCATTGACATGGTAAAATTTCTAGTACCCTCAGTTCTTTACGGATGAACTAAACAGCTGAGATCATCATTTATAAAAGTGTCTTGAACTTGAGGAGCTTATGTTGGGAAATAAATTTAAAATGTGTTTTTAAATTTTATCTTTTAATTCCATTTTTCCACAAACTTTTTGAAGTCCTCACGTACATTTACCTGTTTTACAACAAGGCTCTGTTGTTTCTAAAAAGGATTTCTATAGCTCATCATCACTGGCCATCAGAGAAATGCAAATCAAAACCACAATGAGATACCATCTCACACCAGTTAGAATGGCGATCATTAAAAAGTCAGGAAACGACAGGTGCTGGAGACGATGTGGAGAAATAGGAACACTTTTACACTGTTGGTGGGACTGTAAACTAGTTCAACCATTGTGGAAGACTGTGGCGATTCCTCAGGGATCTAGAAGTAGAAATACCATTGGACCCAGCCATCCCATTACTGGGTATATACCCAAAGGATTATAAATCATGCTGCTATAAAGGCTCACGCACACGTGTGTTTATTGCGGCACTATTCACAACATCAAAGACTTGGAATCAACCCAAATGTCCAACAATGACAGACTAGATTAAGAAAATGTGGCACATATACACCATGGAATACTATGCAGCCATAAAAAATGATGAGTTCATGTCCTTTGTAGGGAAATGGATGAAGCTGGAAACTATCATTCTCAGCAAACTATCGCAAGGACAAAAAACCAAACACCGCATGTTCTCAGTCATAGGTGGGAATTGAACAATGAGGACACTTGGACACAGGAAGGGGAACATCACACACCTGTTGAGGGGTGGAGGGAGGGGGGAGGGATAGCATCAGGAGATATACCTAATGTAAATGACGAGTTAATGGGTGCAACACACCAACATGTCACATGTATACATATGTAACAAACCTGCACATTGTACACATGTACCCTAGAACTTAAAGTATAATAAAAAACAAAAAAAACAAAAAAGGATTACTATAAACAAAGATGTCAACATGTTGAGGGTTAATTCTAAGTGGAGAGAATATGAATACCCCCCTTGTTATACTTTTTCATTTCTAATAATAAAAATTATGAAGCATTTACATATACTATTTTTATAACTCATATATACTCATACAATAATGATATAGTTGTATCAGGATCACACAACTGTGGCTTCTTTAAAACTATTTCATTTTTTTTGGTCAGCATTTTCTTTCTTTTTTTTTTTTTTTTTGAGATGGAGTCTTGCTCTGTTGCCCAGGCTGGAGTGCAGTAGCGCGATCTTGGCTCACTGCAAGCTCCGCCTCCCAGATTCATGCCATGCTCCTGCCTCAGCCTCCTGAGTAGCTGGGACTACAGGGACCTGCCACCATGCCCGGCTAATTTTTTTGTATTTTTAGTACAGACGGGGTTTCACCGTGTTAGCCAGGATGGTCTTGATCTCCTGAGCTCGTGATCCGCCCGCCTCGGCCTCCCAAAGTGCTGACATTACAGGTGTGAGCTACTACACTCGGCCTCTGTCAGCATTTTCAATAAAAATTTGTTTAAAGTTACTACTTTTCCAATAATAAATGAAATAACAATATGCATCTGAAAACTAGTATCAAAAGATGGCCAAAATGCAGTATAGAAATGTTTACATTTAAGACATATCATTTAAAGTCCCAAGCTAAATAAAATTATTTACTTTCTTGCGAAAAACTGTCTTTTTTTCAATCCTGTCTTGGGGTGGTTTTGATCCACATTTACTTCAAAAATAGAAAATACTTCTAAAAGACTTATGTAAAGCAGCCACAAAAACACTGGAAGCACGCACGATACACAAAGCTAAGCTTAGGAGGGGAAAAATTAACCAAACCACTCATGTAAATACTGTTCCCTTCATCACATGAATTAAGTGCACACCTAGAAAACAGTGAAGCTTTCAGAAATTATACAGAAACAACTGATATTCCCTAGACTTCCTCAAAGTGGTTCTGAATCATGTAATTTAAATCCCTAAATCCATTAAAAATATCTACATTGACAGTGGACAGTTGAATTCACCTTATAACCTCAGACAAGTTTAAAAGTTTGTAACCAAAGAAAAAGAAGATACTATATGAGGTCAACCCCCTAGGGAATCTAGAACAGATCTTTAACAGGGAATCTGATTTATTTAAAAGACAGCCTTATATTATAAAACATAGAAGCCTATGGTTACAGATGGTATCTTAGTAGACACTGCTGATGATTTACACAACAGTTATTCCCTTCCTCCCCCTTCCCAGGAGTGCTCAGACTTTGTCTATCTCTTCCTACAGGGAAGCTGACTCCATACCCAACCATGGTTACCTCGGGCCAATCATCCCATTCTATGTCCCTGGTCACAATCACTGTTTAAATGGTCCCATCACTACAAACTGCAGGACTCTTGCTTGGAATGGTGCCCCAACTGCTAACTGGTCCTAGGGCCAAAAAGGGAACCATCCTTGGTTGAAATTAAAATTACAAAAGGTAGAAGAGATCTACAGGATCAAGCAACTCTAAATAAAGCCTACCTTCTCTCCATACTTTTAACTACATAACCTAGATTATGTTGAGTTTTCAGTTACCTGCATAACAAGTCCTGATATAAATAACCTCAAACAGTCTACTCAGAGAAAAAAAAGAAATGCACAACTCACATCTTACTGGCACAGTACTTAACTGTGTCGTAAGTGTGTGTGTGTGTGTGCTGAAATCATTTGAGAACAGGCTTTTTTGTGAACTCCCTTATCTGCTTAAAAGAAGAGCCTCTCGAAAGAGCCCAATTGTTATAAATCTCCTAGCAGTTTCCAGCAACCAGAAGACTGACTCTCATAACAAGAAGAGAAGTAACCACCTAAACAGACATTGTCACAAAACCTTCATATTTCTCATCTATTCTCTTAAGGGTTCATTTATCTTTCCTACAAGTCATCTGTTTTCCCTTAAGTGCCCTTCATCTCCCTTTACTTCCTCTATTATGATGGTATATAAAGTCCAAATTCTTACAGCCTTTTCTCTCACTAATCTGTCTTTTATTAATTTAATTTGCCCCCAACTACTTAACGTAAGGCAGAGAAAAAGCTTTTCTTCCCTGACATCATCAACTACTAAATTTTCTACTTTAAGAAATGGGCACGTAGGCTGGGTGCAGTGGCTTACGCCTGTAATCCCAGCACTTTGGGAGGCCGAGGCGGGCAGATCATGAGGTGAGGAGATTGAGACCACCCTGGCCAACATGGTGAAACCCCGTGTCTACTGAAAATACAAAAAATTAGCTGGGCATGGTGGCAGGCGCCTGTAGTTCCAGCTACTCGGGAGGCTGACGCAGAAGAATGGCATGAACCCGGGGGGCAGAGCTTGCAGTGAGGTGAGATTGCGCCACTGCACTCCAGCCTGGGCGACAGAGCAAGACGCCGTCTCAAAAAAAAAAAGAAAAAAAAGAAAGAAACGGGCATGTCATAGGGGCAACAATGAAATGAGAACAAATGACCTCTTCTAGTCTACATCCACCTAACTGCACTGCTTACCTTCCTCAAATCCAGGCTCTTCCCAGCATTTATAATAAAATCCTTTAATCCCACAGCATCATTAAAGAAGTAACACTGACCACTATTTTACAGTCAGAGTACATCTAGTATAACAGGTATGTTTCAAATACTGCTGATCAAAGTAAAAAATCTTTAACCCACAATACAGAGTTAGTATAATGGAATTGGGGGAAGCATACCAGGATGTTAACACTGTTTACCTGGAGAGAAAGAAGGAAAAATATCAAGGATTGTCACTGAAGAGGATCAGAATGTCACCCCAAATCATGCCACTTTAGCCTAAGTATTCTTTTGAGAGGAAGATAATGAAGAAACAGTATACGTAGGAACTCTCTGCTCGCCCCCTTTCTGCATGAAGGCAGAATATAAATTTCCCTTTGTGAAGGTGTTCTCTCCCACCCCTCTTCTAGCAGGAAGAGAACTACTCTTGATCACCATAGACTCTTAAATTACTGGAGATGGCACTTGTTTTGGGTATGCATAACAAGCCTTACTAAAACAATCCTTATGTGCCATTAGTTTGCCCCAAATAATTACCTTCCCACAATTTACCACCCCTCGAAGCTCAAACCTCTTTTCTTCAATCTTACTGCCTCTCCACAATTTATTATCTGATATGTCTTGGCTGTGTCCCCACCCAAATCTCATCTTGAGTTGTAGCTCCCATAATCCCCATGTGTCATGGGAGGGACCCGGTGGGAGGTAATTGAATCACGGGGGCAGGTTTTTCCCATGCCGTTCTTGTGATGGTGAATAAGTCTCTCGAGATCTGATGGTTTTATAAAGGGCAGTTCCCCTGCACACACTCTCTTGCCTGACACCATGTAATATGTGCCTTTGCTCCTCCTTTACCTTCTGCCATGATTGTAAGGCCTCCCCAGCCATGTGCAATTGTGAGTCGATTAAACCTCTTTTTCTTTATAAATTACCCAGTCTTGGGTATGTATTTATTAGCAGCATGAGAACAGACTAATACATTATCCTTTATTAAAATGGCATATGAACTCTCCAGTCTGTTTCTTTAGGTCTTCACTTCTTTTCTATGAAGCTCTCATGTGTACTTGAAATAAAACTTTTCTCCTGTAAATCTGTCGTGTGTCAGTTGAATTCCCAAGCTCCTCCAATGAACCTAAGAGGCTGGAGGAAATATGTTTTCCCATCTCTACCACACCTTTCCCGCCATACTTCTTTGTATCATTTTGTTCACTTGTTATAATACTATACATTACATTTAAAAGTAGAAAAGCTTCAAAGAAAAATACATTTTTTTTTTTTGGAGACAGAGTCTTGCTCTGTTGCCCAGGCTGGAGTTCAGTGGGTGATCTCAGCTCACTGCAACCTCCACCTCCCGAGTTCAAGCGATTCTACTGTCCCAGCCTCCCAAGTAGCTGGGACTACAGGTATGCGCCACCATGCCTGGTTAATTTTTTTATTTTTTATTTGTTTATTTTTTTGAGACAGAGTCTCGCACTCTCGCCCAGGTTGGAGTGCAGCAGCGCCATCTCGGCTCACTGCAAGCTCCACCTCCTGGGTTCAAGCCATTCTCCTGCCTCAGCCTTCCGAGTAGCTGGGACTATAGGCGCCTGCCACCATGCCCGGCTAATTTTTTGCATTTTTAGTAGAGATGGGGTTTCACCGTGTTAGCCAGGATGGTCTCGATCTCCTGACCTTGTGATCTGCCTGCCTCGGCCTCCCAAAGTGCTGGGATTACAGGTGTGAGCCACCGCACCCGGCCTAATTTTTGTATTTTTAGTAGAAATGGGGTGTCGCCCTGTTGGCCAGGCTGGTGTTGAACTCCTGACCTCACAAGATCTGCCCACCTCAGCCTCCCAAAATGCTGGAATTACAGGTGTGAGCCACTGTGCCCCGCCTAAAAAAAAAACTTAAAAAATTATTTATATCCTGATTTTTAAATGTCGTTATGAAAAACTACCCACAAGCACTCTAAATAAAAACTACAAACAGGAAGTCATCAAATCATTAATGGGACATCATCATTTGTTAGGGAACGTTAGGCTTATTTGCTGTCAAGCAGAGACTTTAAAAAAATAAAATAAAAAAGGCATAATGTAAATTTAAAATATCCAAGATTTGATCATCCTGTTGCCGTCTGTAATTATTATAGCAGTAGATAACATTATCAACGAGTAGAACCTACAAAGAATAAAACAATTAACTGCAGAAAGACAGCTTTTACAGTCCAAAAGTAGGGAAGGAGAGGTAGTGGGGAGGTGGAAGAGAGGACAGGGCCTCTGCATCTGCTGGGCAGAAATGTGATGGCCCAGATAAAAAGAGCTACAAGGGGATCTTTAATAGATGTGTACACTTAATAGAAGAATAGAAAGTGGTTCAAATTTTAACAACCTCTTAAATATTCTCAATTATACAAACCAATTTTGGGGCAGATATTGTCCAGTGACTGCCTAAGTGTGCAGCATTTCAGGGAGGATAGAAATTGGTAGGAAGGGCCAGGCATGGTGGGTGGCTCACACCTGTAATCCGAGCACTTTGGGAGGCCGAGGCCAATGGATCACCTGAGGTCAGGAGTTCAAGACCAGCCTGGCCAACATGGTGAAACCCTGTCTCTACGAAAAATACAAAAATTAGCTGGGTGTGGTGCAGTGTGCCTATAACCCCAGCTACTCAGGAGGCTGAGGCAGGAGAATCGCTTGAACCCAGGAGGCAGGGGTTGCAGTGAGCCAAGATCATGCCACTGCACCCTAGCCTGAGTGACAGAGCGAGACTCCATCTCAAAAAAATAAAACAACAACAAAAAAAGAAACTGGCAGAAATAAATCACATCAGAAGTTAGGCAAGCGTGGACCCCAGACAAACAGCATCAACAAACTTGTGTGTTAGAAATGCAAATTCCCCAGCCCTACTCCAGATCTGAAGAATCTGATTCTGGGCTTAGAGCCATGGCAATTTGTTCCCGTGGACATTCTGATACCTGCTTAAATTTGAGACACATAATATGAAGGCAAGATTATAGCAATTTAGAAGAAGAATGCTGACCACAAATGGCAAAATTAACTGTAGCATTTCAGCAGAGGTTTTTTTTTTTTTTTTTTTTTGTTTGTTTTTTTTTTTGAGATGGAGTCTCACTCAGGGACCCACCTAGAGTGCAGTGGCATGATCTCGGCTCATTGCAACCTCCGTCTCCTGGGTTCAAGCAATTCTCTTGCCTCAGCCTCCCAGATAGCTGGGATTACAGGCATGCACCACCACACCCAGCTAATTTTTGTATTTTTAGTAGAGACAGGGTTTCACCATGTTGGCTAGGCTGGTCTTGAACTCCTGACCTCAGGTGATCCACCCGCCTTGGTCTCCTAAAATGCTAGGATTACAGGCGTGAACCACCACGCCCGACCTCAGCAGAGCTTTGCCTGGGCTCTGGGTCCCTTCAAGGGAATACAGGTAGGTGACACTGAAAAGCTCAATACTCTTCCCACACCAGATCAATACCAGTCCGTAATAGGGACTAGGCTCTATTATACTCATAGTTTTTGTTAACCATCAAAAACACCTTTACATGTTTTTATTTAAAGCAATGTTTACAAATAACTTTGCCCTATCAAAGGCAAGACCACATCCTCAGACAGGCAGGAATAAAACACATTCGGCTTCCAGATGTCTCAGAACAATATTTCTGTCTCCCATTGATCTGAAAGTTGAACACCTAAAATCATTCCACTAATAGCAGCACTAGAGGAAACAATAGCCAAAATGTAAGTTTTCCTAAACGGGATGATGACACAACTTTTTTTGGCTTCTTAACCTACAAGTAAATGGAAAAGACAGCTCTAAGACTGCTCTATCACTGACACAGAATATACTAGAATATGGAAACATTTATACCTACACACGTGCACACCCATGCACTTTTAAAATCCAGAGGGCATAGAGCAAATGGCATTTAGCTTCTTTAAACCTCACTTAATGATCCAGTAATAATAAATCAACATCACATAGGGCAAGTATTAACTCAAACCACAAATACTAAGAAAAATGCAGTTAGGGCCGGGCATGGTGGCTCACGCCTATAATCCCAGCACTTTGGGAGGCAGACGCAGGTGGATCATCTGAGGTCAGGAGTTTGGGACAAGCCTGACCAACATAGAGAAACCCTGTTTCTACTAAAAATACAAAAATTAGCTGGGCGTGGTGGCACATGACTGTAATCCCAGATAACTGGAAGGCTGAGGCAGAAGAATGGCTTGAACTCGGGAGGCAGAGGTTGCAGTGAGCAGAGATCGTGCCACTGCACTCCAGCCTGGGCGACAATGGCAAAACTCCGTTTCAAAAAAAAAAAAAAAAAAAGAAAGGAAAAGAAAAGAAAAATGCGGCCAGGGGCAGTGGCCCATGTCTATCATCTCAGCACTCTGGGAGGCTGAGGCAGGAGGACTGCTGAAGCCCAGAAGTTTAAGACCAGCCTAGACAACAAGCAAGACCTCATCTCTACAAATAATTTAAAAATCAGCCAGGTGTGGTGATGCACATCTATGGTTCCAACTACTTGGGAGGCTGAAGTGGGAGGATCACTTGAGCCCAGATTCAAGGCTGCGGTGAACCATGATCGCACCACTGCACTCCACCCTGGGTGACAGAATAAAACTCTGTCTCATTTTTTTAAAAGGGTGGGGGATTACTCCTGTAATCCCAGCACTTTGGGAGGCCGAGGTGGGCTGATCACCTGAGACTGGGAGTTTGAGACCAGCCTGACCAACATGGAGAAACCCCATCTCTACTAAAAATACAAAATTAGCCGGGCTTGGTGGCGTATTCCTGTAATTCCAGCTACTTGGGAGGCTGAGGCAGGAGAATCGCTTGAACCCAGGAGGCGGAGGTTGAGGTGAGCCGAGATAGCGCCATTGCACTCCAGCCTTGTCAAAAAGAGTGAAACTCCGTCTCAAAAAAAAAAAAAAAAAAAAAAAAAAAAAGGAATGCAAAGAATCTAACAACTAGCAAACCAAACAGTTACCCTAATATGAATAATGCAAGCGTATATTCCTGCATGACCATTTTAACAGGGAATTTAACTTAGAAAAATTTCAAAATATTATTTTTAAAGTCCTGCAACTTAAAAACACTATATTCAGGCTCGGCATGGTGGCTCACACCTGTAATCCCAGCACTTGGGAGGCCGAGGCAGACGGATCACCTGAGTCCAGCCTGGCCAACATGCTGAGATCCCATCTCTACCAAAAATACAAAACTTAGCCGGGTTTGGTGACAGGTGCCTATAATCCCAGCTACTCGGGAGGCTAAGGCAGGAGAATCGCTTGAACCCAGGAGGCAGAGGTTGCAGTGAGCCAAGATCGCGCCATTGCACATCAGCCTCGGGACAAGAGTGAGACTTCATCTCAAAAACAAAAACAAAACAAACAAAAAAAACCCACTATATTCAACGGGCTCACCACAGTAAACCTGTAAACTTGTTCATATAAACAAATTTTTAACAGATACAAAACAAAACATTAACATTACATAAACTGTGCTTTAAAATTCACTTTCATGTAAGGATATTTTCAACTATTTCACAAACTGTTCTTACTTTACATATAATTATCATTCAAAATTGTTAAAGACATAAGATATAGATCAGTTAAACCCTAAATGTTCCCAATTAACAAATTTTAGAAGTAAATAGTATTTAGAGTCCTGGTTAACTTTTTAGTTATATTCGACAACTATTTAGGAGATGCACACCTATTCTAACCTCCTCCTGCAAAGAACTCTACATGGAAAAGAAACAGAAGTGGCCCGGCATGGTGGCTTCTACTGAAACCCCAGCATTTTGGGAGGCTAAGACTGAGGCCGGAGGATAGCTTGAGGCCAGCGTTTTAGGACCAGCTTGGGCAACACGGCGAGAGCTCATCTCTATAAAAAAGTTTTTTTAAAATTCGCCAGGCATGGTGGTACACACCTGTATTTACACCTACTAAGGCTAAGGCAGGAGGATTACTTGAACCCAGGAATTTGAGGGGTTAGTGAACTATGATAGTGTCACTGCACTTAAGCCTGGGTAACAGAGGGAAACCCTGTCTCAAAAGAAAAACAAGAAAATAAACAAAATGAAAGTTTTCTTGTGTGTCCTATGTTTACCTCTAACTTCTCTTTCCGTTTCCAGTGACTATAATTTTCCTTCTCTTTGAAAATAAAATGCAGTTGCATTTACGAAATTATGAAATTGTTCATTTATGAGATTGTCTTTCACCAGGACAGTTATGCCCAATATTCATTTTCTCTGCTAATAATCTTTATTTCATCCACTGAAACAGTTGCTATTTTTTTAAAAATCCTTTTCCCATCTGTCACTTAATATTACATCCACTGTCCACAAAGGTGCTACAATTAGATACTAAAAAGAAAAATCTACAAACTTTCTTAAAGTGGCCTTTGCTTTTTAAAAATAACT
The DNA here is from genome assembly GCF_000001405.40 of Homo sapiens. Lineage (NCBI taxonomy): Eukaryota > Metazoa > Chordata > Mammalia > Primates > Hominidae > Homo > Homo sapiens. Next base: position 47,445,687 of record NC_000002.12, on the reverse strand, counting down.
ACTGCTTAAATTAAAAAGTATATTGCATACCTGATCCATATCTAAAGTTGTTTCTATCATTTCCTGAAACTTGGAGAAGTCAGAACGAAGATCAGTAAGAGGAGTCACAAAAACTGCCAACAATAATTTCTGGTGTTTTCCTAAAAGAAAGTAGTAAAACAAACAAATAAAAAGATCTCATTTTACAGAATACAAATCATAAAATTTTGACTGAGATAAACAAGCATCATTTGATCCAAAAGGTACAAATAGTACAGCAGGTCTCCAAAGTTACTATTTACTCAGGTGTTTTAATTCAAATTGTTTCGTACTCAATTTATTTTATAGAAAGGGAGATGATGTAGCACTCAAAGCTTCCCACTAATAATACACTACCTCGTCTGTAAACCCAACAAGTAATATAGATGCAGAAACATGACATTAATTATGACTAAATGAATTTCATTTCTTATAGATTTAATAACCCAAAGTCATTAAAATAAAACCTCTAGCTTACCTCATATTCCTAATTTCCATTAATGACAGTGTTCCAATTAACAGGTTAAATCAAGCCAAGTTTTTACACAATGGAACTGTGCTTGATGGTATTTAAGGGTACATGATGGGGAGGCCGGACATGATGGCTCATGCCTATAATCCCAGCACTTTCGGAGGCTGAGGTGGGCAGATCACTTGAGTTCAGGAGTTTGAGACCAGCCTGGCCAACAAGGCGAAACCTCATCTCTGCTAAAAATACAAAAATTAGCCAGGCGTGGTAGCATAGGCTTATAATCTCAGCTACTCAGGAGGTTGAAGCAGGAGAACTGCTTGAATGCAGGAGATGGAGGTTGCAGTTAGCCCAAGATCACACTACTGCCTGCCAGCCTGGGCAACAGAGAGCGAGATTCTATCTCAAACAAAAAAAAAAAAAAAAAAAAAAGAGTACATGCTGGGGAATCATGTATGAAGGAGTAAGTGAAGCAATGAGTATATAGTGTGAAAAAGCAGGACTAGAGACCTGGGTAGCAATCCCAGCTCTGCTACCTACTGGCTCTGTTATCTGGAGCATGATACTTTGAGCCTCCTTTTCCCTTTTTGTACGAAGTAATAATAACAATAGCTACCCAGAAAATAATAAATGAGATAACTATACACAATACTTGTATAGTCCTTTACACTTAACAGAAGCTGAACAATTACTTTGTATTACTACTGGTATAACACAAGGATTTTTTTTCTAATCGCCAATAAATACCCTTAGAAGAATTCTGCAAGTGATATCTAACACACTGCATTTCACTCCAAAACAATAGTTCCCAAACTTCTCCAGAAATTTTAGCAGCTACTGAAAAAACGGTGAAAAGCTACTATGAAGTCAGCAAAATTGTTTTAAGAATTCATGTTTTATTATTAATCACAAAAGCATCTATACATATTTAGAAAATAGTACATACATGTGAAGCACTATTTAGACAGAATATAAACAACACTTTGCCCACATAATGTCTGTTGTGCTACAATGCCTAGTTCTTTATTCCAAATTAGCTCATGCACTATTGGTAAATAAGGGAATTGTGGTAGCAAAATTCAGAGGTGGCACTGGTTTATGAATGGTTTTTTTTCTAGCCCATTAATGTTTTAAAGGGATCAAGGTTAAGCTCTCACACAATTAAGAGTAAGCCTTAGCAGTGAAGACCTCAGAGTAGTTGGCTTAACAGCCACTGTACTTTCCACTCACTATGTTAAGATATGTGGGAAAGCTCAAGGATACAAAACATTTGCCAGTGTTTTCAAAAAAGAAAAAAAAAAAAGAATTGAATTTCATACCATGGTTCAGATTTTTAATTCTGATGAAACTAGCCTCTATTAGAAGCAAATGCCCTCAAGGACCTACACCTCAAAGGAGAAAACAAGAGCCACAGATCTAAGGCTTCAAAGAGTTGGCTAATGCTGTTGTTTGGGTGCAAATGCCAGGAAGGCCACAGTTTTTATTACAGTCTGTTATGCTTCTGTTAGAAGCGGTTTTTAAAATTTCATGTATTTTCAGGTCTGCCTCAACCCTGTTTTTTCCATAAGCTGTTATTTTTCTATCACATGACTAAAGAAGGTTTTCCAAGAATCCATACTGCATAAGTATCTGTACGAACTTCAGAACCTATGTCACCCTCAACATGTCCTCTGGCTCCTCAAGCACATGAGCCCACTTTGCTGCAGCCCTTCTCAGTTCATAAACTTCCTTATGAGTTCACCTGCTCCCTTATCCTCCAAGCTTTCACTAGCATCTTAAATTCCATCCCTTCCTTGTAACTTGTACTAACCCCCAGTTGCCAATTTCCAACTAGACTTTGTAAAGCTACATTCTCCACTAGTGATCACAGGCTTTAGAAAGCCCTACAGTCTTAACCCAAGGACTCCTGGTATTCATAGCAGTATATAAACATAAAAGAAAATTCCAGGCTTATTTTCTCTAGCCTCTAGCTGAAATTTAGCATTTGCTTTCATCATTAATGTAGGCAATAAGCCATGGCAGTTATTACCAGTACCTGTGTCTTTGTTACCAGCCTGGCCGACAGAGCGAGATTCTGTCTCAAAAAAAAAGAGCTTTTGCATGGCAAAAGGAACAGTCAGCAGAAGGAAACAGACAAAAACAGACAACCCACAGAGTGGGAAAAAAATCTTCACAATCTATAAATCTGACAAAGGACTAATAACCAGAATCTACAACAAGCTCAAACAAACTAGCAAGAAAAAAAACAAACAATCCTATCAAAAAATGGGCTAAGGACATGAATAGACAATTCTCAAGAAGATATACAAATGGCAAACAAACATAAAAAAATGCTCAACATCACTAATGATCAGGGAAATGTAAATCAAAACCACAATGCGATACCACCTTACTCCTGCAAGAATGGCCATAATCAAAAAATCAAAAATAGATGTTGGTGTGGATGCAGTGAACAGGGAACACTTCTACACTTCTGGTGGGAATGTAAACCAGTATAACCACTAAGGAAAACAGTGTGGAGATTCCTTAAAAGTAGAACTACCAGTTGATCCAGCAATCCCACTACTGGGTATCTACCCAGGGGAAAAGATATCATTATACAAAAAAGATACTTGCACACGGATGTTTATAGCAGCACAATTCACAATTGCAAAAACGTGGAACCAACCCAAATGCCCATGAATCAACAAGTGGATAAAGAAACTGTGGTATGTATATATATATATGTATATATATGTGTGCCTGCATATGTGTATATATATGTGTGTGTGTATATATATACGTATATATGTATATATACACATATATACGTATATATATACACATATACGTGTATATATACACACATATACATATATGCAGACACACATATATACATATATACATACCACATATATACATATATATATACATACCACATATATACACACATATATACATATATATATACACATACCACATATATATATACACATACCACATATATATACCACATATATATACATACCACATATATATACACATACCACATATATAGGTGTATATATATGTATATGTGTATATATACACACACACATACATATATACGCATACATACATATATACGTGTATATATATGTATATGTGTGTATATATATGTATATATACACACACACACAATGGAATACTACTCAGCCATAAAAAGGAATGGATTGGCCAGGCTCAGTGGCTCACGCCTGTAATCCCAGCATCGAGGCGGGTGGATCACGAGGTCAGGAGTTCAACACCAGCCTAGCCAACATGGTGAAACCCCATCTCTACTAAAAATACACAAATTAGCCAGGCGTGGCACTGGGCGCCTATAATCTCAGCTACTCAGGAAGCTGAGGCACGAGAATGGCTTGAACCCAGGAGGCAGAAGTTGCAGTGAGCCAAGATGGCATCACTGCACTCCAGCCTGGGAAATAGAGCAAGACTCCGTCTCAAAAAAAAAAAAAAAAAAATTAACACTGGTTACTCTGCTAGAGTTAAACTGGGAGTTGACTTCTTTTTACATTATTACCTTTATAATTAAAAGAAAAAATATGGGGTCAGGAGCAGTGGCTCACACCGTAATCCCAGCACTTTGGGAGGCCAAGGCAGGCGGATTGCTTCAGGCCAAGAGTTTGAGGCCAGCCTGGCCAACATGGCGAAACTCCACCTCTACTGAAAATACAAAAATTAGCCGGGCATCGTGGCACGGACCTGTAATTCCAGCTACTCGGGAGGCTAAGGCACGAGAATCATCTGAACCCAGAGACCAAGGTTGCAGTGAACTGAGATTGCACCACTGCACTCCAGCCTGGGTGATACAGCAAGACTCTTGTCTCAAAAATAAAATAAAATAAAATAAAAAATAGAGGAGCTAAACAATGGGTACACATGGACATACAGAGAGAATTAACAGATACTGGGAACTCCAAAAGGGCAGAGGCAGAGAGAGGGATGAGAATTGAAAAATTACCACCTATTGGGTACAATGTTCATGGGCACAACAGAAGTCCAAAACTCACCATTACACAATATATCCATGGGACAAACCTGCACATATACCCCGAATCCATAAAAATAAAATAATAAGGCTGGGAGCAGTGGCTTACACCTGTAATCCTAGCACTTTGGGAGGCCAAGGCAGGCAGACTGCCTGAGCTCAGAAGTTCCAGACCAGCCTGGGCAACACGGTGAAACTCCACCTCTACTAAAAATACAAAAAACTAGCCAGGCGTGGTGGCATGTGCCTGTAGTCCCAGCTACTCGGGAGGCTGAGGCAGGATAACTGCTTGAACCCAGGAGGCAGAGGTTGCAGCAAGATGAGATAGCGCCACTGCACTCCAGCCTGGGCAACAAAGCGAGACTCCATCGCCAAAAAAAATAAAAAGCAAGACATAAATAGCCTGGCCTAGAAACCAGTTTTAGAAAATTACTCACAGAAAAAGAAAAAAAAAAAATCAAAACACCAGAGAAGTACACAGACCTTTAAAGTTTCTGCATAATAATTTCCTGGAATATTAAAATAAAAATAGATGTTAGCTAAATATCAATTATAATAGGTAACTGTAACTATTTAAATTGCCAAAAAGCCGGCCGGCATGGAGGCTCACGCCTGTACCCACAGCACTTTGGGAGGCTGACACAGGAGGATCACGAGGTCAGGAGTTCAAGACCAGCCTGACCAACATGGTGAAACCCCATCTCTATTAAAAATACAAAAATCAGCCGTGGTGGTGGTGCACACCTGTAATCCTAGCTACTCAGGAGGCTGAGGCAGAAGTGCTTGAACCCTTGAACCCGGGAGGTGGAGGCTGCAGTGAGCCGAGATCATGCCACTGCACTCCAGCCTGGGAGACAGAGCAAGACTCCGTCTCAAAAAAAAAAAAAAAAAAGTCAAAAAATGTCAAACATCCTCAGGAGGTTGAGGCAAGAGGATTCCTTGAGCTCAGGAGTTCAAGACCAGCCTAGGTAATATAGCAAGGCCCCATCTCAAAAAAAAAAAAAGTAAAAAGTAAAACAATATTAGTTAAATTATGGCAACTGACAATTAGTACTATATACATTATCACCCTATCAATATTTTCTATTAGACTTTTGAATACAGCCAGTTCTGCTATATAATGCAACGTATGTATTCCTAAAAATCAGAACACTATGCAGTAAATACCAGAGCCGTCTGGGTGTGGTAGGACACACCTGTAATCCCAGCACTTTGGGAGGTGAAGGCGGGCTGATTGCTTGAGCTAAGGAGTTCCAAAGCAGCCTGGCAACATGGAAAAACTGTCTCTACAAAAGTATAAAAATTAGGTGGGCAAAGGCTCACGCCTGCAGTCCCAGCTATTTGGGAGGCTGAGGTGGGAGGATAGCTTGAGGTGGGAGGATAGCTTAAGCTGGGAGGCCAAGGCTGCAGAAAGCCGAGACCACACCACTGCACTCCAGCCTGGGGAACACAGCGAGACCATTTCAAAAAAAAACAACAAAAAACCGTGCTTATGAGAAAACTGGAGTTCAAGCCACAACTCTCAGAACCTTCACCAGCGACATGTTAAAAAAAATAAAGACAGGAACCTCATAAAAGTAGTAGCACAGTTTTATACATGTGAAATGGTTAAGAAATACACAACTATTACAATAAATAAGTCACCTTGCAAAACATCTGCGGTTTGCTTGTGGAGTGGCCTTCTTTTTTTCTTTTTTTTTTTTTTTGAGACGGACTCTCGCTCTGTCGCCCAGGCTGGAGTGCAGTGGCGCAATCTTGGCTCACTGCAAGCTCTGCCTCCCCGGTTCACGCCATTCTCCTGCCTCGGCCTCCCGAGTAGCTGGGACCACAAATGCCCACCACCACGCCCGGCTAGGTTTTTCTATTTTTTTTTAGTAGAGACGGGGTTTCACCGTGTTAGCCAGGATGGTCTTGATCTCCTGACCTCATGATCCACCCACCTCGGCCTCCCAAAGTGCTGGGATTACAGACGTGAGCCACAGTGGAGTAGACTTCTAAAGGGCTGCAGCTTCTGAGTTACTGCAGAATGGTCAAAGGAATACTGTCTGAAATGGGTGGCAAAGTTGTAATACCAGATGTGAATGGGTATGGTTCATAACACATACAGGAAAATAAGGTAGGTATTTGAAGAGCGTGTGTATGTGTATCTTTTGTATATATCTACACTGCTGAGTTCAGCTGCATGCATTTTTCTGCATTCACCTAGTGTTGCCTAGGGATTTGTGCATAAGCAAACTCAAAATTTACATTATGCTCAAATTGTTCCCTAATATACCACCCACATTGGAACAAATCTGTTTTCAAAACAAGAGTTACAGCGGAACAGTGTATAATTTGGTTTAAAGACTGAAACAACCTATATCAAAACAATAATGACTACATCTGGATGGCATGATAATGATCTACAAAGAACTTATATTGCTTTTATAAACTGATGAAGATGAGATTTAAAGAACATATTTCCAACATACAAAATCCAACCAAACCTTAAATAGTAGCCTTCATAGGCTAAGGGTTTTTTAAAAAGGCTAAGTAACGCAGATTCTTTTTATCATCTCCCTTTGCAGAAATGCCAAATAAATCACTTTTATATTCTTATTCTCCATTTAGAAGGAAAGCACACAAACAGGTAAAAAATGTGATTATTATACTAATGTACTGTTATTTAGGGTCAAGGGCAATGGAGATAAACACTTCTACTCTGCATGAGAAGAGCAGAGAAGCTCACAGAAAAGGTGACATTTGAGTTCAATCTTGGAAAAATGAGTAGGGGTTCATCACATGGACAAGGACATTAAAGACAGGAAAACACGCATAGAAGCATAAAAAGGCATGGCATGTCTGGAGACTAGCAGTACTATACTGAGACAGAAGGTGTAGGTGAGGGAGTGTGGGGGAAGCTGAACAGGGAAGCAATGGCCAAGCCACGTGAAGAAATGGGGCCGTGTCCTGAAGATTATGGGAAGCAATTAATGTGTTCTGAACTAAAGAGGTAATGTGCTCTGAATTGATGACATGACCAGATGAGCTAACAAAGACTACTACCACTTCAATGAAGAAGATGCATAGACCATGGGGGGCAGGGGAATAGCAAATGTGAGGTACTTAAGGAGTGTATTAAACAGAAACAGATGATAACTGGGTATCAGGAAAGGGAAGGGTTATGCATCTCAGTATTGTAGCTGTTATAATAAAATTCATCAATAAAAAAATCTGAGGCTGGGAGTGGTGGCTCATGCCTATAACCCTGTACTTCGGGAGGACGAGGTGGGCAGATTGCTTGAGCCCAAGAGTTCGAGACCAGCCTGGCAACATGATGAAACCCCCATCTCTACAAAAAATTTTAAAAAATTAGTTGGGAATGATGGTGCATGCCTGTAGTCCCAGCTACTTGGCAGACTGAGGTGAGAGGAACACTTGAGCTGAGCCCAGGAGGTCAAGGCTCCAGCACTCCAGCCTGGGTGACAGAGTGAAACCCTGTCTCAAAAAAAAATAAAGATACCTCGGTAAATTGTTTTAAGCAGTATCAGAAATTTGCCCTAACCGTAGAATACTGTTATTTTAAGTTTTGTCCCAGCTTTTTTAGTTTTAAGAGACATAAGGAATATGGGAGGCCAAGTATACCTTTTCGGAAATTAGCTATCTCTTAGTGGAGAAAGATTTAAAAGAGCCGTAATCACTCAATGTGAATCTACTTTCTAAACGGCTGCTGCCCTCTACTGTCTCTCTGAATTCACTTTATTTATTTATTTATTTATTTATTTATTTATTTGTCAGGAATAACATTAAGCTTAGAGTTAATCAAAAACCAAAAAAACACAAGATAGCAAGAGAGCAATACTCAATTTATAGCAATATATTAATATATTAAGAAAAAGAAAAACTTTTAAGCCATGATTTTGCTTTTAAACATAGTACCTTTGGTCTATTTTCTTGTAAAGAAACTTGGGAGACTAATTGCAAAATTAGTCTCACTTTTTACTTTCTCCTTGCAGTCAGTATGGTAAAGAGCTATACTGAGTTCTGCAAAATGCCACTGTTTTTTTGTTTTGTTTTGTTTTTTTAAAACCTCACAGAGATCCTTTAGGGAGTTCCTAATGACCAGGGTACACCTAAAATTCAACAAATGTCAAACATATTGTGTAAAAGAAAAGAACACAGCTCTGAGCATAACACATGGAAAGCAGATTTTCCCCTGTAACATTTTCCAGGCTAAGCCACTTCAAACACCTAAACTGGACATCAGCTGCAAGACCTATAATGTGAAGCATCTGATTTAGATAATGTTATGATCACCATAGGTCTATATAACTTAAACCTAACACCAGAAAAGTAGGAAATTGTTGACTTGTTGCAAACTGTCATCAAGTATATTAGACTGTGCCTATACAGGGAGGTTGGGGAAGGATGCCAAGTTACCCTCAACCCCAATCCCTAACTTCCTTAATTATCCCAGGGAGTGAGAAAGATCACCCAAGGAATGTGCAGAGCAGTACTTCTTACCTTCTGGGGGAGAGGAGGGTATTTACACACGTTTTTTGTTTCTTCCCTCTCTACCAGGAAAGACATATATCCCTTGGGATATCTGATGAAAGTTACAAATTCCCAGCCTGGCCAACATAATGAAACCCTGTCTCTACTAAAAATACAAAATTAGCCAGGTGTGGTAGCACATGCCTGTAATTCCAGGTACTTGGGAGCCTGAGGCAGGAGAATCACTTGAACCAGGAGGCAGAAGTTACAGTGAGCCGAGATCACACCACTGCACTCCACCCTGAGCCACAGAGACTCCCTCTCAAAAAATAGAAAGTTACAAATCCTTTCCCCAGAAAATATACACATACACAAAATGTTGCACAAAGTTTCAGGAAGCCTCTAAGAACTCATTCAAAGAATCCCAGCTTAGACGAGCACAATGGCTCAAATTTATCCCAGCACTTTGGGAGGCCCAGGCAGGCAGATCACTTGGAAGACAAGAGTTCGAGACCAGCCTGGCCAACATGGTGAAACCCCCATCTCTACTAAAAATACAAAAATTAGCCAGGCGTGGTGGCACATGCCTGCAATCCCAGCTACACAGGAGGCTGAGGCACAAGAATCGCTTGAACCCAGAAGGCGGAGGTTGGAGTGAGCTGAGATCGCACCACTGCACTCCAGCCTGGGCAACAAAGTGAGACTCTGTCTCCACAAAAGAAAAAAAAAAATCCCAGCTTTTCCTCTTATTAAGTGAAATGGGAGCCAAAAATAGAATTTGATAAGGTAAAGGAACACTTAAGAAAGCTAAAAAGAAGGATAAAGAGAAATAACCCATGGAACAAAAAGAAAACCAAGAATACAAAAATGTTTAACATAACCTTAGGAGAGTTTCAAGGCTGGGCATGGTGGCTCACGCCTGTAATCCTAGCACTTTGGGAGGTCCGAGGTGGGTGGATCATGAGGTCAGGAGTTCAAGACCATCCTGGCCAATGTAGTGAAACCCCATCTCTACTAAAAAAATACAAAAAATTAGCCAGGCATGGTGGTGGGCACCTGTAATCCTAGCTACTCGGGAGACTGAGGCAGGAGAATCGCTTGAACCTGGGAGGTGGAGGTTGCAGTGAGCTGAGATTGTGCCACTGCACTCCAGCCTGGGTGACAGAGCAAGACTCCATCTCAAAAAAAAAAAAAAAAAAAAAAAAAAGAGTTTCAAGATCAAAATTTTCAAGATCAGTGAACTTTCGTTAAAGACTATACCAAGGCTGGGCGCAGTGGCTCACACCTGTAATCCCAGCACTTTGGGAGGCAGAGGTGTGTGGATCACCTCAGGTCGGGAGTTCGAAACCAGCCTGACCAACATCGAGAAAACCCATCTCTACTAAAAATACAAAATTAGCCAGCTGTGGTGGCAGGTGCCTGTAATCCAGCTACTTGGGAGGCTGAAGCAGGAGAATCGCTTGAACCTGGGGAGGCATAGGTTGCCGTGAGCCGATATCACGCCATTGTACTCCAGCCTGGGCAACAAGGGCAAAACTCTGTCTCAAAAAAACAAAAAACAAAAAACAAAAAAAAAAAAAGAAAGAAAAAAGCGGGGGGACTATACCGCATTCACTGGATTTAAAAAAAAATAAAGGTCACCTAGCAAATGCCATTTCAGTACTGTGGTCAGGGCTGGAAACCAGATGAATGAATGGAAGATGGGAAGTGCACGCTTTCAGAAACCCAGCTGGGAGTGGAAAGAGGGAGAGAGATATATTAATAGATGGTACTGGAAGAGGACCCAGGAACAAGGGTGCTTTTTTAAAAAATAGATGTATGCACCTAAAAATACGCAGTGGTAAAGAGCCAGTAAAGAATAAAAGCAAGTAGGAAGTAAGGAGTAAGAAGTGCGGGTGGGATGATGGGGGAAAAAAATTAAGAGAGTTCCTAACTTAAGGCCAATACTCCCTCTTGAAAATAAAAAGGATATTATTTACTATGCGATGGTAAAGATATATGGAAAAAAAATGATCAAACAGCTGATTTAAATGGTGAGAGTGAATTGTTTAGATAGCCTGTCTCCATAATTGTACCCTGATTCCATCCCTAATACTGGTCAATCACCTTCTGTTTCTAGCTGGTCCTACTGGAATAAAACAAAAGGTTCCCTCTCCCTCTCCCTCCTCTCCCTCTCCCCACGGTCTCCCTCTCCCTCTCTTTCCATGGTCTCCCCCTGATGCCGAGCCAAAGCTGGACTGTACTGCTGCCATCTCGGCTCACTACAACCTCCCTGCCTGATTCTCCTGCCTCAGCCTGCCGAGTGCCTGCGATTGCAGGTGCGCGCCGCCACGCCTGACTGGTTTTGGTATTTTTTTGGTGGAGACGGGGTTTCGCTGTGTTGGCCGGGCTGGTCTCCAGCTCCTAACCGCGAGTGATCCGCCAGCCTCGGCCTCCCGAGGTGCCGGGATGTCAGACGGAGTCGCGTTCACTCAGTGCTCAATGGTGCCCAGGCTGGGGTGCAGTGGCGTGATCTCAGTTCGCTACAACCTCCACCTCCCAGCTGCCTGCCTTGGCCCCGCAAAGTGCCGAGATTGCAGCCTCTGCCCGGCCGCCACCCCGTCTGGGAAGTGAGGAGCATCTCTGCCTGGCCGCCCATCGTCCGGGATGTGAGGAGCCTCTCTGCCTGGCTGCCCAGTCTGGAAAGTGAGGAGCGTCTCTGCCCGGCCGCCATCCCATCTAGGAAGTGAGGAGCGTCTCTACCAGGCCGCCCATCGTCTGAGATGTGGGGAGCGCCTCTGCCCTGCCGCCCCGTCTGGGATGTGAGGAGCGTCTCTGCCCGGCCGCCCCGTCTGAGAAGTGAGGAGACCCTCTGCCTGGCAACCGCCCCGTCTGAGAAGTGAGGAGCCCCTCCGCCCGGCAGCCACACCGTCTGAGAAGTGAGGAGCCCCTCCGCCCGGCAGCCACTCCGTCTGGGAAGTGAGGAGCGTCTGCGCCCGGCAGCCACCCCGTCCGGAAGGGAGGTGGGGGGGTTAGCCCCCCGCCCGGCCAGCCGCCCCATCCAGGAGGGAGATGGGGGGGTCATCCCCCCGCCCAGCCAGCCGCCCAGCCAGGAGAGAGGTGGGGGGGTCAGCACCCCGCCCGGCCAGCTGCCCCGTCCGGGAGGTGAGGGGCGCCTCTGCCCGGCCGCCCCTACTGGGAAGTGAGGAGACCCTCTGCCCGGCCAGCCGCCCCGTCCGGGAAGGATGTGGGGGGGTCAGCCCCCCGCCCGGCCAGCCGCCCCATCCGGGAGGTGAGGGGCGCCTCTGCCCGGCCGCCCCTACTGGGAAGAGAGGAGCCCCTCTGCCCGGCCAGCCGCCCCGTCCGGGAGGTGAGGGGCGCCTCTGCCTGGCCGCCCCTACTGGGAAGTGAGGAGCCGCTCTGCCCGGCCAGCCGCCCCGTCCTGGAGGCAGGTGGGGGGGTCAGCCCCCCGCCCGGCCAGCCGCCCCATCCGGGAGGTGAGGGGCGCCTCTGCCCGGCTGCCCCTACTGGGAAGAGAGGAGCCCCTCTGCCCAGCCAGCCGCCCCATCCGGGAGGGAGGTGCGGGGGGTCAGCCCCCAACCCGGCCAGCCACCCCATCCGGGAGGGAGGCGGGGAGGTCAGCCCCCCGCCTGGCCAGCCGCCCCGTCCGGGAGGGAGGCGGGGGGGGGGGGTCAGCCCCCCGCCCGGCCAGCCGCCCCGTCCGGGAGGTGAGGGGCGCCTCTGCCCGGCCGCCCCTACTGGGTAGTGAGGAGCCCCTCTGCCCGGCCACCACCCCGTCTGGGAGGTGTACTCAACAGCTCATTGAGAACGGGCCATGATGACAATGGCGGTTTTGTGGAATAGAAAGGGGGGAAAGGTGGGGAAAAGATTGAGAAATCGGATGGTTGCCGTGTCTGTGTAGAAAGAGGTAGACGTGGGAGACTTTTCATTTTGTTCTGTACTACGAAAAATTATTCTGCCTTGGGATCCTGTTGATCTGTGACCTTACCCCCAACCCTGTGCTCTCTGAAACATGTGCTGTGTCCACTCAGGGTTGAACGGATTAAGGGTGGTGCAAGATGTGCTTTGTTAAACAGATGCTTGAAGGCAGCACGCTCATTAAGAGTCATCACCACTCCCTAATCTCAAGTACCCAGGGACACAAACACTGCGGAAGGCCGCAGGGTCCTCTGCCTAGGAAAACCAGAGACCTTTGTTCACTTGTTTATCTGCTGACCTTCCCTCCACTATTGTCCTGTGACCCTGCCAAATCCCCCTCTGCGAGAAACACCCAAGAATGATCAATAAAAAACAAACAAACAAACAAACAAACAAACAAACAAAGGTTACGGAATCAGAAAAGCACAGCAGTGGAAGACACTCATTCACAGAATGGAGAAATAGAGGCACAAGGGGGATACATGGCTGCCTACACCACACTAAGAGAGTATGAAAACAGCAAAGTATAGACTCATTTTCTTTTTTTTGAGATGGAGAGTTTCGCTCTTGTTGCCCAGAATGGAGTGCAACGGCACGATCTCTGCTCACCGCAACCTCCGCCTCCCGGGTTCAGGCAATTCTCCTGCCTCAGCCTCCCGAATAGCTGGGATTACAGGCATGCGCCACCACGCCCCGCTAATTTTGTATTTTTAGTACAAATGGGGTTTCTCCATATTGGTCAGGCTGGTCTCGAATGCCCGACCTCAGGTGATCTGCCCGTCTCGGTCTCCCAAAGTGCTGGGATTACAGGTGTGAGCCACTGTGCCCAGCCAGTAAAGACTCATTTTCTTTTTCTTTTTTTTTTTTTTTTTTTTGTTGCCCAAGCTGGAGCGCAGTGGTGTGATCTCAGCTCACTGCAACCTCCACCTCCTGGGTTCAAGCGATTCTCCTGCCTCAGCCACCTGAGAAGCTGGGACTACAGGTGCGCACCACCATGTCAGCTAATTTTTTGTATTTTTGGTAGAGACAGGGTTTCACCATGTTAGCCAGAATGGTCTTGATCTCCTAACCTCATGATCCACCTGCCTCGGCCTCCCAAAGTGCTGGGATTACAAACGTACCCGGCCAAGTCTCATTTTCTTTAATTCTGCTTTGTTGGAAGTAAATGCAGGTGCTCTAAGTTTTATCAGTCTAAAGAGAAGCTTTGACTACACTAGGAATACTTTTTATAACACAGTACTTTGAGAAAATAAGCACTTAGCTACCTCTTGCACTAGATAAGGGAAAAGGTTTCTATAAAATTTAAATCTATAATTATCTTATATCTTGTCATCATAAAGTTGTATTTCTTTAAGTCTGTCTACAAAGGAACAACGAAGCTTCCCCATAATATCAAAACGTATGTTTTAATGGTTCTAAGTGATCATGATTAAGTAAAATTTTAAGATGCTTTATGTTAAAAAAATTTTTTTTTAATTACTTTGGACCCCACATTGCCTAAAAATTTTTTAAAAAAGTAAAAAATGCTTTATGTATTAGACATAACAACAATATAATTACTAAAATTACTGGAGAAACATGGTTAAAGTTTAAAACTATGCTTATTAGAGCAACGTGATTTTATCTACCAATATTGTACTAATATGTGTCTTTGCTCACTTTACTCTGGTAACTTCACTTTGAATTCAACTGTTAGAGACCACCAAGACCCTCTATCTTAACTCTCTCTCATAGGTGTGCTGTGTGAGTTAATTCCAACAATTCTATTATTAGCCTGTACTGTTTTGTTAAAGTTCCTGCATGGCAATGACCCCTGATCAAGGCATGAAAAATACTGATTGAATGGTGTTGTTTTGTATTTGTGGGTCAGGGGATATTTAGGTGGTTTATTTATCAGCATTGTTTCATGTGATTGATGAGTTGCACTTGGTCTCAATGAGGCTCTTCCTCTGACCTCCACTGAAGAGGCTAGTTAGAGAACAGGAACATGTCCGCTTGACAAGAAAAATATTAAAAAGTCCAGTGAAGACTCTATTTTGGGCTCCTAGGTTCCAAGGTGTCCTGTGCACACATCCTGCTCTGAGAGAGAAAATGCACCCCACCACAGACTTTACACAACAAAGGAAAACTGGAACTTGCACCCGAACTCTCTGGATGACTTGCTATGACAGCCTTTGACTGTGATGCATATCCTTACCATAATCCTGCTACTGGATTGTATCCTTCTCCTGTAATAAACTGTAGATGCATAACCACTGCCATTCTAGGCCCTGTGAATCTTCCTTGGCAATCAAACCCTTTTTCACTGCCTCTGTCAGTGCAATAGGCCTTAATCACAAACCAGTAACTCTAACATTCATTTCCAAAAAGCAAAAATTTCTAAGCTGTCTCATGTCTCTTGGCTTCTGCCATGAGGCTAAGAGTCAATACAAACCTGTTATTAGAAGTCTGAACATGGCCAGGCTCTGTGGCTCACGCCTGTACTCCCAGCACTTTGGGAGGCCGAGGCAGGTGGGTCACCTGAGATTGGGAGTTCCAGACGAACCTGGCCAACATGGTAAAACTAAAAGTACAAAAATTAGCCGGGCATGGTGGCACATGCCTGTAATCCCAGCCACTCAGGAAGCTGAGGCAGGAGAATCGCTTGAACCCAGGAGGCAGAGGTTGCAGTGAGCTGAGATTGTGCCACTGCACTCTAGCCTTGGCAACGGAGCAAGACTCCTTCTCAAAAAAAAAAAAAAAAGAAATCTGAATGTGTCCTAAGAGTGAGTCACCACCACCAACTTTATGAGGACAGCACATTGCCAAGTATATATTGTATGAGTTGAAGGAAAACAAAAAAACAAAATCACTTGTTACCTTCATGTTTTTCCAGAGCCTGTATAACATTAGGTAGTTGATTTATACCCTGATAGAGTCGGTAACAATCTTGTAAGTTTGCTGCTTGTCTTTGAAACTTCTTGGCAAGTCGGTTAAGATCTGGGAATCGACGAAGTAAATCTTCTTGTAAAGTCTGCCTCAATTCTGCATCTTCTACAAAAGCTTCCACTAAATTCAATCTGAAATAAATTAACTTGAATTAATGTAAAATATTTTAGTATAAAATTAAAATTTATCAACTAAGCACGTAAGTCTCAACTAAATCAGCTCAAAATTCCATTTAAAAAGCTTGAATCTGCTGGGCGCAGTGGCTCACACCTGTAATCCCAGCACTTTGAGAGGCCGAGGCAGGCAGATCACCTGAGGTAGGGAGTTCGAGACTGGCCTGACCAACATGGAGAAACCCCGTCTGTACAAAAAATACAAAATTAGCCAGGCATGGTGGCTCATGCCTGTGATCCCATCTACTTGGGAGGCTGAGGCAGGAGAATCGCTTAAACCTGGGAAGCAGAGATTGTGGTGCACTGAGATCATGCCATGGCACTCCAGCCTGGGCAACAAGAGCAAGACTCTGTCTCAAAAAAAAAAAAAAAAAGAAGCAGCCTGAATCTAGGCTAGGTGCGGTGGCTCACGCCTATAATCCCAGCATTTTGGGAAGCCACGGTGGGCAGATCTCAAGGTCAGAAGTTTGAGACCCGCCTGGCCACCCAGCATGGTGAAACCCTGTCTCTACTAAAAATACAAAAAAATTAGCTGGGCATGGTGGCGCACGCCTGTAACCCCGGCTACTCGGGAGGCTGAGGCAGGAGAATTGCTTGAACCCAGGAGGCGGAGGTTGCAGTGAGCCGAGATAGCGCCACTGTACTCCAGCCTGGGCAACAGAGCAAGACTCTGTCTCAAACAAAAAAAAAAAAAGACAGAAAGAAGGTTGAATCCTGAATCTATTCTGAAACGTTAGCTTTTTTAGAAGGTGGAAAGCTCTGTAAGACTGTGAGGCAAACATTTCCTGATTAGCTAAGAGTCAAATTAATGTTTAATTAAGCAGTATCATAAGACACTGACATATACCCAATTTTGTTTGACTTTTATCAAACAGACATGCCTTAAATAGAAGAAAGAATTTCATTACTGGGACATTGTTACAGACACGCTGTTGCACATGTAAATAGTGATGTTTAACGAAACAGAATTACAGTTCAAGAATGTTGCCAAATCCAGTACTTACATTTTTAGAATGCTTTCTAAAATTACCTCTTGACAGTACAAAGCCAAAAACTGTTAATTAAAAAACTAAAATAATTCTACTGCTTCCCAAAGTCAATAAAATCTCAGCTTGTTTCAAGAACGACAGAATATGTAGTTCATACTGCTTCTGTAAGTTATTGGAAATCAGTGACTTTTCATTTTTTTCAGTGTAACCACAGCAAGAAATGTCTTTACATCACAATCCAGCACATACATACATAGATCTATGATTAAAATAGGTTTCACAAATCAATACTTGCTACTCTAATTATGTGATACACTCTATTTTCTTTTTTTCTTTCTTTCTTTTTTTTTTTTTTTTTTTTTGAAATAGTCTTGCTCTGTTGCTGAGGCTGGAGTGCAGTGGTGCAATCTCGGCTCACTGCAACCTCCAGCTCCCGGATTCAAGTGATTCTCGTGCCTCAGCCTCCTGAGTAGCTGGGACTAGAGACGCATGCCACCACACCCCGCTAATTTTTTGTACTATTAGTAGAGACGGGGTTTCACCATGTTAGAGCCAGGAAGGTCTCGATCTTCTGACCTTGTGACCTGCCGACCTTGTGACCTGCCAGCCTCGCCTCCCAAAGTGCTGGGATTACAGGCGTGAGCCCACTCTGCTATGTTCTATTGTATTTAATTCTTCAAAAATGCTCTGTCACCTACTAATTTAACGACCCACTACTGGGTCACACCTTGCAGTTTGAAAAACAATGTTGAAGATGTTACTAAAGTAATAGCTGAAAGGTAAATTACTGAAGCTGAAAGGTAAACTAACAATCGAAGGTGGGAAAATGTTCCTACATATTTTACACATCTCTAAGTACAGTATTAGAGAAGCTTTTCTGGAGGCCATAGGCATTACAGATGACTCAAGGTTCGGAATGCTATCAGATGAGCAACGATCTTCCTTATGTTTATAAACGATGTGACAGTAAACTAAACCTCAAATTACACAGGTATAGAAAGGAAACAAATCTGCTTTCTAAATTGAGTAGCTGGGACTACAGGTGCCTGCCACCACACCCGGCTCATTTTTTTGTATTTTTAGTAGAGACGGGGTTTCACCATGTTAGCCAGGATGGTCTCGATCTCCTGACCTCGGGATCCACCCGCCTCGGCCTCCCAAAGTGCTGGGATTACAGGCGTGAGCCACCGCGCACAGCCCTAAATTTCTTAACTATTTACTGACATCACCAGCATTTACAATTCCTGTGTTACCAAAATGTTTATCAAGCATGTTATATGAGGAAAAGCATGTTATCTCCAGAGTAAACACAAAATGGCCATATATAAAAACACATTTAAAGCATAATTTCTCAATCTTGGCAACACTGCCATTTTAGGCTACATAATTTTTTGTTGTAAGGGGCTGTTCCATGCTTAACAGCATCCCTGGATTCTACCCACTATACACTCTCTTCCTCAGCATGACAACCAAAAATGTCTCTAGACACTGCTGAATGTCCCCTGGAGGGAAAAACTGCCCCAGGTTGAGACTGCTGGCTTAAAGGAACTTGAATTAAAATTTACTTTTTAAGAGAAAAGTAACCTAAACCATGTCCAGCTAACGTCTAGGCAGCTAACAACAGATACGTGTTTTTTATGGAAAATGCCAAATTAGTGGGAAAACAATTTGCTGCCAAGTTTATAGCCCCATCAATGGGGCTATAAACAAACATTTATGGAAAATGCCAAATTAGTGGGAAAACAATTTGCTGCCAAGTTTATAGCCCCATCAATGGGGCTATAAACAAACATCGAGATTAATTAGGATGCCTACTGCTACGGAAAATATTTTTGTGGCATATAACTCTACATTTGAAAAAAGAAACAATGGATGTAGTCAAATTACACAATCCAATAAAGCAAATTTTTGGGGCTTTCCTAGCTAAGCATTGAGCTTCACCAAGTCTGGTCCAAGGATCACCAGCATCAAAATCACTTGGAGGTAGATAATACAAAATCCCTGGGAATGGGGCCCAGCTGTGAAATCCCATGCAATTATTATGCACACAGCTTGATTCTTATGCTCACAGAAATTTGAATCCTAACAATCACAGAAATCCCTTAGGTATCTTAATAAAGTAGGAAGGCCAGGTGCGATGGCTCACACCGGTAATCCCAGCACTTTGGGAGGCCGAGAAGGGCGGATCACGAGGTCAAGAGATCGAGACCATCCTGGCCAACCAACATGGCGAAACCCTATCTCTACTAAAAATACAAAAATTAGCTGGGCGTAGCGGCGCACACCTGTAGTCCCAGCTACTCTGGAGGCTGAGGCAAGAGAATCACTTGCCAGATTGCAGTGAGCGAGACTGTGCCACTGCACTCCAGCCCGGGCGACAGAGCGAGGTCCCGTAATTAGCTGGGCATGGTGACGGGTGCCTGTAATCCCAGCTACTCAGGAGGCTGAGGCAGGAGAATGGCGTGAACCTGGGAGGCGGAGCTTGCAGCAAGCCGAGATCGCGCCACTGCACTTCAGCCTGGGCGACAGAGCAAGACTCTGTCTCAAAAAAAAAAAAAAAAAAAAAATTAAAGCTGGGCGCGGTGGTTCACGCCTATAATCCCAGCACTTTGGGAGGCCGAGGCGGGTGGATCACGAGGTCAGGAAATCGAGACCATCCTGGCTAACATGGTGAAACCCTGTCTCTACTAAAAATACAAAAAAAAAATTAGCAGGGCGTGGTGGCGGGCGCCTGTAGTCCCAGCTACTCGGGAGGCTGAGGCAGGAGAATGGCATGGACCCGGGAGGCGGAGCTTGCAGTGAGCAAAGATCGCACCACTGCACTCCAGCCTGGGCAACTGAGCAAGACTCTGTCTCAAAAAAAAAAAAAAAAACAATAATAATCTTATGCTTCTTCCCTGTTCCCAGTATTTTATCACTGTTTCCTCTCAAACTGACCAGAAAATAAATCATAACTAATCAACAGAGTTGAAGAGCCCACAGGCACACATATCCTTTCCTCTCGTCGGTGGAAGAGGTGGCTGTGCATCCCTACCTGTGAAATGAAAGGAGTCTGTGCAAAGTCAGCCAATTTTGTACCTCTGAAAAACTGATTTTCTACTGAATTTTATACTATATGATGTCTCACCTATTCAAGAGAAATTATTAGAAATAAAAAATTTATAAATAGATACATAGTGAAATGGAAAAAAACTGTATATACTGTTGGGAAGGAATACAGATTGTATTCCTAATACGATCCCATATTGTTTTTAAGTGTTAACTATGTTTTTAAAAATGCATATATCTGTATACATAGAGAAAAAAAACCCCTGGAAGGGTAAGAACACAAACTAAACTGTTAACACTGATTACCACCATAGACTAGGACTAGAGGTAAAGTAGAAGTACGGGTGTTTACCTTCTTAATTTATTTTTTAAAAACATGACGTGACCCTGTAGTGCTTTTCAAATAAAAAGTTATTTTAAAAATCACAAATTATGAGATATAGCAATGATAAAACATAAATAAGAAGCCAAAAATGCACACTTTTGTTGTACTTTTACAAATTGTTTGCCAACAAATTGTAAAACAGCTTTCTCTCAAGCAGCAAGAGTAACACTTCCTATTTGCTCTTCATATCCCTTTCACATCTTACAAAGGATAAACCAAGAATAAAGCAAACTTGGTAAGAGAGAACCAATGGGGTTTTGTTGTAAAGAACAAACAAGGAGGATAGATGGACTACTGCTAAGTGCTGTAGAGTAAGAACAGAACACTCTAGACTTAAAAAATCAAAACATCTCTTTCCTGTTTCTTTTTTGGTTTTTTTTTTTTTGAGATAAAGTTGTGCTCTTGTTGCCCAGGCTGGAGTGCAATGGCTCTGGTCTTGACTCCTGACCTCGGGTGATCCGCTGTCCTCAGCCTCCCAAAGTGCTGGGATTACAGGAGTGAGCCACCGCGCCCGGCGAAACATCTCTTTCCTTTTTGTCTTGTTTCTCCAAAGCCCATGAAGAGAGCTGACACCTCTAGTTTGTCCTTACTGGTTTTAAAAGATACTCAAACAGGCCGGGCACGGTGGCTCTCGCCTGTAATCTCAGCACTTTGGGAGGCCGAGGCAGGCGGATCGCATGGTCAGGAGTTTGACACCAGCCTGACCAACATGATGGAACACCGTCTCTACTAAAAATACAAAACTTAAGCCAGGCACAGTGGCTCACACCTGTAATCCTAGCACTTTGGGAGGCCAAGCAGGTGGATCACCTGAGGTCAGGAGTTCATGACCAGCCTGGCCAACATGGCGAAACCCTGTCTCTACTAAAAATACAAAAATTAGCCAGACGTGGTGGCGACGTGGTGGCACACGCCTGTAATCCCAGCTACTCGGGAGGCTGAGGAAGGAGAATCACTTAATCGCTTGAAACTGGGAGGTGGAGGTTGCAGTGAGCTGAGATCACACCACTGCACTCCAGCCTGCCCGACGGGAGCAAGATTCCATCCAAAAAAAAAAATTAGCTGGGGATGGTAGCCCATACCTGTAATCCCAGCTACTCGGGAGGCTGAAGCAGGAGAATTGCTTGATTGAACCCGGGAGGTGGAGGATGCAGTGAGCCAAGATTGCACCACTACACTCCACAGAGCAAGACTCTGTCTCAAATTAAAAAAAGAAAAAAAGATACTCAAACCACTTCCAAATGATTGGAATGCCTTATCTAGATCAAATCTTCATTAATTTTTCCTTAACAATGGACATATTCTCTCCAAGCTGGATTTCATATACAGCATATCAAACATAATTTTCAGAAAATTCAGAAACAACCATCAGGCTTCTTTCCTTCCTAAGCCCCCCAATTTAAACCCAAATAACAACTGCAATATTCAAAAGAATAAAATGTCAACCTTTCGTTAATTTCCCAAAAATTAACTTTAATTAAAATGAAATTTAAGTTATTTCACAATTTTCACCTATAAAGTAGCATTAAGGACTGGGTGCAGTGGCTCACACCTGTAATCCCAGCACTTTGGGAGGCTGAGGCAGACAGATCACCTGAGGTCAGCAGTTCAAGACCAGCCTGGCCAACATGGCAAAGCCCCATCTCTACTAAAAATACAAAAATTAGCTGGGCGTGGTGGCAGGTGCCTGTAATCCTAGCTACTTGGGAGGCTGAGGCTGGAGAATCATTTGAACCTGGGAGGCAGAGGTTGCAGTGGGCCAAAATGGCACCGTTGCACTCCAGCCTGGGCAACAAGAGCGAAACTCCATCTCAAAAAACAAAAAAAAAAAAAGAGGGAAAGAGAATGTAACATTAAGAAACAAGTAATGGGTAATGGGCCAGGCGTGGTGGCTCAAGCCTGTAATCCCAGCACTTTGGGAGGCCGAGGCGGGCGGATCACAAGGTCAGAAGATCAAGACCATCCTGGGTAACATGGTGAAACCCCATCTCTACTAAAAAATACAGAAAATTAGCCGGGCGTGGTGGTGGGCGCCTGTAGTCCCAGCTACTTGGGAGGCTGAAGCAGGAGAATGGAGTGAACCCAGGAGGCGGAGCTTGCAGTGAGCGGAAACTGCGCCACTGCACTCCAGCCTGGGGGACAGAGCAAGACTCCGTCTCAAAAAAAAAGAAAGAAGTAAAATGGCAAAGAAACGACAAGCTTCTAAAAAACAAAGCACAAAGCAACATACACACAGCACAGCTCCCTCAGCCTTTGGTCCAGATATCATTAAAAGCCTAATAAATTGCTAGTTTCACAAGTCTATTCAACATACGATTGCAGTAATAATTACAGTTTCAGTTTATGTTTCTGGCTAAAAGAAGCTTAAAGAAAAAAACAACTACTCTGCTGTTTCTGTGACAATGCCAATTTAAAAATCACAATTTTAGAAGCATCACAGTTACTGTTGGCATAACATAGTATACTTATCAATCCTACTCAATAAAATGACTCAGCTGTATGCAATTCTGAGAGTCAACATGCGAATTAATATTGCATTAAATTGCATACAGCTGAGTCATTTTGGGGATCAGTTAACTCTTAAAATTCCAACAGAATTAATCAAATTCTTGGGGTTTTTTTTTTTTGGAGACAGAGTCTCACTCTGTTGCCCAGGCTGGAGTGCAGTGGCGCAATCTCAGCTCACTGCAACCTCTGCCTCCCAGGTTCAAGCAATTCTCCTGCCTCAGCCTCCCAAGTAACTGGGACCACAGGTGCACGCCGCCACATGCAGCTAATTTTTTGTATTTTACTAGAGAAGGGGTTTCACCGTGTTGCCCAGGCTGGTCTCGAACTCCTGAGCTCACACCTGTAATCCCAGCACTTTGGGAGGCTGAGGCAGGCCAAGGCAATCCGGCCACCTTGGCCTCCCAAAGTGCTGGGTTACAGCCACTGCACCTGGCCAAATTCTAGGTATTTTAAAATCAACATTCTGTCCCCTCTTTAACCCTACCATTTCTAGGCTTTCATTTTAAGAGCTGACTGGAATTGGTTGGGCATGGTGACTCACGCCTGTAATCCCAGCGCTTTGGGAGGCTGAGGCGGGTGGATGGCTTGAGCCTGGGAGTTCAAGAACAGCCTAGAAAACATGATGAAATCCTGTCTCTGCAAAAAATACAAAAACTAGCTAGTCTTATAACTCAGTCTCTAGATAGATAGATAGATAGATAGGTAGGTAGGTAGGTAGGTAGGTTTTTTTCAAAAGTGCTGACTGGAATTGCCTGACAGCGTATTTAAAAGGCTGAGAGCAAATATGGTTCCTAAAGAACTGTAATTACAAGTCTATAATTCTTTTTTTCA
Source organism: Homo sapiens (assembly GCF_000001405.40). NCBI lineage: Eukaryota > Metazoa > Chordata > Mammalia > Primates > Hominidae > Homo > Homo sapiens. The sequence continues at coordinate 47,421,938 of NC_000002.12, read as the reverse complement.
TCTGTCCTATATATGGATTAATGAAGTCAAAACCACCCATTTGATACATTAAATAGCAAATACTGTGCTAGGCCTAAAGATTTTTAAAAAGGTTAAGTCCCAAGAGTCCTTATGTTTATACATGCACTTGGAGTGTTGCTCTTTATCCTTTTAAGCTTTTTCTTTTGTCCATTTATAGATTCATCTGAAGCTTTGGTAATTTTTCATTTTTAATGTCAGAATTCTGTAAGGAACATTGAACATATGTTAGCATATAAAATAGTTTATTCTTGTGGAAATGCTGACAAAATAATTTGTGTATTGAATTTGGCATTTTTATTGCCTTCTAGTTTAATATTATTTCTTTTTATATAAAATAAGATTAACATAAGCCAGGCACGGTGGCTCACGCCTGTAATCCCAGCACTTTGGGAGGCTGAGGTGGGCAAATCACAAGGTCAGGAGTTCAAGACCAGCCTGGCCAACGTAGTGAAACCCCGTCTCTACTAAAAAACACAAAAAATAAGCCAGGCGTGGTGGCGGGCGCCTGTAATCCCAGCTACTCAGGAGGCTGAGGCAGGAGAATCACCTGAACCCGGGAGGCGGAGGTTGCAGTGAGCTAAGATTATGCCATTGCACTCCAGCCCTGGCAATAGTGTGAGACTCTGTCTCAAAATAAATAAATAAATAAATAAGATTAACATAGCAATCTTTTTTTTTTTTTTTTTTTTTTTGAGATGGAGTTTTGCTCGTTGCCTAGGCTGGAGTGCAATGGTGAGATCTTGGCTCACCGCAACCTCCGCCTCCCAGGTTCAAGCGATTCTCCTGCCTCAGCCTCCTGAGTAGCTGGGATTACAGGCATATGCCACCACACCCAGCTAATTTTGTATTTTTAATAGAGACAGGGTTTCTCCATGTTGGTCAGGCTGGTCTTGAACTCCTGACCTCAGGTGATCTGCCTGCCTTGGCCTCCCAAAGTGCTGGGATTATAGGCATGAGCCACCTCGCCCAGCCAGAGACATATTTCTGATTAAGATTGCTACACTAGGGCTGGGCGCGGTGGCTTGCACCTGAGGCGGGCGGATCGGGAGGTCAGGAGTTAGAGACCAGCCTGGCCAACACGGCAAAACCCTGTCTCTACTAAAAACCCAAAACTTGGCCGGGTGTGGTGTGCTAACCTGTAAGCCCAGGTACTCAGCAGGCTGAGGCAGGAGAATCGCTTGAACCTGGGAGGCAGAGGTTGCACTGAGTGGAGATTGCGCCATTGCACTCCAGACCAGGCGACAGAGTGAGACTCCACTCACAAAAACAAAACAAAAAAAAAGAAATATGTCTCCAAGTAAAGTATGGAAAGGTTGGCTTTGAAAAGAAATAAAAGTGTTATTTCTTCTTCTGAGAAAGAGCCAGAGAGTAAAAGAGTGGAAGTACAGATAAATTTTGAGGTTTTAAGTGTTAAGGAAGAAATCATCCGCTTAGAGGTAGGAGATAGCTGAAGGCTTAAGGCAAAGTAAAAAATCGGGAGTTGGTCACTATAATGAGTCAGACAATAAAAGTAACAACCAGTTATCATTGAAAACTAGAAAGCATGAAAGCACAATGGGACCTATCAGCATTGTGTGACCTTCTCCAGCAAATTTTTTTCTTTTTTGAAGACTGGGGATAGGGAAGGTTCTCACTATTTTCCCAGGGTGGACCTGAACCTGTGATCCTCCTGCCTCAGCTTCCCAAGTAGCTGGGACTTCAGGCACAAGCCACCATGCCTTGCTTATTATAAATAATTTTGGCCGGGCACGGTGGCTTACGCCTATAATTCCAGTACTTTGGGAGGCCAAGGTGAGTGGATCATCTGAGGTCAGGAGTTCGAGACCAGCCTGGCCAAAATAGTGAAACCCTGTTTCTATTAAGAATATAAAAATTAGCCAGGTGTGGTGGTACATGCCTGTAGTCCCAGCTACTCGGGAGGCTGAGACAGGAGAATCGCTTAAACCCAGGAGGTGGAGGTTGCAGTGAGCCGAGATCACGCCACTGCACTCCAACCTGGGCAACAGAGCAAGACTCCATCTCAAAAAATAAATAATGATAATAATAATTTCTAATTCGACTGTTTAAATAAAGTACAAAAAGGAACAAGTCCCTAGAAACTCATTTCTAGATGGCAATAACATATGCTCATAGTTGCAAGTAGGTTTTAGTGAATGGAAAGAGGAACAGTACAGATCGGGTGTAGTGGTTCATGCCTGTAATCCTAGCACTTTGGGAGGCAAAGGAAGGTGGATTACTTGAGCTTGGGAGTTTGAAACCAGGCTAACCATGACAAAATCTCATTTCTTTTAAAAGAAAAAAAAAAAAGAACCAAAAAAAACTTGGTTTTATAGTAACCTGGAAGGAACATCAATCCCAAATGCTTAGTAAGGGAGATAACAGATTTCTCCTGAGAACTCCCAAGAAGGCTTAAACTAGGAAGCATGAGGTACCACAGCAGACAGAGTTGAGAAAGAGGAATAATTATAAGAAACAGGCTGGGCACGGGGGCTCACACCTGTAATGCCAGCACTTTTGGAAGCTGAGGTGGGTGTGGATTGCTTGAGACCAGCATGGCTGGGCTCAGTGGCTCACGCCTGTAATCCCAGCACTGTGGGAGGCCGAGGCAAGTGGATCATCCGAGGCCGGGAGTTCGAGAGCAGCCTGACCCACATGGAGAAACCCATCTCTACTAAAAATACAAAATTAGCCGGACGTGGTGGCGCATGCCTGTAATCCCAGCTACTCAGGAAGGCTGAGGCAGGAGAATCGCTTGAACCCGGGAGGCAGAGGTTGCGGTGAGCCAAAATCACACCACTGCACTCCAGCCTGGGCGTCAAGAGTGAAACTCGGGCTCAAAAAAAAAAGAGAGACCAGCCTGGGCAACATAGTGAGACCTCATCTCTACAAAAATGAAGAAAAAAGAAGAAACAAACAAATCCTGTATAAGGAGTGGATCTTTTTCTTCCTAGTCTGTGGTATTTCAACGTTTGGCCTTGGAAGCCACAGGCCCTCCCCGCTTGCTGCTAAAAATTGTCACCAAGAAAAAAACATTTCTTCTTACCCTACAGGTGGGGTATTAAGCAGATAATATTTTGACTCATAAAGCCATCCTCACAGATGTTACTTCTAATGAACAAGTCTTGTAAAACCATTAGATTTTAGAAATTATTGCTATGTCCCATGAAAGTAACCTTTCCTTACCCTCTTCTTCAAAAACCTACTTTTGATAGATAGCTTGCTTACTAAAAAGTGTTACTCTGATAATTATATTAGGTGACATTTCAGGTTTCTAAAGGGTCTAAACACATGCATCCTCCAGTTCTTAAACCAGAAGGGGATCACTGACACTTCCTCTATTCCCATAAATTGGAAATTAAAAATATAACCAATGACCTATAGCTTGAGTGTTAAATTATCAATCACTTCCTTTAAAAAAATTAAAGAGGAGAGAGAATAGACATACTTGTTTTGCTTGTGTAGGCCCAGACTCTGCTTGGAAGGATGTTCAAGAAACTAACACTGTTGCTCCCAGGGCAGGTGGTGGCAAAATACAATAGGAAATGTGACCCTGGAGCCATGCAAGACAGGGGCTCTTTATGGAGCTGACAGAGAAGGGGGGATGACTTATCACTGTATATCCACCTGTCCTTTTTGAATTTTGACACGTATAACTACTTATTCACAAATAAAAATTAAAAATTGTAAATTGCCTTAATTACTTGCAAATTACCCAGTCCTTCCAATCTCTTTTATTGATACCTCATAATTGTACACATTTGGGGGTTTGTAATATTTTAATACACGTATACAATGTATAATACTTAACTCAGGGTAACTGAGATATCCATCACCTCAAACATTTATCTTTGGGGATCCAATCATTCCAATATCGTTTTTGTTGTTGTTGATTTTGGGCGTCTTTTTTTGTTTGTTTGTTTGTTTGATACAAAATCTCGTTTCTCACCCAGGGTAGAGTGCAGTGGCACAATCTTGGCTCACTGCAACCTTTGCCTCCCAACTCAAGCGATTCTCATGCCTCAGCCTCAAGAGTAGCTGGTATTACAGGCACACACCACCATGCCCATCTAATTTTGTATTTTTAGTAGAGATGGGGTTTCGCCATGTTGGCCGGGCTGGTCTCGAACTCTTGACCTCAAGTAATCCACCCACCTCGGCCTCCCAAAGTGTTGGGATTACAGGGGTGAGCCACTGCATCTGGCCTGTTGATTTTTGTTTGAGACAGCGTCTCACTATGTCACCCAGGCTGGAGTGCAGGGACATGAATATGGCTCACTGCAGCCTCAACCTCCTGGGCTAAACAATCCTCCAGCCTTAGCCTCCCATGTAGCTGGGACCACAGGCACATGCCACCATGCCCAGCTAATTTTAAACAATTTTTTTTTTGGTAGAAATGGGGTGTCATTTTGTTGCCCAGACTGGTCTCAAACTCCTGGGCTCAAGCAATTATCCTGCCTCAACCTCCCCAAGTGCTGGATTATATGTGTGAGCCACCGTGCCCAGCCTCAGTTTCTTTTTTTGTTTGTTTTTTGAGACAGGGTTTCACTCCATTGCCCAGGCTGGAGTTCAGTGGCACAATCATAGCCCACTGCAGCCTCAAACTTCTGGGCCAGGGTGATATTCCCACCTCAGCCTCCCGAGTAGCTCGGGCTACAGGTACATGTCACCACACTGAGCTAATTTTTTTTTTTTTTCTTTTGTAGAGATGGCGTCTCACTGAGTTGCCCAGGCTGGTCTTGAACTCCGGGGCACAAACAATTCTCCCACTATGGCCTCCCGAAGTTCTGGAATTATAGGCATGAGACATCGCACCCAGCCCCAATTTCTGGTTCTAAATCACTAAATCCCACTCCTCTTCCCCAACAAACCTGGCTTTAGAAATCACCTTAAATTCATCAAGCAGTACTTACGTATATTACACTTCACTTAAAAGTTTTAAAACTTGTATCTAAAAGAAAAGACTAAAATAAAATATATTGAAATACTAGTAATTTTAGGATAGCAGAATTATACAACCTTTTATTTCCACAATTTTAAAGATTTTCTGACATATATGTTAAGGTCACCTTAAATCTTTTCTAGGATAAAGAGTTAAGTGCTTCCTATATATCAGACTGTAAGTATTTTATGTATATTAAATCATCTCATGCTTATAATCCTATTAAGTAGCTCTTTTATTAATGTCATTTTAAAGGTGAAGAAACTATGACATAAAGGTTGAGTAATTTACCCACGATTACACACAATATGAACATGTTCGATACCATACCATCTCAAATAAAATAAACTTTTATAGTGAAAAAAAAAAAACTTATTTAAAAAAATGAGTTCTTTAATCAATCTAAATAATTACCACTCTATTACTATGTACTCTGTACAGTTAAATGGTAACATATACTTCCAAAACTGCATATTACAATAAGTGGTATAATCATGTGGGTAACTGCAGGTTACATAAAACTAACGAAAGTATAAACTAATAACATACCTCTCCTCTATTCTGTTCTTATCCATGAGAGGCTGCTTAATCCACTGGTTAACAAGTCTTTGTCCTTGAGGGGTTTTACACTTATTCAGCAAGGCAGCCAGAGACTGAGAGCCAGTGGTATCTTCAACAGAACCCTAGTAAACAAAAAATAAAATAGAAAGAATGGCAAGCTCATTAGTGAAAACCTTACTACGCCATGAAAAACAGAGGAACAATAACATAATATTCTTCAAATATTAAGAAATTTCCACAAAAAGTTCCTCTTCCTAAGACCAACTTTCAACCTCTTAATCCGTATGTTCAACTGTACATTTCTCCCCCAGCCAAAACCACTTTATAATTACTACAGTTTTATTTTATTTGTTGAGACAGGGTCTGACTCTATTGCCCAGACTGGAGTGCAGTGGTGCCATCCTGGCTCACGGCAAGCCAGAACCCTTGGGGCTCAAAGAATCCTCCCACTTCAGCCTTTCGAGTAGCTGAGACTACAGGCGCACGCCACTAAGCCCCGCTAATTTTTTCTTTTGTAGAGACAGAGTCTCACTATGTTGCCCAGGCTGGTCTCAACTCCTGGCCTCAAGTCATCCTCCCACCCTGGACTCCCAAAGCGTTGGGATTACAGGCATGAGCCACGTCACCCAGCCACTTACTGCAGATTTAGACATAAAACTTCTTAGAATGTCATTTTAAATTGCTAGGCCAGGCCCAGTGGTTTACACCTGTAATCCCATCAATTTGGGAGGCCGAGGCAGGCAGATCACCTGGAGTTAGAGTCCAGCCTAGCCAACAAGATGAAACCCCATGTCTACTAAAAATACAAAAATTAGCTGGGCATGGTGGCAGGCGCCTCTAATCCCAGCTAATTGCCCAAACCGGAGAGGCAGAGGTTGCAGTGAGCTAAGATCACACCACTGCACTCCAGCCTGGGCGACAAGAATGAGACTCCGTCTCAAAAAAAAAAAAAAAAAAAAAATTGCTATTAGTAGTATACAAAATTATTCATAAAGTGAGGACTAATACCACATAGATAGCTTGAAACCAGAAAAAAAAAAAAAAAGCAATTCGAGAGCAAGGCACAATGAGACACACTCGTAGTCCCAGCTACTTTGGAGACTATGATAGAAGTGCTTGAGCCCAGGAGTTTGAAGCTGTAGTACACTCTGATGGCACTTCCTGTGAATAGCCACTGCACTCCAGCCTAGGGAGCATACATAGTCATACCAGTCTCTCAAAAAAAAAAAAAAAAAAAAAAACCTTGAAAAAAAATAGCAGAGCATGGTGGTTCATGCCTGTAATCCCAGCTACCACTCTAGAGGCTAAGGCAGAAGAATCACTTGAAGTCAGGAGTGAGCGAACATCCTGGGCAACACTGTGAAACTCCAACTCTGCAAAAATTTTAAAATTAGGCAAGCATGGTGGCTTGTGCCTGTAGACCCAGCTACTCATGAGGTTGAAGCAGGAAGATCGCTTGAGCCCAGGAGTTCAATACTGCAGTGAGCTATGATCTTGCCACTTCACTCCACCAAGCCCAGTCTCTAAAAAAGTAAAAAGTAGGCTGGGCACGATGGCTCAAGCCTGTAATCCCAGCACTTTGGGAAGCCGAGGTGGGAGGATCACCTAAGGTCAGAAGTTTGAGACCAACCTGGCCAACATGGTGAAACCCTGTCCCCGCAACCCTACTAAAAATATAAAAATTAACCAGGCATGGTGGCAGGCAACTGTAATCCCAACTACTTGGGAGGTGGAGGTTAGAGTGGGCTGAGATTGTGCCACTGCACTCTGGCCTAGGGAACAAGTGAGACTCTGACTTAAAAAAAAAAAAGTTAAAAAGTGGAGTGGAGGAGGGGAGAGAAAAATACAGCCATTTAAAGCTAGTTATCTAATCCAAGTATAATAATATTTCAAAATATTTTAGCTCCTTTATAAGCTTCTTCAGTATATGTCAATGAAAACATTTTTTAACCATTCAACATTTTTAACCCTTTTTTTTTTTTTTTTTTTTTTTTTTTACCTGAAAAAGGTTAAGGGCTCTGACTGCTGCAATATCCAATTTCATATACTGGCTGAAGTCAAAAGTAGTCAGTTCAAACTGTCCAAAGTTGGAATCATCTGATAAGAGTTCTAAAAACTTGATTACCGCAGACAGTGATGAAACTGCAACCTAAAATTAAGAATTTAAAAATCGAAGATTTCTATACCACTGGATCCAGTTCTAAAGATTTTAAAAAACAAATGCAAAATGAAAATAAATTCTGAAGTCCCTCATTTTCCTTGGTGTTCCTTCCCAATCCAAACCAAGAAAACTAAAGGTTAATCTCTTGAGATTTGAAAATGGTTTTTACAAGGTGAAAATTAACAGTAATTGCAGCATTATTTAGAATAGCCAAAAAAGAAAATTACCCAAATGTCCATCAAAACTAAAATGGGGGCCGGGCGCAGTGGCTCATGCTGTAATCCAAGCACTCCGGGAGGACGAGGCGGGTGGATGACTCGAGGCTAGGAGTTTGAGACCAGCCTAGCCAACATAGTGAAACCCCGTCTCTACTAAAAACACAAAAATTAGGCCCTTTCAACCTTGTGAGGTTAGAGTGAGAAAATGGTTATCTATGAACAAGTGGGCCCTCACCAGACAACAGATCAGCCAGTGCCTTAATTCTGAACTTCCCAGCCTCCAGAACTGTGAAATTAAAATACAAAAATTAGCTGGGCATGGTGGCACATGCCTGTAAACCCCAGCTACTTAGGAGATGAGAAAGGAGAATTGCTTGAATCCAGAAGGTGAAGGTTGCAGTGGGCTGAGATCGCACCACTGCACTCCAGCCTGAGCAACAAGAGCGAAACTCACCTCAAAAAAAAAAAAAAAAAAAAAAAAAAAAAAAAACTGTGAAAATTAACTGTAATTGCAGCAGTATTTATAACAGCCAAAAATGAAAATTACCCAAATGTCCATCAAAATTAGAATGGGGGTCGGGCACGGTGGTTCACGCCTGTAATCACAGCACTCTGGCAGGCCAAGGTGGGTGGATCACCTGAGGTCAGGAGTTCAAGACCAGCCTGGCCAACATAGCAAAATCCCCTCTACTGAAAATACAAAAATTAGCCAGGCATGGTGGCGTGCAGCTGAACCCAGAGGCAGAAGTTGCAGTGAGCTGAGACCGTGCCACAGCACTCCAGCCTGGGCGACAGAGCGAAATTCTGAGACTCCATCTCAAAAAAACAAAAAAAAAGGTAAAATGGGGAGAGTAGCAGTGGCGGGCAGAAGGGAAGTAAAATGGATAAATTCTGACATGCTCGTGCTATGAAATATAAATGCAAAAATCCACAACTACACTCAATAATATGGATAAATCTTACAAATATTGAATGAAAGAAGCTAGGCAGAATATATTATATAATTCCAAGTACATAAACTATAAAAATAGGCCAGACACAGTGGCTCATGCCTGCAATCTCAGCGCTTTGGAAGCCCGAGGCGGGCGGATCACCTGAGGTTCAGGAGTTTGAGACCAGCCTGACCAACATAGAGAAACCCCATCTCTACTAAAAATACAAAAAAGATGAGCCAGGCGTGGTGGCACATGCCTGTAATCCCAGCTACTCAGGAGGCCAAGGCAGGAGGATCACTTGAACCTGGGAGGCAGAGGATGTGGTGAGCCAAGATCGCGCCATTGTACTCCAGCCTGGGCAACAAAAGTGAAACTCTGTCTCAAAAAAAAAAAAAAGCTTAATATCATTGATACACAGTTTAGGTTTTGAGATAAATATGACAGAAATATCCTTCTAAAAAGTCACTATAGTTTACATATTATTTATTATATATTACATATTTACATTATATATATTGTAATTCACATTTATAATCCATGTACCTGATTCTCCATTTCTGGCAATACAGCACTATTCATCTGCTCTCCCTTTTTGCCTTTCAACAACCGGTTGAGGTCCTGATAAATGTCTTTTGTGGAAAAGTCAGCTTTTTTTCTTTCTGTGATCAGAATTCCTCCTCTTTGAATTATCTATTTTGAAAGAAATAGTTTAAACTACTATGAGAAAAGGAATAAGAAAAGCAAAAATGAAAATTATAACATTGATAACTATAGTGATAACAGATTCACCTACATTAAATGTTTATACAATGTGCAAGACACTGATATGATGTACTGATACACTTTTTACATCAATAAACTAAATTTTCATCAAAATATAAAATTACGTTCACATAAAGCTTTCAAAAAATAGTCCCAACGGTAACAACTCTTTTTTTGTTTTGAGACAGAGTCTCACTGTCGCCCAGGATGGAATGCGGTGACACGATCTTGGCTCACTGCTACCTCTGCCTCCCAGGTTCAAGCAATTCTCCTGCCTCAGCCTCCCAAGTAGCTAGGATTACAGGAGCAAGCCACCATGCTTGGCTAGATTTTTTTTTTCTTTGCATTTTTAGTAGAGACAGGGTTTCAGCACATTGGACAGGCTGGTCTCGAATCCCTGACCTCAGGTGATCCGGCCGCCTCAGCTTCCCAAAGTGCCAGGATTACAGGTGTGAGCCACCGCGCCCGGCCACAATAACAACCCTTAACAGAACTATTACTTGTGGAAAGTTGCTTAGATACAATCTATGCTAAAAATGCCCATCACATGTGTTATCTCCAGCGGTGCTTATGGTACTTGAGGACCACAAAAAGAATCTTTGGGAGATACATACCTTAAGAAACATCTAGGCCTGGCGCTGTGGCTCATGCCTGTAATCCCAGAACTATGGGAGGCCAAGGCGGGTGGATCACAAGGTCAGGAGTTAGAGACCAGCCTGACCAATATGATGAAACCCCGTCTCTATAAAAATACAAAAATAAGCCGGGCGTGTTGGCATGTGCCTGCAGTCCCAGCTACTTGGGAGGCTGAGGCAGAAGAATCGCTTGAACCCATAAGGTGGAGGCTGCAGTGAGCCAAGATCGTGGATCGTGCCACTGCACTCTAGCCTGGGTGACAGAGTCAGACTCAGTCTCAAAAAAAAAAAAATCTAAATATGCTGGGCACCGTGGCTCATGCCTATAATCCCAGCACTCTGGGAGGCTGAGGTGGGCAGATCACCTGAGGTCAGGAGTTCAAGACCAGCCTGACCAACATGGTGGAACCCTGTCTCTACTAAAAACACAAAATTGGCCAGGTGTGGTGGGGCATGCCTGTAATCCCAAGCTACTCCTGCTGGGGCAGGAGAATTGCTTGAACCCAGGAGGTAGAGGTTGCAGTGAGCTGAGATCACGCCATTACACTCCAGCCTGGGCACCAAGAGTGATACTCCACCTCAAAGAAAAAAAAAAAAATAACTAAATAATAAACCACATGCCTATACAAATGACACAATCAAAGCCGAGCATGGTGGCTCATGGCTGTAATCCCAGCACTTTGGGAGGCCCAGGTGGGTGGATCACGAGGTGAGGAGTTCAAGACCAGCCTGGCCAAGATGGTGAAACCTCACCTCTACTAAAAATACAAAAATTAGCTGGGTGTGGTGGTACACACCTGTAATCCCAGCTACTCAGGAGGCTGAGGCAGAAGAATTGCTTGAACCTGGGAGGCAGAGGTTGCAGTGAGCCGAGATCGCACCACTGCACTCCAGCCTGGGCGACAGAGCGAGACTCGGTCCCAAAAAAAAAAAAAAAAAATGACACAATCAGAATTTAGTTAAAATAAAACAAATAGTAAAATAACAGGCTAAAGTTCCACTCGATTTATCAAAAAATGCTAAAGAACTGCATCTTATTTGATAAATCCATAATTACAGTAATATTTACCGTAATAATTACTCTTTTGGAACACAAGACAGAAAGGAAAGGGGGGAGAAAAGATCTGAGGTAAAATAAATCTTACACAACAAACAGCTTGTTCTAATGTCCAATTAAATATACAAAGTTTCTGTAAACATCAGAACATTATTTTAATTAGATACAAAAAAAAGAGTTTTTTTATTATTTTTCCTTAAATGAAACAGTATCATGTCAATTAAAGAGCCTTTCCTAGGCCTGGAATCTCCTCTATCACTAGACTCAATTTGCTTACCTGTCTCAGTTTCCCCATGTCTCCAGCAGTCTCTCCTCCGGGTAAAACACATTCCTTTGGTCCAATCTGGATGAGGAGAGCCTCAAGATTGGAGAACTGATCATTATCAGGGAATTCACACAGTCCTAGTTTCCTCTGTATGGAATCCACATACCCAACTCCAACCTGTCTCTGGCCATCAACTGCGGACATTTTAACACCCACAACACCAATGGAAGCTGACATATCATTGTTACCAAAGAGAATGTCTTCAAACTGAGAGAGATTGCCAGGAGAAGCCTAAGTAAAAATAAAATTTTAAAAATTTAACAAACTCTTGAACATACTTTAAAATTTTATAAGCAAAAAGGAAAAATCCAAACTCTATGAACCTTATTAATAAAATGTTTTCTCTTTTTTTTGAGATGAAGTCTTGCTCTGTCACCCAGGCTAGAGTGCAATGGTGCGATCTCAACTCACTGCAACCTCTGCCTCAAGGGTTCAATCGATTCTCCTGCTTCAGCCTCCCCAGTAGCTGGGAATACAGGCGCACACCACCACGCCTGGCTAATTTTTGTATTTTTAGTAGAGATGGGGTTTCACCATGTTGGCCAGGCTGGTCTCGAACTCCTGACCTCGTGATCCGCCTGCCTCGGCCTCCCAAAGTGCTGGGATTACAGGTGTGAGCCACCAGGCCTGGCCAGTAAAATGTTTTCTTATAAAAAAATAACTGGCTGAGTGCTGTGGCTCACGCCTGTAATCCCAACACTTTGGGAGGCCAAGGCAGGCGGATCACGAGGTCAGGAGATCGAGACCGTCCTGGCCAACATGGTGAAACCCCATCTCTACTAAAAATACAAAAATTAGCCGGGTGTTGCAGCATGCACCTGTAATCCCAGCTACTCGGGAGGCTGAGGCGGGAGAAAAGCTTGAACCAGGGAGTCAGAGTTTGCAGTGAGCCCAGATGGCGCCACTGCACTCCAGCCTGGCGACAGAGCAAGACTGTCTCTAAATAAATAAATAAATAAATAAATAAATAAATAAATAAATGCTTGTGGTTGGGCATGGTGGCTCACATCTGTAATCTCAGCACTTTGGGAGGCCAAGGCAGGCGGATCACTTGAGGTCAGGAGTTCAAGACCAGCCTGGCCAACATGGTAAAACCTTGTCTCTACTAAAAATACAAATCTGTGGCGCTAATTTGTGGCCATCCTCACCTATTATAAGGATCTTACAGATACATGTCTCTATTATGACCTTACTGCTGGCCCTGCCCTCCCCTCCCCTTTCCCTCCCCTTCCCTGGCCCTCCCCCTCCCCTCCCCTCAGAAATTATCTATCTAATCTATCCCTCTATAGAGATGGGATCTCCCTACATTCCCCAGGGTGGTCTCAAACTCCTGGACTCAAGCAATCCTCCTGCCTTGGCCTCTGAAAGTTAAACTGTAACCTCAACCTCCTGGGCTCAAGTGATCCTCTAACCTCATCCTCTTGATTAGCTGGGACCACAGGTGTGTGCCAATAGCCCCAGCTAATTTTTTTAAATTTTTTTATCTTCAGTAGAGATGGGGCTTTACCACGTTGGGCAGGCTGGTCTTGAACTCCTGGGCTCAGGCAACCTACCTGCCTCAGCCTCCCAAAATACTGGGATTACAAGCATGAGCCACTGCGACCAGCCAAACTGCAACTTTTTAAAAACCACATGCTAATTGCTATTAAAGTGTCTCAAACCATTCTACTATCACAATCTACTTAAAATACTAAAACACAATTAAATTCTTCACATTTTTATTTTTCTACTCTTAAAAAAATAAGTAAATTAAAAAGGAAGATAATTACCTTATATGCCAAATACCAATCATTCTCCTTGGATGCCTTATTTCCAGCTCTATTCTTATAAACTTCAACTCTATACTGACGAACCAGAAGAAGATCTTTTACAAAAGATTCAAAATTCATTTTACTAAGCACAACACTCTGCAGATTCTTTGCTCCTTAAAAAAAAAAAAAGTACATTACAGATTTGAGATATTACATGTTCAAGCACTGTATTAGCTGGACTTCATGCTGCTGATAAAGACATACCCGAGACTGGGAAGAAAAAGAGGCTTACTGGACTTATAGTTCCACATGGCTGGGGAGGTCTCACAATCATGGCAGAAGGCAAGGAGGAACAAGTCATGTCTTACATGGATGGCAGCAGGCAAAGAAAGAGCTTGTGCAGGTAGACTTCCGTTTTTAAAACCATCAGATCTCATGAGGCTTATTCACTATCACAACAGCATGGGAAAGATCCATCCCCATGATTCAACTATCTCCCACCAGGTCCCTCCCACAATACATGGGAATTCAAGATGGGATTTAGGTGGGGACATAGCCAAACCATATCATTCTGCCATGACCCCTCCCAAATCTCATGTCCTCACATTTCAAAACCAATCATGCATTCCCAACAGTCCCCCAAAGCCTTAACTCATTTCAGCATTAATTCAAAATTCCAGTCCAAAGTCTCATTCAAGACAAGGTAAGTCCTTTCCGCATATGAGCCTGTCAAATCAAAAGCAAGTTAGTTACTTCCCAGATACAATGGGGTATAGGAATTGGGTAAATACAGCCATTCCAAATGGGAGAAATTGGCCAAAACAAAGGGGCTACAGGCCCCATGCAAGTCCAAAATCCAGCATGGCAGTCAAATCTTAAAGCTCCAAAATGATCTCCTTTGACTCTATGTCTCATGTCCAGGTCATGCGGATGCAAGAGCTGGGCAACCACAGCCTTGGACAGCTCTGCCCCTGTGGCTTTGCAGGGTACAGCACACTGCCTGGTTGCTTTCATGAGATGGCGTTAAGTGTCTACAGCTTTTCCAGGCACATGGTGCAAGCTGTCTGTGGATCTACCATTCTGAGGTCTGGAGAATGGTAGCCCTCTTTTCACAGCTCCACTAGGTGGTGCCCCAGTAGGGACTCTGTGGGGGGGCTCTGACCCTACATTTCCCTTCTACATTGCCCTAGCAGAGGAACTCAATGAGCACCCCACCCCTGCAGCAAACTTCTGCCTGGACATGCAGGCGTTTCCATACATCTTTGAAACCTAGGCAGAGATTCTCAAACCTCAATTATTGATTTCTGTGCACCTGCAGGCTCAACACCACCTGGAAGCTGTCAAGGTTTCAGGCTTGCACCCTCTGAAGCCATGGCCTGAGCTCTAGGTTGGCCCCTTTCAGCCACAGCTGGGGCAGCTGGGATGCAGGGCACCAAGTCACTAGGCTGCACACAGCATGGGGACCCCGGGCTGGCCCATGAAATCACTTTTTTCTCCTAGGCCTCTAGGCTTGTGATGAGAGGGGCTGCCATGAAGGCCTCTGACATGCCCTGGAAACATTTTTCCCATTGTCTTGGGGATTAACATTGGGATCCTCATTACTTATGCAAATTTCTGTAGCTAGCTTGAATTTCTCCTCAGAAAACGGGATTTTCTTTTCTATCACATTGTCAGGCTGCAAATTTTCCAAACTTTCATGCTGTTTCCCTTTTAAAACTGAATGCCTTTAACAGCACCCAAGTCACCTCTTGAATGCTTTGCTGCTTAGAAATTTCTCCCACCAGATACCCAAAATCATTTCTCTCAAGTTCAAAGCTCCACAAATCTCTAGGGCAGGGCAAAATGCCACCAGTCTCTTTACTAAAACATAACAAGTGTCACCTTTGCTCCAGTTCCCAACAAGTTCCTCATCTCCATCTGAGACCACATGAGCCTGGATTTCATTGTCCATATCATTATCAGGATTTTGGTCAAAGCCATTGAACAAGTCTCTAGGAAGTTCCAAACTTTCCCACATTTTCTGGTCTTCTTCTGAGCCCTCTAAACTGCTCTGACCTCTGCCTGTTACCCAGCTCCAAAGTTGCTTCCATATTTTCGGGTATCTTTTCAGCTGCATCCCACTCTATTGGTATCAGTTTACTGTTTTAGTCTGTTTTCACGCTGCTAATAAAGACATACCCAGCTGGGTAGGTAATCCCAGCTCTTTGGAAGGCGGAGGCGGGAAGATCACGAGGTCAAGAGATCAAGACCATCCTGGCCAACACAGTGAAACTCCGTCTCTATTAAAAATACAAAAATTAGCTGGGCATGGTGGCGTGCACCTATAGTCCCAGCTACTTGGGAGGCTGAGGCAGGAGAATCGCTTGAACCCGGGAGGCGGAGGCTGCAGTGAGTCGAGATCGCACCACTGCACTCCAGCCTAGCCACAGAGCCAGACTCTGTCTCAAAAAAAAATAAAAAAAGACATACCTGAGACTGGGCAATTTACAAAAGAACGAAGTTTAATGACTCTGCAGCCAGTTCCACATGGCTGAGGAGGCCTCACAATCATTGAGGAAGGCAAGGAGGAGCAAGTTACATCTTACATGGATGGCGGCAGGCAAAGAGAGAGAGCCTGTGCAGGGAAACTCCCATTTTTAAAACCATCAGATCTTGTGAGGCTTATTCACTACCAGGAGAACAGCACAGGAAAAACCTGCCCACATGATTCAATTATGTCCCACCAGGTACCTCCCACAAAACATGGGAATTCAAGATGAGATAAGGGTGGGAACACAGCCAGACCATATCAAGCACCTAACACAATGCTAACCCAAAAACTTCCAGTGTTTTCTCAGTAATTTATTCATTCATTAAATTGTTTATGAAGCACCTATTATATGTGCAGGGACTATGGAAGGTAATAAATAGTGAATAAGCATAGACCCTCTGCTTATATGGAGTCTACACATAAAAATCGTAAGTTCTAAAGGTAACTTTTTAATTTTTTTGTAGAGATGGGTCTCGCTATGTTACACAGGCTAGTCTTCAACTCCTAGCATCAAGCAATCCTCCCACCTTGGCATCCCTAAGTGCTGGAACGAACCACTGCACTTGGTCTGTCCTTTCTTATAATTTTTTTTAAAGTCTTTTTTTTTTTTTTTTTTTTTTTTGAGATGGAGTCTCGCTCTGTTGCCCAGGCTGGAGTGCAGTGGCACAATCTCGGCTCACTGCAAGCTCTGCCTTCCGGGTTCACACCATTCTCCTGCCTCAGCCTCCCAAGTAGCTGGGACTACAGACACCTGCCACCGCACCCAGCTAATTTTTTGTATTTTTAGTAGAGACAGGGTTTCACAGTGTTAACCAGGATGGTCTGGATCTCCTGACCTCGTGATCCGCCCACCTCAGCCTCCCAAAGTGCTGGGATTTTTGTATTTTTAGTGTAGACAGGGTTTCACCATGTTAGCCAGGATGGTCTTGATCTCCTGACCTTGTGATCCGCCCACCTCAGCCTCCCAAAGTGCTGGGATTACAAGCGTGAGTCACTGCGCCCGCCCTGTTTTAAAGTCTTATGTAAAATCTATGTAGGTCAGGTGCAGTGGCTAATACCTGTAATCCCAGCACATCGGGAGGCCAAGGTGGGTGGATCACTTGAGGTCAGGAGTTTGAGACCAGCCTGGCCAACATGGTGAAACCCCATCTCTACTAAAAATACAAAAATTAGCTAGGCGTGGTGGCACGTGCCTGTAATCCCAGCTACTCCGGTGGCTGAGGCAGGAGAATCGCTTGAACCCAGGAGGTGGAGGTTGCAGTGAGCCAGGATTACACCACTGAACTCCAACCTGGGCGACACAGTAAGACTCCGTCTCAGAAAAAAAAAAAAAAAAAACATTTCAGACTTTTCATTGGCTACAGCATAAAATTTCAACAGCTCAACACCACACTAAAAGCCTTTGGTCATCTAACCCCACCCACCTGGGCCAGTCTCCTTCCTTTTCTACACCAGCAACGCCAATCTACCTCGTTTCAAGCCCTCTCCCTAGCAAACTTCTAGTCCACCAAGACTCAACGTGGACTTTGGTGTCTCATATAACGCCTCTTCCGTTGTATGAGACTCTTCCAAAGTCTTCCGTCTTTGGCGATCCTGCCTTGGCGCCTCTTGTAACCTCTTACAAGCTCACCTCCATAAGCCTCCAACTTGAATTGTAATTATTTCTGCCTTGCTGTCCAATAGTGATCTCTATGAAAGTAGAGGTATTTCTTTTTTCATCTAGTGTCCATAACCCTGCCTAACACATTTATATCTAACGAATGAAACATTTTTCATCAGGAGTATCGCATTTGCACTAGTCCTCTAGTCAGGACTAGAATCCACAACTCTGCTCCCCCTAGGATGCTCTTTTCATTAGCATAACTACATAGCTGCAAGAAAGCGCAAAGAAAACAGGGAGAGAAGAGGTTAACTAGGCCTATCCAGAACATTTGGCCCACATAGGGTGAGACGTTTGTAGCTTTCCAGGGAGAGATAATCCTGGATAGATGGGGTCGGGTGACGGAGAGCACTGAATGCTGAGCTGAAGCAGATAGCGTCCATGACTGGCCCAAGGTCACACGTTAATAAGCAGAGGGGCAGCGACTTGATCCCAAGCAGCCCAGCTCCAGAGTCCGTTGGTCCTGACCACTTCATCATACTGCTCTTCAACGGCGCTCCATTACCAGACCCTTAGCTGGACCGGCGGTATAAATGGGAGCGTCGTGGGAGCAGAATTACGTGTCATAAAAGGGTCTCCTAAACCCCCAGTCTATTTTAAATCTCACTCCTGGCTGCTGTTTGTTAATAAGAGATTCTGGCCGTGTTTGTAATGAGCGCTACATGTAGGGCCAAGGCGAGGAATGCGACTGCTGGAAAATGAACTAGAACAATGCATTAAAATGCCTGGCACGACGTAAACACTCCGTGATCACAAGTTCAGATCCGGGGCGGCTGGAGAGGCACGGGTTTCAGGGCTGAGGGGGGCGTCCCTCCGGAGCCAAGCAGAACCTGGGGACGGCGGAATCCGCACAAGCACCAACGTTCCGCCCCCGTGCCTCCGCACTGGAGAGGCTGCTCACCGCCCACTCTCTGAGGCGGGAAAGGAGCCGCGCCACAAGGCCCCGGGTCCCTCCCCAGCACGCGCCGTCCCGGCCCTCACCTGCCGGCCCCATGTACTTGATCACCCCCTGGGTCTTGAACACCTCCCGGGCGGCCAGCAGCGCGTCCTCGCCGTGCGCCGTATAGAAGTCGCCCCGGTCGAAAAGGCGCACTGTGGTGGTCGGCTTCTCCGGCATGCCCTGAAAGAAGCGCACGAAGCCGACCTCGGCCGCGCTCTCCAACTGCAGCGTCTCCTTCGGCTGCACCGCCATGTCGAAACCTCCTCACCTCCTGGTTGAAGAAAATGCGCGACCCCACACCCACTAAGCTGTTTCCCGCCTCCCCTCCCACGTCCCCCGAGCGGCGTCCGGCCACGGCGACCACACCCAATCAGCTTCCAGGGCTGCGTTTCGGTGGGTGGGAGTCTGCCGCGGCAACCAATCATAAGCAGACGCGGCCCAGCTTCCCGCGCACGCTGGTGACTTTAGCTACTGCGCATGCCTGCGCCTAGGTCGCGCGGAAACCCGCAGACGCGCATCCTTAGTAGAGCTCCTTTCTGTGTTTACTCAGCTGCAAGGCTTGAAGCCCCTGGGTGGGGTGTATGCAAGGGTAGGTTGCCACCAGGTGGGAGATTTCCGGCAGGCACTGAGCTCGTAATGTGCCCGGAAGCATGGGAGTAACATCAGAAGGAAACTTGAAAACAAAAAAAAAACTAGCCTTCCTCCTCCTCCCAGTATTTTGTTAAAACGTGTGCCCCTCTCCGACTGCCTCCCTTTTTCTTTCTAAGCAAACTGCCAACATCGGGATTACGGGTTTATTCTACACAGCCTCCTTACTGCTGCCTGTTAGCCACATTATCGTTTCATCCACTCGTTGATGATTCACTCATTCGAAAACATTTATATGGCCTGCTATGTCCCAGACTCTTCTTGGCTCTGAGGATCGCCAGTAAAAAGAAAAATCACTGCCTTTATTCTGCTTACATTCTAATATGAGAAAATTCAGATAATGAATATAGCAAGTAAATGAAATGGTACGTTAGAAGATATGCGTTTGTGGCAGGGCGCGGTAGCTCACGCCTGTAATCCCAGCAATTTGGGAGGCCGAGGTGGGCGGATCACTTGAGCCCAGGAGATTGACACCATCCTGGGCAACATGGTAAAACCCACGTCTGTGATCCCAGATATTAGCAGGGCTGAGGCGAAAGGATCACCTGAGCCCGGGAGGTCGAGGCTGCGGTGAGCCGTAAATTGTGCCACTGCACTCCAGCGTGGGCGACAGATTGAAAACCCTGTCTCAAAAAATACAAAATAAAATAAATAAAAAGACAAACGTTTGACGCCAGGCGTGGTGTCACACGCCATAATCCCAGTACTTTGGGAGCACGAGCCAGGAGGATCGTTTGAGCCCAGGAGGTCTTCTGCCGTCAGCTATGTTCACGCCACTGCACCGCAGCTGGGGCGACAGAGCGAGAGACCCCGTCTTGAGGGGGGGTAGGGGAAGACCAGTTAAGGAAGAGGAAGGTTGAAATTTTAAAATGTTAGCAAACAGCCAGGCGCAGTGGCTCACGCCTGTAATCCCAGCGTATTGGGAGGCCAACGCGGGTGGATCACCTGAGGTCCGGAGTTTGAGACCAGCCTGGCCAACATGGCGAAACCCCGTCTCTACTAAAAATACAAAAATTACCGGGCATAGTGGTGGGCGCCTGTAATCACAGCTACTCGAGAGGCTGAGGCAGGAGAATCTCTTGAACCTGGGAGGTGGAGGGGGCAGTGAGCGAAGATCGCGCCACTACACTCCAGCCTCGGTGACAGAGCGAGACTCTGTCTCAAAAAATAAATAAAATGTTATCAAACACCTGAAGGAGCTCAGGATCCATCCTGCAAAATTAACTCTTAGAAAAGGTTTTTGCTGGCCGGGCGCGGTGGCTCACGCCTGTAATCCCAGCACTTTGGGAGGCCGAGGCGGGCAGATCACCTGAGGTCAGGAGTTCGAGACCAGCCTGACTAACATGGTGAACCTCCGTCTCTACTAAAAACACACACAAAATTAGCCGGGTGTAGTGGTGGGCACCTGTAATCCCAGCTACTTGGGAGGCTGAGGCAGGAGAATCCCTTGAACCTGGGAGGTGGAGGTTGCAGTGAGCCGAGGTCGCGCCATTGCACTCCAGCCTGGGCAACAGGGTGAGACTCTGTCTCAAAAAAAAAAAAAAAAAAAAAAAAGGTTTTTGCATTCTCCAGTTTAGTTTACCCTTTCCCCATGGAAGTGGTTCCAAAACCTAATTCAGCAGCAGAATCACCCTGGGGAGGTGGGGGGGGATTTAAACATATTCCTGTGCCCAGCCCACACATAATGGGTCTTAATTTCTGGAGTAGAGCCTTGGAACCTTTGTTTGTTTTTTTGAGAGGAAGTCTGGCTCTGTCACCACACTGGAGTGCAGTGGCGCAATCTCGGCTCACTGCCTCCCGGGTTCAGGCGATCCTCCTGCCTCAGCTTCCCAAGTAGCTATGACTACAGGTGTGCACCACCACCCCCAGCTAATTTTGGTATTTTTAGGAGAGACGGGGTTTCACTGTGTTGGCCAGGATGGTCTGGTCTCGATCTCTTGACCTCCTGTTCTGCCCGCCTCGGCCTCCCAAAGTGCTGGGATTACAGGTGTGAGCCACCATGCCCAGCTTGGAATCATTTTTTTTTTTTTTGGTTTTGTTTTTTGTTTGTTTGTTTGTTTGTTTTTTGAGATGGAGTTTCGCTCTTGTTGCCCAGGCTGGAGTGCAATGGCACAATCTCAGCTCACTGCAACCTCCACTTCCTGGGTTCAAGCAATTCTCCTGCCTCAGCCTTCTGAGTAGCTGGGATTACAGGCATGCGCCACCACGCCCAGCTAATTTTTGTATTTTTAGTAGAGATAGGGTCTCTCCAAGTTGGTCAGGCTGGTCTCAAACTCCCAACCTCCGGTGATCCACCCACCTCGGCCTCCCCAAGTGCTGAGATTACAGGCATGAGCCACCCCGCCCAGCCTCAGCCTGGAATCATTTTTGAAAGCTCCCTGGATGTTCCTGACAATCAGCTCAATTTAGAAATCTCTGGTGGGCACAGTGGCTCACGCCTGTAATCCCAGCACTTTGGGAGGCCGAGGTCAGCGGGTCAAGATCAGCCTGGCCAACATGGTGAAACCCCGTCTCTACTAAAAATACAAAAATTACCCTGGCATGGTGGCAGGCACCTGTAATCCCAGCTACTCAGGAGGCTGAGACAGGAGAATCGCTTGAATCCGGGAGGCAGAGGTTGCAGTGAGCCGAGACCACGCCATTACACTCCAGCCTGGGCGACAGAGCGAGACTCCGTCTCCATAGAAAAAAAAAAAGAAAGAAATCTCGGGCCTACAGATTAAAATTCAATTGCCTGGCCTTGCGCCAGATCACAGAGCTAGTAAGTGATAGATCTAGAATCCAGTCTTCTTCCAGATTCTGTATGCTTAACCGTCTGTGTGCTTACAGAATCTGCAGCAAGACTGTATACTGAGAAAGAAGATGTGTTTCTGACCTGAGTTTTATTTATTTTATATTTATATTTTTATTTTTTTCAGAGTCTCGCTCTGTCTCCCAGGCTGGAGTACAGTGGCACAATCTCGGCTGACTGCAACCTCCACCCGCCCTGGTTTCAAGTGATTCTCCTGCCTCAGCCTCCCAAATAGCTGGGACTACAAGTGCACACCATCACACCTGGCTAATTTTTGTAATTTTTGTGGAGATGAGTTTTACAACGTTGGCCAGGCTGGTCTGGAACTCCTGATCTCAAGTGATCCGCCCACCTCGGCCTCCCAAAGTGCTGGGATTACAGGTGTGAGCCACCACACCCAGCCTCAAACCTGAGTATTATAGTCTGATGTCATGTGCTATCCCTTTAGAGAAGCTACTACCATTTCTGATACACTTTAATGAGCTGGCCAGGCATGGTACCTCATGCCTGTAGTCCCAACATTTTAGAAGACTTGAAGCCAGAGGAGCACTTGAGCCCAGGAGTTGGAGACCAGCCTGGCAACATAGCAAGATCTCATCTCTACAAAAAACTGTAAGGCAGGCACAGCGACTCATGCCTGTAATACCAGCACTTTGGTAGGCTGAGGTGGGAGGATCGCTTAAGCTCAGGAGTTCAAGACCAGCCTGAGCAACATGGTGAAACCTTGTCTCTACTAAAAATGCAAAAATTAGTCAGGCTTGGTGGCACATGCCTGTAGTTCTATTTGCTTGGGAGGCTGAGGCAGGAGGATAGCTTCAGCCCGGGAGGTGGGGGTTGCAGTGAGCCAAGATCACACTACTTCACTCCAGTGGGGGCAACAGAGCAAGATTCTGTCTCAAAAAAAAAAAAAAAAGTTTAAAAAACCAGCCAGGCATGTACCTGTAATCCTTGGGAGGCCGAGGTGGAAAAATTCCTTAAGTCCAGGTGTTTAAGGCTGCATTGAGCTATGATAGCACCACTGCACTCCAGCCTGGGCAGCAGAGCAAGATCCTGTCTCAAAAAAAAACAGTTCATTTAGCTCACTGTCAGTCTTGGCACAAGACAGTTACCTTTAACTAGACTTAGAAGATAGCTAATAATTCCAGACATTGTTTGCTTTCTCCAGGCTAATACTGATGATTCTAATATGCTTCTTTTTTACAAAATGTCTAAGAGGAATATTTAGCCTGCTTGGAAAGGAAATAAGCTTGAAATTAAAATTTGATATGCAATTGTAATCAATTTGTCTAAGAAACTTTTTTTGTTTGTTTGTTTGTTTGTTTTTTGAGACGGAGTCTCGCTCGGTCGCCCAGGCTGGACTCCAGTGGTGTGATCTCGGCTCACTGCAAGCTCCGCCTCCTGGGTTCACTCCATTCTACTGCCTCAGCCTTCCCAGGCGCCTGCCACCACTCCCGGCTAATTTTTCTGTATTTTTAGTAGAGACGGGGTTTCACCGTGTTAGCCAGGATGGTCTCGATCTCCTGACCTCATGATCCACCCAACTCGGCCTCCCAAAGTGCTGGGATTACAGGTGTGAGCCACTGCGCCCAGCTGAAACTGTTTTAACAGTATCCTTTGTTTCCAACCATGTGCGTGTATTAACTGTTCATGATAAATTCTTTTTTTAATTTTTTTTTTTTTTTTTTTGAGACAGGGTCTAACTGTCGCCCAGGCTGGATTGCAGTGGTATGATCAGAGCTCACTGAAGCCTCCACTTCCCCAGGCTCAGGTGACTCTTTTACCTCAGCCTCCCAAGTAATTGCATCTACAGGTGCAGGCCACCACGCCCCACTAATTTTTATATTTTTAGAAGAGACAGGGTTTCACCATGTTAAGACTGGTCTGGAACTCCTGGGCTCAAGCAATCCACCTGCCCAGGCCCTTCCAAAGTGGGATTACAGGAGTGAGCCACTGAGCCTGGCTGATAAATTCTTATTCAAAGTAGATCAGGCCAGGGCCGGGCACAGTGGCTCACCCCTGTAATCCAAGCACTTTAGGAGGCCAAGGCAGGTGGATCATTTGAGGTCATGAGTTCAAGACCAGCCTGGCCAACATGGTGAAACCTCATTTCTAAGGAAATTACAAAAATTAGGCTGGGTGCGGTGGCTCAGGCCTGTAATCCCAGCACTTTGGGAGGCCGAGGTGGGTGGATCACGAGGTTAGGAGTTCAAGACCAGTCTGGCCAAGATGGTGAAACCCTATCTCTACTAAAAATACAAAAATTAGCCAGATGCAGTGGCAGGCGCCTGTAATCCCATCTACTGGGGAGGCTGAGGCAGGAGAATCGCTTTAAACCCAGGTGGCAGAGGTTGCAGTGAGCCAAGATTGCTCCACTGCACTCCAGCCTGGACAACAGAGTGAGATTTGGTCTCAAAAAAAAAATTAGTTGGTGTGGTGATGCATGCCTGTAATCCCAACTACTTGGGAGGCTGAGGCAGGAGAATCACTTGAACCCAGGAGGCAGAGGTTGCAGTGAGCTGAGAACAGAGTGAGACTCCATCTCAAAAATAAATAAATAAATAATTTTTTCTTTTTTATTTTTTTTGAGACAGAGTTTTGCTGTTGTTGTCCAGGCTGGAGTGCAATGGCGTGATCTCGGCTCACTGCAACCTCTGCCCCTGGGGTTCAAGCAATTCTCCTGCCTCAGCCTCCCGAGTACCTGGGATTAGAGGCATGCACCACCACGCCGGCTTTTTTTTCTCGAGACAGAGTTTCGCTCCTATCACTCAGGCTGGAGTGGAATGGCGTGATCTCCAGTCACTGCAATCTCCACCTCCTGGGTTCAAGCGATTCTCCAGCCTCAGCCTCCCGAGTAGCTGGGAGTACAGGCGCCCGCCACCACACCTGGCTAATTTTTGTATTTTCAGTAGAGACGGGGTTTCACCATGTTGGCCAGGCTGGTATCAAATTCCTGACCTCAGGTGATCCACCCGCCTCGGCCTCCCAGGGAGCTGGGATTACAGGCATGAGCCACTGTGCCTGGCCAATAAATAAATATTAAAAAAAAAAAAAGTATATCAAACAGTTGTGATACCGGGGGACTAGGGGAGGTCCCACGATTCCAGTGGGACTTTGACCCCAGCCAGTGTCCAGGCTCTTGACACCAAATGAGAAGGAATTCAGGGACGAATTGGAAAATAGTGAAAGTACAGAGATTTATTGCAAATCGAGAAGTACGCACTCAAGAAAGGGGAGTGTGAGCATACTCAAGAATGTCATGCTATGGGGTTTGAGGTTTCTATCCTTATGGGTTTTTGTTTTTCTGTTTTGTTTGTTTGTTTTGAGACAGGGTCTCTTTCTGTTGCCTAGGCTGGATTGCAGTGGAGCGATCACGGCTCAATGCAGCCTCGACCGCCAGGGATCAAGCGATCCACCCACCTTGGCCTCCCAAAGTACTGGGATTATAGACATGAACCACTGCATCTGGCCTCTTTATTTATGGGTTTTGTTTTTTGTTTTTTGTTTTTTTTTTACCAGGGAGTGGAATATTCATGAAGATTTCTGGAAAAAGGTGAAGATTTCTTGAACTGTGGTGCCACCCATTTTTACACCAAATACAGGTGTTCTCGGAACTGTCATGGTGCCGAGGGGGTGTGACTGAATATGTTAATGAGCAAACAATGAGGTTCCAGGTGAAACCTAGGTCAAATCCAGTGCCATGTTACATCCAGTGGGACCTGGCCAGCTTGGCCCACATCCTGGTTCTCAGGGTCTAATCAGCCTCTAGCTTATGCAGCTATTTCAACAGTTTCCTTTTTACTAGTCATATGAAATGCCTGTCTGGAATTTTCTTTTTTCTTTTTTGTTTTTGAGACAGAGTCTTGCCCTGTTGCCCAGGCTGGAGTACAGGGGTGCAATCTCAGCTCACTGCAACCTACGCCTCCCGGTTTCAAGCAATTCTCCTGCCTCAGCCTCCCTAGTAGCTGGGATTATAGGTGTGCACCACCGCGCCCGACTAATCTTTGTATTTTCAGTAGAGACAGGGTTTCACCCTGTTGGCCAGGCTGATCTCGAACTCCTGACCTCAGGTGATCTGCCTGCCTCAGCTTCCAAAGAGCCAGGATTACAGGTGTGAGCTACCATGCCCGGCCTCCTGCCTGGAGTTTTCTATTCTCCCACAACAACCCTGTATTATTCATGTCTCAGTTGTCTTACAGATATTTTATATACTTTCCACTCCCACATGGTAATCTGAATTTCTGAAAATAACTAAGAGGAATTTTGCAAAAATATAACTGGAAGACATAGCATGATTGATAGAATCCAGTAAAATTATCACCCCAACATGGCTGGGTTTTTTTTTGTTTTGTTTTGTTTTGTTTTTGAGACGGAGTCTCACTCTGTCACCCAGGCTGGAGTGCAGTGGCTCAATCTCAGTCCACTGCAACCTCCACCTCCCAGGTTCAAGCTATCCTCCTGCCTCAGCCTCCCAAGTAGCTGGGACTACAGGCTCGCACCACCATGCCTGGCTTATTTTTATATTTTTTTAGTAGAGATGGGGTTTTGCCATGTTGGCCAGGCTGGTCTTGAAATCCTGACCGCAGGTGATCTGCCCGCCTCAGCCTCCCAAAGTGCTGGGATTACAGGCATCAGGCATACGCAACCCCACTTGGCCTAAATAATCTTGTGTGTGTGTGTGGGTTTTTTTTTTTTTTAGACAAGAGTTTCGCTCTTGTTGCCCAAGCTGGAGTGCAATGGTGCAATCTTGGCCCACTACAACCTCCAGCTCCCAGGTTCAAGCTATTCTCCTGCCTCAGCCTCCCGAGTAGCTGGGATTACAGGAGGGTGCCACCACATCCGGCTAATTTTTTGTATTTTTAGTAGAAATGGGGTTTCACCATGTTAGCCAGAAGTTCAAAACCAGCTGGCCAACATGGTGAAACCCTATCTCTGCTAAAAATACAAAAATTAGCCTGGCGTGGTGGTGCTCACCTGTAGTCCCAGCTACTCAGGAGGCTGAGGCAGGAGAATTGCTTGAACCCAGGAGGCGGAGGTTGCAGTGAGCCGGGATTGCGCCACTGCACTCCAGCCTGGGTGACAGCGCAAGACTCTGTCTCAAAAACAAAAACAAAAAACAAAAAACAAAACCCAGCTTTATGGAGATATAATTCACATACCATACAATCCACCCACTTAAAGTGTACAATTCAATAGCTTTTAGTATATTAACAGGGTTGCATGATCATCACTGCAATCTAATTTTAGAAGTTTGTCACTCCAGAAAGAAACCTCATACTCATTAGCAGTCACTCTTCATATCCTCCTCCCCAGCCCTTGACAACCGCTAATCTACTTTCTGTCTCTATAGATTTGCCTCTTCTGGACATTTCATATAAATGGAATCATACAATATAGGGCCTTTATTGACTGGCTTTTTTCATTTAGCATATTTTTAACATTCATCCATGTTGTAGCATGTATCAGTACTTCACATCGTTTTATTACTAAATATTTCACTGTATGGCTATATTATATTTTATTTATCTCTTCATCAGTTGATAGGCATTTGGGTTATTTCCACTCTTTGGCCATTATGAATAATGCTGCTGTGAACATTTGTGTACAAGTTTGTATGTGGACATGTTTTTATTGCCCTTAGATGTATAACTTGAAGTGGAATTGCTGGCTCATAGTTTTAACTTTTTTTTTTTTTTAGACGTAGTTTCACTCTTGTTGCCCAGGCTGGAGTGCAATGGCGAGATCTCGGCTCACCGCAACTTCCACCTCCCGGGTTCAAGCGATTCTCCTGCCTCAGCCTTCTGAGTAGCTGGGATTACAGGCATGTGCCACCACGCCCAGCTAATTTTGTATTTTTAGTAGAATGGAGTTTCTCCATGTTGGTCAGGCTGGTCTGGAACTTCCCGACCTCAGGTGATCCGCCTGCCTCAGCCTCCCAAAGTGCTGGGATTACAGGCGTGAGCCACCAGGCCCAGCCTTTTAACATATGTTTAACTGTAATACTTATGTTAAACTACAACCCATATGATTATGTTTAACATTTTGAGTAACTGCCAAAATATTTTCCAAAACAACTGCAACATTTTACTTTCTCATCAGCAATGTGTGAGGGTTCCAACTTCTCCAAAGTTTCACCAATGCTTGTTATTATATTGTGTTCTTGATTATTACTATCCTAGTGTGTGGAAAATGGTATCTTGCTGTGTTTTGATTTGCATTTCCCGAATGACTAGTAATGTGGAGTATCTTTTTATGTTCTCTGTATTTTCTTGGAGAAATCATTTCCATTTATTCTGCCCTCCCCCCGCACCAGCTGGTGTTGAAACTGATTTATTTACTTATTTATTTATTTATCGGAGAAATTTTGTTTTGTTTTGTTTTTGAGACTGAGTCTTGCTCTGTCATGTAGGCTGGAGTGCAGCGGCACAATCTCGGCTCACTGCAACCTCTGCCTTCCGGGTTCCAGCGATTCTCCTACCTCAGCCTCCTGAGTAGTTAGGATTACAGGCGTGTACCACCACGCCCAGCTAATTTTTGTATTTTAGTAGAGACGGGGTTTCACCATGTTGGCCAGGCTGGTCTCAAACCCCTGACCTCAAGTGATCCACCTGCCTTGGCCTCCCAAAGTGTTGGGATTACAGGCGTGAGCCACTGCACCCAGCCAAGAAATTATTTTCAAAATTTATACTTGATAATAGACTTGTGTATCCAGAACATATATATCTTACATCTTAATAATACGGAGATAAAGAACTCAATTTAAAAATGGACAAAGCGGCTGGGCACAGTGGCTCACCCCTGTAATCCCAGCACTTTGGGAGTCCGAGGCGGGCAGATCACTGGAGGTCAGGCATTTGAGACCAGCCTGACCAGCATGGTAAAAACCCCATCTCTACTAAAAAAACACAAAAAATTAGCCAGCTGTGGTGGTGGGTGCCTGTAATCCCAGCTACTTGGGAGACTGAGGCAGGAGAATGGCTTGAACCCGGGAGGAGGAGAATGCAATGAGCCAAGATCGCGCCACTGCACTCCAGCCTGGACAGAGCGAGACCCTGTCTCTAAATAAATAAAATAAAAAGTAAAAATAGACAAAGGATCTGAATTTTTTTTTTTTTTTTTTGAGATACAGTTTCGCTCTTGTTGCCCAGGCTGGAGTGCAATGGGCAATCTCAGCTCACAGCAACCTCTGCCTTCTGGGTTCAAGCAATTCTTCTGCCTGAGCCTCCTGAGTAGCTGAGATTACAGGCATGTGCCACCACGTTCTGCTAATTTTGTATTTTTAGTAGAGACGGGGTTTCTCCATGTTGGTCAGGCTAGTCTCGAACTCCCAACCTCAGGTGATCCACCCACCTCGGCCTCCCAAAGTGCTGGGATTACAGGCATGAGCCACCGCGCCCAGCCATTAAGTCATTTTTTGAGAAAGCTCTTTGGTTGGTTGACGTGGGGAACGGAAACTCTATATAGGTTGAACAGTTCATTCTGAAAGCAGAATGGGCTAGTTCCCTTCTAAAGTTTGATAAGAAAGGGGCCGGGCATAGTGGCTCATGCCTGTAATCCCAGCTCTTTGGGAGGCCGAGGTGGGTGGATCATCTGAGGTCAGAAGTTCAAGACCAGCCTGGCCAACATGGCAAAACCCCATCTCTACTAAAATACAAAAAAAATGGCCAGACTTGGTGGTGGGTTCCTGTAGTCCCAGTTACTTGGGAGGCTGAGTTAGGAGGGTGGCTTAAGCCTGGGACGCAGAGTGATACAGAATGGCTGGGCTACTGGCCAAACCCCACCCCTAAGGCCTGGAACCATGGCCCTAAGTGAAAACAGCTGACCCCATTTTTCTGCCCAATGTTACCTTTTTGGCCTGCCATGCCCCTATCCTGTGCCCATAATGACTTCAGCTGGCAGAGCAACATAAGCGCCTGGGCAGCGAGCAGAGAAGCTACTGAGTGTCAGAGACTGCAGACGCAGCTAACTTCGGAGGGTACCTCCTGCACCATCCCCATTCTAGCTGCCATCCCACTGAGGGCCATTTCCATCACCCAGTAAAATCCTCCACATACACTACCCCTTCAATCCATTCATTTGTCCTGATTCTTCCTGGATGCCAGACAAGAACCCGGGTGCCAAGAGGGCAGGGGCTTGGATGCTGCTGCCAGGGCTGTACAGAGCCTGCTCCTGCCAGAGAGGACCGACCAACCAGTTCCAGCATTCGCTCACTCTGGTTCCCACACTGCTTGCTCACACATTTCCTCTTCCAAAAAGTGGCCAGCAGTGGGCTGAAAGGAGCCACTCCAGTTCCTGCCCACGAAGGGGGTCAAGGTCAAGGGAATTATCCCATCTCAGGAGGTTGCCATAAGCCAAGATTGCGCCACTGCACTCCAGCCTGGGCGACAGGCTGAGACCCCATTTCAAAAATAAATAAAAAATAAAGTTTGATAAGAAGGAAAAAGAGATGGCAATGGTAGCTTGTTAGAGGGCTAAGATCAGTGGGAATTTTTATTTTTATTTTTTTAGAGATGGTGCATCTTGTCATGTTGCTCAGGTGGTCTAGAACTCCTGGCCTCAAGCAGTCCTCTCACCTCAGCCTCCCAAAGTGCTAGGATTACAGACTTGAGCTGCCACACCCCGCCTTCAGTGGGAATTTTTTTTCTTTGAGACGGAGTCTTGCTCTGTCGCCCAGGCTGGAGTGTGATGGCGTGATCTTGGCTCATCGCAACTTCCACCTCCCAGGTTCAAGCAATTCTCCTGCCTCTGCCTCCTGAGTAGCTGGGATTACAGGCATGCACCACCATGCCCAGCTAATTTTTTGTATTTTTAGTAGAGACGGGGTTTCTCCATGTTGGTCAGGCTGGTCTCAAACTCCTGACCTCAGGTGATCCGCTGGCCTCGGCCTCCAAAGTGCTGGGACTACAGGCGTGAGCCATAGCACCCAGCCTTCAGTGGGAATTTTTAATGAGGGAGGGGGAACATGTCTTAGGATGATAGGAAAGAATTGGGAAAGTGTATCTACCAAAAGTGCTGTGAGTGTTGATAGTAGAAAAAGATGAGGTTAAAGTGGTGAAAGGATTTGTAAAAGAAGATCTTCTGCTAGGCCTTGACTAAGCAGAGGGTTTCCCAAGCCTAAGAAAGAACATAAGCAAAGGCAGGATAGAACCCAAGTCAAGGTATAAAAGGACAGAGGGGCCAGGCACAGTGGCTCACGCCTGTAATCCTAACACTTCAGTATTGCATCCTCCAAGGTAGGAGGATGGTTTGTGTCCAGGAGTTCGAGACTCCTGGGCAACACAGTGAGACCCTGTCTCTACAAAAAAATTATAAAATTATTTCAGCCTGGCCAACATGGTGAAACCCTATCTCTACTAAAAATACAACAAATTAGCTGGGTGTGGTGGAGGGCGCCTGTAATCCCAGCTACTCAGGAGGCTGAGGCTCAAGAATCGCTTGAACCCAGAAGGCAGAGGTTGCAGCGAGCCAAGATTGCACCACTGCACTCCAGCCTGGGCTACAGAGCAAGACTCTGACTCAAAAAAAAAAAAAAAAAAATTTAAAAAATTAGCCAGGCGTGGTGGTGCACACCTGTGATCCTACATATACTCAGAAGGCTGAGGCGGGAGGATCACTTCAGCCCTGAAGGTAGAGGTTGCAGTGAGCTGTGTTTGTGCCACTGCACTCCAGACTGGGCAAGAGACCAAGACCTGTCCAGGGAAAAAAAGAAAAAAAGAAGGGAAGAAAGGAAGATAGGGAGGGAGGGAGGGAGGGAGGGAGGAAGGAAGGAAGGAAGGAAGGAAGCAAGGAAAGAAGGAACATTGGAGGAATGGGAAGGGAAATCTTAAATGCAGGAAAATTTGATGTATTGGAGGTACAGTGAGAAATAAGGTAGACTGTGACTAGATTTTAGTTATTCTGGGAATGACGTTGGGAAAGGATTGAGAGTGGGGAGAATTTGGTATTGGGAAAGTCGGAAATTAAATTAATCCAGGCATGTGATAAAGCTCTGGAGCAGGGTATTGGCAATGGGAGGGGAGAGGAATCAGCAGCCAAGGGAGGCCAAGCAGAGCAACCACAGCTGGATGGCCACAGGGTCATGTAGGGCAGAGATGACCAAGGGCTGGGATGCCACCACTGCAACATGCCTATAACTGCCATTGGTCACATGCCACCACTGCCCATGGGTGTTTTCTCAACTGTTCTTACTTCTTTCCATCACAAGATTCCAAGTACTATGTGGGGGTGCCTGTGCCCTGGATGCTGAGAGCCATGAGAGGATCTCTGCCCTTAAACTTCTAAAGAGGGAGGTAGAGACCTGGCTCTTACAAAACATGCAGACAATTCTTCCCAAATTGCAGAGGAAATGGGATGCCAGACAGACAAAAGGAGAAAAGGTTCACACTACAGGGCCACACTGAAAGGCTTTATATATGCCCCTCTGGCAGGGGAAAGGGGTACATCTTATGTTGTAAAAAAGTGCTGTGATCAACTTTAGGCAAATAATCCTGGGAGCAATATGAGGTTTGGGCTGGAGAGGGAGTAGATTGTTTATAAAGAGACCAGGGAAAGTGTGTAAGAGAAGGCAGATTAGAGGAGCATTTGTTTCTCGGGGAGGATCACAGGCTCTGGTGACTAAAACAATGGAGGAAGTAAAAGAGAAGGAATTTGGGACTTGGTTCATGGCAATGCCATCAATTGATTCTGAGAATACAAGCCATAAAATATGTTTGTGGATGAAGATGATCAAATCATTAAAAACTAGTTATGTGAAATATACATACTTTACTATAGATCTCAGGAAAAAAGAACAGAAATGGAGATGGTGCTTCTGTTCTCATTGAGCCTCACAGAAGGTAATAAAGGCAAGAAAGTGGATGAAATCCTCCAGGAAGAAAAAGGGAGGAAAAATAGAACTAAGGACAAATCCTGGGAACATCAGTATTACACAATCAGTAGAAGAGGGAAAAAATCAGGAGAGATTCATACCAGTGAAGCCAAAGGAAAAAAAAGAAAACACAGTGGGGTAGAGAATGGGGAAGTCATCCTGGTGACAGGCTGCAGAGAAAGCAAATGATTCAACACCGGGGGAAGAGGATCACTAGCAATTAGCAGGTCAGTGTTGACCTTAGCGAAAGTAGCTTCAGAAGAGACAGGACAGCGTCTAGAAGGCAATGGGTTGAAGAGTGTGCCAGTTATTAACTTATTGCCTCTTAGTTCAAATTCAGGCCAGGTGAATCACCTGAAGTCAGGAGTTCAAGACCAGCCTGGGCCAACAAGGTGAAACCCCGTCTCTACTAAAAATACAAAAAAAAATTTTAGCCAAGTATAGTGGTGGGTGCCTATAATCTCAGCTACTTGGGAGGCTGAGGCAGGAGAATCACTTGAACCTGGGAGGTGGAGGTTGCAGTGAGCTGAGATCATGCCATTGCACTCCAGCCTGGGAGACAAGAGTGAAAACTCCGTCTCAAAAAAAAAAAAACAAAACCACACACACAAACCTAAAAAACAAATTCACCCTTTGCACCTCTCTGTGAAAATGGATCTGAAGCTCTGTCAGCAGAGGGTGCTAGAGAGGCACTGAAAAGGAAGGTTTTGTTTCCTAGCTCTGGTGTCCTGGCTTGACAGGCTCCTGCAGCATCCAGGGCTGCTCCATGATCTGGCTCTTGCAGCATGGGGTGGCTTCTCCAGGACGCTTCTGGGCCTGCAGTGGACAGCAGCCAGCAGCCTCCCTGAGCATCTGTTCCATACCCCACCTGCTGGGGCAATATTATAGGCTGCTTTCCATGTCTGCTGAGACACCTACCTAGGAATAGCTTTCCCCCAGCATCCTAGAGCAGGGGTCAGCAAACATTTCCAATAAACATTTTAGACTCTGTGGGTCATTGGGTCTGTCACAACTACAATTGACCCTGAACATGGGTTTGAATTGTGCGGGTATATTTGAACACATTTTTTTTCAATAAAAGTTACACCCAGTGTGCACCTGCCTCCCTTCTACCTCCTCCACCTCTTCTGCCTCTGCGACCCAGAGACAGCAAGACCAACCCTTCCTCTTCCTCAGCCTACTCAAAGTGAAAACTATGAGGATCAAGACCTTTATGATGATCCACTTCCACTTAACAAAGAGTAAATAGGACCAGGCATGGTGGCTCACACATGTAATCCCAGCACTTTGGGAGACCAAGGTGGGTGGATCACTTGAGGTCAGGAGTTCGAGATCAGCCTGGCCAACATGGCGAAACTCTGTCTCTACTACAAATACAAAAATAATCCGGGCATGGTGGTGCACATCTGTAGTCCCAGCTACTTGGGAAGCTGAGGCAGGAGAATTGCTTGAACCCAGGAGGCAGAAGTTGCAGTGAGCTGAGATTGTGCCACTGCACTCCAGCCTGGGCAACAGAGTTAGGCTCTGTCTCACCCCCCCAAAAAAAAAAAAAGAAAAAAAGAAAAGAAAAAAGAAAAAGAAACCTTTTCTCTACTAAAAATACAAAAATTAGCCGGGCATGGTAGTGGGAGCCTGTAATCCTAGCTACTTGGTAGGCTGAGGCAGGAGAATCGCTTGAATCCTGCAGTGAGCTGAGATCGCACCACTACACTCCAGCCTAGGCCACAGAGCAAGATCCTGTCTCAAAAAAAAAAAGAAAAAACAAAACAAAAAGAAAAAAAGAGGCCGGGCGCGGTGGCTCACGCCTGTAACCCCAGCACTATGGGAGGTAGAGGTGGGTGGATCGTGAGGTCAGGAGTTCGAGACTAGCGTGGCCAATATGGTGAAACTTTGTCTCTACTAAAAATACAAAAATTAGCCAGGAATGGTGGTGGGCGCCTGTAGTCAGCTACTCGGGAGGCTGAGGCAGAAGAATCGCTTGAACCTAGGAGGCAGAAGTTGCAGTGAGCCGAGATTGTGCCACTGCACTCCAGCCTGGCAACAGAGTGGGACTCCATCTCAAAAAAAAAAAAAAAAGAAAAGAAAAAGAAGAAGAAATTTGAAATGTCAAAGTTAAGAAATTCAGTTTAAAATGTTTTATTTCATAGCTCATAAAAAAGTATGTATGTACAAGACTCAAGTAAATAGAAAGGCAGCTTTCAATCACAAATCAGTTTTTCAGATTTTACTGTGGAAGCATATTTAATGCACACATTTGAATGTTACACATAAATAATTTTAACGATGGAGTCCAAGTTCTGGATTTTACATTAGATCTGCATATATAAGACACTTGTGGTCAAATTTCAAGATTGGTAAAGCCAGTTTCAAGCTGCTTATATTTTGAGTACAGGTTTCACTATTACAAATATATGATGTTAAACTAACAAACTCATGACCTTCAAAGATGTCTTCGTCCCACGCACACACATTTGTAATTTGTGTCCATTTGCTATTTCCCTTCTTCTATAATCTTCAAATTATATAGTTATGCATTGAGTTCCCTATGCATCTCACCCATCTCCTTTATCTGAAACAGGAAAAAGCACAGAAAAAAATTCTAAATAATTTTTCAATCTTTTGTTCATTCTGAAAATAGTATTAAATAAAAATGAAATTAAAGGAACACAAGATAATTTTTTCCCACATTTATAAGACTTATTTAAATAAAAAAAGAAAAAGTTATATTGCAAGGAAACACACATTTAAGTGTTTTCAAGGTTCTATTTAGAGACAAGATCGCCAAAGTGACTAGGGCAAGTTGGAGGTAAGCTAGATCATTAAGAATAAGATTTTTATTAAATGCATACTATTTTTAATGCTAGAAAAAATTGATTTACTTTCTATTATCAATCTTTCATTTTACATGTGGGGAAACTCAAGTTCAAAATTAGTGTTTGTCTCAGATCACACAACTAGTTACAGGCAAACTGAGACAATGATAATGACAACTACCACTCTGTTGACAAATATTTTCTTATGTGGCAAGCATGGGACCAACACTTTACACTGATTATGTTTAATCCTTGCAACAGGTCCATACTATCTATTATCCTCATTTTACAGATGAGGAAACATGGAGGCTTAAAGAAGTTATATAATTTTGCCCAGCCAAACCCAGGTCTGTACTGCTCTGCACTGCAACACTACATTGTCATTCTGCCTGTCTGTTACCATTCAATTCAGGGTTAGTCTTCTAGACTTGCGGTCACCAAACCAAATAAACCAGATGACCTACTACAGAATGGGAAAAAAATGCTAGAACTTTCTGGTTCCATTAGACTTTTTCCAATATTCCTTTACGTTTCTATTTTTATTACTTGCTAAAATATTAGTAAGTGGCCCACATACAACTACAAAGACACACAAAAATTGAGATATGTGAAAAATGTTATTGATAGGGTTCAAGGATAAGTGTTCATATTCAATTCCAAGGGACTGAAACACACTAACAATCTGACACTTTGATGTCACACTAGTATAGACTAGTTAGTACACAATAGATTATGACAAATTAAGTTCATATTAAATGATTATTTCACTGGCATAGAGATAATAAATCAGATCATCAGTCACAATGAGTTTCTCCAAGGTGAATCCACTGGAGTATGCCTTCAGAAGATTCTGTTAGATGTTGACTCTTTGTAGAATAAAAACCATAGGCTTCCCATTCCACTCTTCTATGAGGCAGAAAACAGATGGTGATCTGCCATGGAACTCACGCAAGAATATTTAGGTAAGAGTACATTCTAAGACTGTCCCTAAGACCCTAAAGACAACAGTATAAAGGGACTCCAGTATAACTGAAATGCATCAGTGTGTAGGAAGGTAGAGTGATTAGGAGTAAGAGATTCAACAGGGCCTTTCTATTTAGGTAAGTAATCCATTTACCTCAGCCTTCTCATACTTTGCCATTCTCTTCTTTCTGGAAATAACCTGAGTGGAAGAAAGACAACTATTGTTTTAGGACTGCTATTCAAAAAAAGATTATCTAAACAGACATATATGCTTTTAATGGACATAATTTTGATCTGAAAAAAAACTAATTTTAACATCTATCCATAAACATTTATTGCTTCTTAAATTAAAAATTTCACACCAGTGGAGTGGCTCATGCCTGTAATCCCGGCACTTTGGGAGGCCGAAGCGGGAAGATCATCTGAGGTCAGGAGTTTCAGACCAGCCCAGCCAACACGGTGAAACCCCATCTCTACTACAAATACAAAAATTAGCCAGGTGTCATGGCACGCACCTGTAGTCCCAGCTACTCAGGAGGCTAAGGCACCAGAATTGCTTGAACCCAGGAGGCAGAGGTTGCAGTGAGTGGAGATGGCATCACTGCTCTCCAGCCTGGGCTACAGAGTAAGACCCTGTCTCTTAAAAATAAATAAGGTGGGCTGGGCGTGGTGGCTCACCGGTACTTTGTGGGGCCGAGGTGGGCGGATCACTTGAGGTCAGGAGGTCAAGACCAGCCTGGCCAACATGATGAAACCCCCCGACTCTACTAAAAAAACAAAAAAATTAGCCAGGCGCGGTGGTGGTCGCCTGTAATCCCAGCTACTTGGGAGACTGAAGCAGGAAAATCACTTGAACCCGAGAGGCAGAGGTTGCAGTGAGCCGAGATGGCGCCATTGCACTCCAGCCTGGGCGACAGAGTGGGACTCCATCTCTAAAAAAAAATTAAAATAAAATAAAATAGGTCAGGCATGATGGCTCATGCCTGTAATCTTACCACTTTCAGAGGCTGAGGTGGGTGGATCACTTTAGGTCAGGAGTTCAAGACCAGCCTGGCCAATATTGTGAAACCTCATCTCTACTAAAGATACAAAAATTAGCCAGGCGTGGTGGCAGGCGCCTGTAATCCCATCTACTCGGGAGGCTGAGGCAGGAGAATAGCTTGAACCTGGGGGGCAGAGGTTGCAGTGAGCCAAGATCATGCACCATTGCACTCCAGCCTGGGCAACAGAAGGAGACTCTGTCTCCATAAATAAATAAAATAAAATAAAAACTTTCACTACTAAACAAAAAAAAGTCTACCACGACAAGTGAAACAAACAAACAAAAATCAAAATCAAAAACAATGCTGGATCCAATGGGACAACAGAAAAGAAAGAGAAAGAAAAAAAGGAAACAATGAATAATCTTTAAAGAAATTTAACAGTTTAGGCCAGGCATGGTGGTTCACGCCTATAATCACAGCACTTTGGGAGGCCGAAGTGAGCAGATCACCTGACATCAGGATTTCGAGATCAGCCTGGCCAACATGGTGAAACCCTATCTCTACTAGAAATACAAAAAAATTAGCCAGGTATGGTGGTGCACGCCTGTAGTCCCAGCTACTTGGGAAGCTGAGGCAAGAAAATGGCTTGAACCTGGGAGATGGAGGTTGCAGTGAGCCGAGATCGTGCCACTGCACTCCAGCCTGGGCAACAGAGCAAGACTCCATCTCAAAAAAAAAAAAAAAAAAAAAAAAAAAAAAAAAAAAAAAAAAAAAGAAGAAGCCGGGCACAGTGGCTCATGCCTGTAATCCTAGCACTTTGAGAGGCCGAGGCAGGCGGATCACGAGGTGATGAGTTCGAGACCAGCCTGGCCAATATGGTGAAACCCTGTCTCTACCAAAAAATACAAAAATTAGCTGGACATGGTGGCTTCTGCATGTAGTCCCGGCTACTCGGGAGGGTGAGGCAGGAGAATCAATTGAACCCGGCAGGTGGAGGCTGCAGTGAGCCGAGATCATGACACTGCACTCCAGCCAGGGCAACACAGAGAGACTCCTTTTCTTTTTTTTTTTTTTTTCAGATGGAGTCTCGCTCTGTCACCCAGGCTGGAGTGCAGTGGTGCAATCTCGGCTCACTGCAAGCTCCGCCTCCCAGGTTCACGCCATTCTCCTGCCTCAGCCTCCCAAGTAGCTGGGATTACAGGTGCCCGCCACCACACCTGGCTAATTTTTTGTATTTTTAGTAGAGACAGGGTTTCACCGTGTTAGCCAGGATGGCCTCGATCTCCTGACCTCGTGACCCAGCTGCCTTGGCCTCCCAAAGTGCTGGGATTACAGCAGTGAGCCACCACGTCCGGCCAGCGAGACTCCATTCCAAAAAAAAAAAAGAAAGAAATTTAACAGTTTGGTGTGCATTCTTCCACATCCTCCTTTTCCACACTAATACAAATATCATATATAAACACATGCATCTAAGTTTTGGGGTCTAAAAATGGGACCATGCAGTATCATCACCACCTGTGCACAGCTTGTATCAACATCATAGCAACCATTCCAGATCCAAAGATAAAGATCGAACTCATTCACCATTCACATTATTCCCTATCGTAGATACAATAAACATAATTTACTCTCTTACTGATACACACTCAGGCTATTTTCCAGATTCACTTTTGTTGTTGTTTTTATTCATTTTTTGAGACAGAGTTTTGCTCTCGTTGCCCAGGCTGGAGTGCAATGACATGATCTCGGCTCACTACAACCTCTGCCTCCTGGGTTCAAGTGACTCTCCTGCCTCAGCCTCCTGAGTAGCCAGAATGACAGGCATGCACCACCATGCCTGGCTCATTTTGTATTTTTAGTAGAGACGGGGTTTCTCCGTGTTGGTCAGGCTGGTCTCGGACTCCCAGCCTCAGGTGATCTGCCCACCTCAGCCTCCCAAAGTGCTGGGATTATAGGCGTAAGCCACCACGCCTGGCCAGATTCACCTTTACAAGCAATGCTATGATACAATAACAATGTGCTTCCTTATTGCACTTGTGTTTTCATTTATTTCTACAGAACAATTAGACTTCCAGCATTAACCACTTGTGTTCATTTGCCATCTGAAATTTCTATTAACTGTCTATCCCTACCTGTTGTCATTCTTTCTTTAGGTTTCCTCATCAATTTGTAAGAACTCTTTGTATATTATGTATAATATCCATTTTTGCTTTATGCGCCATATTTTTTTCATGCCCATCGTTATTTTTTACTTTACAGTTTCTTTGCCATATAAAATGCTTAATTTTAATGAAGCCAAAATATATATATATAGGACTAGGTGCAATGGCTCATGCCTGTAATCCCAGCAGTTTGGGAGGCTAAGCCAAAAGAACTGCTTGAGCCTAGGAGTTCAAGCCCAGCCTCGGCAGCCATAGCAAGAATTCGTCTCTACTAAAAATTAAAAAATTAGCCAGGTATAGTGGCACATACCTGTAGTCCTTGCTACTTGGGAGGATAGGTCAGGAGGATTACTTAAGTCCAGGAATTGGAGGTTGCAGTGAGTTATGATCATGCTACTGCACTCCAGCCTGGGTGACACAGCAAGACCCTCTCTCAAAATATACATACACATATATGTATCTTTTCTTTCATGGATTCCAGATTTCTTGCCTTACATAATTTCCCCTACCACAAGGTTGTACAAACATTCCCTCAATTAATTTTCTTGGGAGTTTACTTTTTTGTATTTTTAAATATGTAAATGTCTTTGAAAATGGATACACTGCCCAACGCCTTTCCTACTACTGTGCTCTGGACATGCCACCCTCACACAGCTGGGCAATATGGCCAGCCTGGTGGAGTGAAATAGGAATTCAACTTTCATTTTGTTCCAGATGGATAGCCAAACATGGTTGATTGAACTGGAAATCTAAGTTCCTAAATACCCTCAAACCTCTTTCTGAATTCTGTTGTGTTAGTAAGATTTCTTTTTTTTTTTTTTTTTTTTGAGACGGAGTTTCACTCTTGTTGCTCAGGCTGGAGTGCAATGGCATGATCTCAGCTGCAACCTCCACCTCCTGGGTTCAAGTGATTCTCCTGCCTCAGCCTCCTGAGTAGCTGGGATTACAGGCATGAGACACCATGCCCGGATAATTTTGTATTTTTAGTAGAGATGGGGTTTCTCCACGTTGGTCAGGCTGGTCTCGAACTCCCGACCTCGGGTGATCCACCCGCCTCAGCCTCCCAAAGTGCTGGGATTACAGGCATGAGCCACTGTGCCTGGCCTTTTTTTTTTTTTTTTTTTTTTTTTTTTTGAGACAGAGTCTTGCTCTGTCACCCAGATTAGAGTGCAGTGGCATGATCTTGGCGCACTACAACCTCTGCTTCCCAGGTTCAAGCTATTCTCCTGCCTCAGCCTCCCGAATAGATTACAGGCATGTGCCACCACGCCCAGCTAATTTTTTTGTATGTTCAGTAGAGACAGGGTTTCACCATGTTGGCCAGGCTGGTCTCGAACTTCTGATCTCAAGTGATCTACCCGCCTCAGCCTTCCAAAGTGCTGCGATTACAGGCCTGAGCCATCACACCTGGCCAGTGTTAGTAAGATTTCTTGATACCGAAGCATCCTTACATTCCTAAAATAAACCTTTCACTTCTTCAAGCAATACATTCTTTTGCTGAAGCACTGTTAAATTCAATTTGCTCATCTTTACTTGGAAGTATTGATTCACATATCACTTTTAACTCTTTTGTATGGCTAACGTTAACTTTGTGTTCTGTTGTTCCATCTTATTGAGTGGTTTGGGGGTTCAGGTATTTTGCACTAGGTGTTGAATTGTTTGCAGTGACAACTGAAAGACGCTTGCTGCTAGATGGCAATTTAACTGGCCTGTGAGGTGCACAGCCACAAGCTTTTTAATATTAGCATCCTTTCTTGCTTCATAAAATGACTTTTGTAAAAAGAGACCAGAGATACAATAGATTCATTCACCATAAAAAAATTATTTAAAAATGAAGATTTTTTTCCCTGAATGTTTTGGAATATGGATGTTACTTTTTCATATTTCCTTTTTTCTTCTTTTTGAGACAGGGTCCTGCTGTGTTGCCCAGGCTGGAGTGCAGTGGTGTGATCATGGCTCACTGCAGCTTTGACCTCCTGGACTCAACTGACCACTCCCACATCAGCCTCCTAAGTAGATGGGACCACAGGTGCAAGCCATCACATCTGACTAATTTTTGTATTTTTACTACAGATAAGGTTTCACCATGTTGCCCAGTGTGGTCTCAAACTCCTGGGCTCAAGTGATCCACCTGTCTCAGCCTCCCAAAGTGTAGGGATAACAGGTGTGGTGAGCCACCGCGCCCAGCCACTATTACTTTTTCTTGAAAAAATATACCCTTAAATGAAATTTTACTTGTTCTGTACTCACCAGCACAACAATTCCAGCAACAACTGCTATCACCACAACCACAATAACAGCAATAACACCAGCTTTTAGACCCTGCATTGAGAATTCAGGTGCTTTTTCATCAACATAATAAATTAAAGTTTGACCAGGATCCAGATCCAGTTGTTCCCCATTTACTGTCAGGTCCATTTTCTTAGAATGAAACAAGGATTCACCTTTAACCTGTATTGAAAAGGAGAAAAGGAATTAAAAATATTTAAGGAAACCAACCATGGCCACATATAATTACATACAAATTGTATGCCAAAAGAACCGCTGCCAAGAATCTTTATGGTTTTAGTGATAACAATCTAATTTATTGGAACTTTAAAAAACTGTTTATTACAGGAACCTTTCAACATACACGAAAGT
Source organism: Homo sapiens (assembly GCF_000001405.40). NCBI lineage: Eukaryota > Metazoa > Chordata > Mammalia > Primates > Hominidae > Homo > Homo sapiens. The sequence continues at coordinate 47,379,579 of NC_000002.12, read as the reverse complement.
AGAAAGAGTAGTGCAATGATGCCCATGTACCTATCACCCAGATGCAAGGCCAACAACACATAGCCTCTCTTACTTCATCTTTTCTTCCTTTCATCCTTTCACCCCCGCCCAGATTATTTTGAAGCAAACCTCATATTTCAGCAGAAAATACCTCACTATAATATATTAAAGTTTCAACAAAATATTTTAATCATATCAGTTACAGTCTTTTTTAACAGACTTTTATTTGTGTAAATTATAAATATCATAGGGGAGCATATATGCACAAACTAAGTAACCACCAAGTAGATAATAAATAAGAATTATAAGAAAGAGGGGAGATATTTTAGGCAGAACAATTTGATAAGAGGCATAAATATACAAACAAGCAAGATGCATGTGAGTGACAGGGAGGACAAAATTAACGGCAGCAGCGAACCATTTGGTTGATCTGTAAGTGGATAAAAAGGTGATGAAATATATTTAATTCATTGAGGCATGATAGACTACATTCCTGAACACAGGAATAAAGAAGATGATACTCACATCTTTTTCAAAATAATAAGCCACATCAGCTATGTCCACATCATTCTGAGTTTTTTGAGAAGAATTTTGAACCAGATCAATAGTGATAACATTATTCTCATACTGGGGAAAAAAATTGAATAATACAAATTAATACTAATATAATCAAAATCATTTGAAAATAACATTAATTGAGAATCAGAATATTCAGTGTTTGATTTTCTATAATCTACATGCATCACTGTTCCTTTCCATTAGTGGATAACTAAGTTTATCACTAATCAAGAAATCTTTGGGAGGTCTCTAAATCTATCAAAGGGAAATAAGACAGCCATGCAACCAAACATAATTACAATGTACAATTTTTCCTAAGAGGATTTTCTTATATTGAAAAGATTTTTAAATAAGATATGAAAGTATTTTATTTGGATTAGAACTACTTTAAAACTAAATTACTAAAGAAATGAAAGGTAAGGCCGGGTGCAGTGGCTCATGCCTGTAATCCCAGCACTTTGGGAGGCTGAGGTGGGCGGATCACCTGAGGTCCGGAGTTCAAGACCAGCCTGACCAACATGGAGAAACCCCATCTCTACTAAAAATACAAAATTAGCCAGGCGTGGTGACACATTGCCTGTAATCCCAGCTACCAGGGAAGCTGAGGCAGGAGAATCGCTTGAACCTGGGAGGCAAAAGTCGTGGTGAGCCGAGATGGCGCCATTGCACTCCAGCCTGGGCAACAAGAGCGAAACTCCGTCTCAAAAAAAAAAAAAAAAAAAGAAAAGAAAAAGAAATGCAAGGTAAAACGCAGCATGCATTTTCCATGTTGTTTTTTTGTTTTGTTTTTGAGACGGAGTCTTGCTGTGTCGCCCAGGCTGGAGTGCAGTGGCACAATCTCAGCTGACTGCAAGCTCCGCCTCTCAGGTTCACGCCATACTCCTGCCTCAAGCCTCCCGAGTAGCTGGGACTACAGGTGCCCACCACCACATTCGGCTATTTTGTATGTTTTTAGTAGAGACAGGGTTTCACTGTGTTAGCCACGATGGTCTCGATCTCCTGATCTTGTGATCCACCTGCCTCGGCCTCCCAAAGTGCTGGGATTACAGGCGTGAGCCACCGTGCCCGGCCATCATTTTGTTTTTAAAGAGTAAAAAAAGTACATTCTTTCTAAAGACTCTTGAATAAATTCATACTACCTTTAAAGAGTTCCGTCACACTATTCAAGCTTCTTTTTATTTTTTAAACCAGAGTTTAAAGAGTTAAGTAAGGGCTAACTAGTTAAGGACTAGTTCCTTAAAGCAGAGAAGATGGGAGCTCCAGTAACATCCTAAAGTAAATATGCACCAAAACTGTATTTACCAAAAGTAATTTTGGTGCATATTTACTTTAAGATGTTACTGGAGCTCATCCACAGGGACAGGTTCTCCAGGATAAGAAAACTCAAATGTTTTAGGGATACTAAGAGATACTACGTTTTCTTTAGGAGTAAAACTAGGCTTTTCAAAGGCTATGGAAGGAAAACAACGATAACCAAAAACAATGGGCCGGGCGTGGTGGCTCACACCTGTAATCCCAACACTTTGAGAGGCTGAGGCAGACAGATCACTTGAGGCCAGGAGTTCGAGACCAGCCTGGCCAACATAGCAAAACCCCGCCGACACTAAAAATACAAAAATTAGCTGGGCATGGTGACATGTGCCTGTAGTCCCAGCTCCTCGGGAGGCTGAGGCATGAGAATTGCTTGAACCTTGGAAGCAGAGGTTACATTGAGCCGAGATCTTGCCATGACACTCCAGCCTGGGGAAGAGAGCAATAGTCTGTCTTAAAGAAACAAACAAACAAAAAAAAACAGTAACAGGAAATTCACATTAAGTACCCAGATCCGAAACTGTTGCTCCAGTAAGTGCATTTAACCACCACTTAAATCACTGGCTGTCCTTATACTCAAAACATACTGTCTCACCAACTGTCTGCTAAAGCTCACTTATTAAAAAATCATACCAAAATACTCGTGATAAATTTTGGATCCAGTTGATAACGCGTTGTGATCTCCTTCTGAAGTGCACTGTAAAGAATTTAAAATCTGTATTAAAAAAAAATGTTTGTACCACACAACAGTAAGAAGCACTACTCTTTAAGCAGACAGCTCAGGGTCTAAAACTGTCATTAAAGTTAAAATTTTTCTGCCATTTTGCAACTATCATAATAATAATTGATTCAGGCTGGAATCATCCATTGATATTCAAACTGCTGGGTACCAGTTTAATTAGAAAAAGAACATTTACTTAGTATCCAAGTATCTGCCCATAGATTATTTATGGATTACAAAGGGAGAATGGTAACTTCACAGTGGAAAAACCTGGTGGATACCACTTTAACCAAAGTTTACTTTACTAGTAAAGGGACAAGCTGACATCATGCAACTCCTAATGTGAAGTATTATAAAGGACACAAGATCGCTTAAGTAGTTTTCCTGTCAAAAATGCATAACCTGCTTTTAGTTAAGAGGGAACATCAAGGCTCGGGTGAGGTGGCTCATGCCTGTAATCCCAGCACTTTGGGATGCTGAGGTGGGCAGATCACCTGAGGTTGGGAGTTCGAGACCAGCCTGACCAACGTGGAGAAACCCCGTGTCTACTAAAAATACAAAAAAAATTAGCCAGGCATGGTGGCGCACGCCTGTAATCCCAGCTACTCAGGAGGCTGAGGCAGGAGAATCGCTTGAATCCGGGAAGCAGAGGTTGCGGTGAGCCGTGATTGCACCATTGCACTCCAGCCTGGGCAACAAAAGGGAAAACTCCAACTCAAAAAAAAAAAAAAAAAAGGAGGAAATATCAGACAAATCAAAATTTGAGGGACATTATATATAATGACTTGCCCATGCTCTTTAAAAATAGCAAGTTCATGGAAGACAAAGAAAGGCCAAGAAACTGTTCGATATTAAGAGACTAAAGAGTCATGACAACTAAATGTGATACATGGATCTTGGACTGGGTCCTGAATCAGAGGGGAAAAATTACTACAAAGGACAATATTGGGAAAATGGGCACAACGTGATATAACGTTAAATTTCCTGGCCGGGCGCGGAAGCTCACACCTGTAATTGCAGCACTTTGGGAGGCAGAGGCGGGAGGATCACAAGTTCAGGAGTTCGAGACCAGCCTGGCCAATATGGTGAAACCCTGTTTCTACTAAAACTACAAAAATTAGCAGGGCGTAGTGGCAGGCACCTGTAGTCCCAGCTACTTGGAAGGCTGAGGCAGGAGAATCGCTTGAAACCGGCAGGCGCAGGTTGCAGTGAGCTGAGATCACGCCACTGCACGCCAGCCTGGGTGACAGAGCGAGACTCCGTCTAAAAAAAAAAAAAAAAATTTTTCCTAAATTTGATCGTTGTATAGTGGTTTATATAAAAGAATGCCTTTTGTTCTTAGGAAAACATACACTGAAGTACTTAGGGGTAAAGGGGCCTGATGTCTACAACTTGCTCTCATGTGCTTCTGGGAAAAATATTTATACATGCATAGATACACTGATGTAAAGCACACACACATATTCATCCACACATACACATATAAAAAGCAAATGTGCCAAAATGTTAATTGGTGAATCTGAGTGAAGTGTATTCCCAGAATCTCTGTGCTATTCTTGCAACTCTATTTCAAGTAACTTTATTTTTCAGAAATATAAAAAAGCATTTAGACTTGCTTTTTCTAATGGTGTAGGATGGAAGATTTGAGCCACCAACTGTGCAAGAATATGATGCATTTAATTGCACTTACGTCCGCAAACTTTTACTATCATAAGGTTTTTCTCTTGCTTTGTGTTTTAGTTCAATGATGATCCAGCTATAAAGTAAAAAGACAATGTCAGTTGACTATAACTCAGTCTTCCATACTATTTTCCTAATAAGCTAATCCTAAAATTCTCGAATTATAAGGACTAAGAGAAAAAAAATTTATGCAGTAGCTATTCCTATAATTTCTTCCCTTACACATCCTTCATAAAGGACACACCCAGGAGGGAACACCTTTTCTAATATTGACCCTCTGTTCTCTGGACACAATACATAAAGTCACATTAAGTCAAAGTTTAGCTGGCAGTGTCATGCCCTGTTCAACTAAAAAGATGAAAAGGCATGAAAGGCCCGGGCATGGTGGCTCACAACTGTAATCCAACACTTTGGGAGGTGGAGGTGGGTGGATTGCCTGAGGTCAGGAGTTGGAGACCAGCCTGGCCAACATGGTGAAACCCCATCTCTACTAAAATACAAAAATTAGTCAGGTGTGGTATAGCTGTAGTCCCAGCTACTCAGGAGGCTAAGGCAGGAGAGTTGCTTGAACCCGGGAGGCAGAGGTTGCAGTGAGCTGAGATTGTGCCACTGCACTCCAACCTGGGCAACAAGAGTGGAAATTCCATCTCGAAAAAAAAAGAAAAGAAAAGAAAAAAGAAAAAACAAAAGAAAGGGCACAAAGAGAAAACTGACAACGAGGCTCCAGAAGACCAGAACAGAAAAACAAAGTGCCCACTTTGGTCCTGACATCCTTTCCAGTTTCTAGTCCCTTCCAATGAAGTCTTTTTTTGCTTAAGCTAGCTTGAGTGGGTTTCTGTGCCTTTTCATTAAACAATCCCTAAAACAAGCATATCTCACTTTTAAAACACAATCAATAAGCAAATACATAGGTTAAATTACATACATTTACTACTAATGCAACAATGAAATACTGAATAATGTTAAGTAAAGATATAAAAGAAAAATTATACCTAGTATGCTATCATTTATGTAAAAATAATAAAACAGATATATAACAAATTCATCAACTATCTCTGGAAGGTTATAGAATAATCAATAACATCAATTCTGTGGAGGTCCAATGGGTAGCGAGGGGGACTGGAATGAGAAGGAAGCTTTTCACTGGACACTCATATCTTCTGAATTCTAAACCATGAAATCATATTACATAATCAAAAATAAATTTAATTAAATGAATCTGAACAGCATGAAAACAAGTAGTATAGGCAGCCCCACTCACTAGGTTCTCACTCGCTCAGAGCAGGTTATTTCAGTGTCCTTGTCTGTTCTTCTGACCCCAGCAGTGTTCACACACCAGCACATGGAGGTGCCGTTGCACTGCTTGGCCTTAAAGAGCCCGCTCTCATCGCAGTCAGGATCATAAAGCCCATCATTGTTCTGGAGGGCCCCTTCAGGTTTTGCTCTTCTCCCAAGTTTTGAGCCATTCATTTCTGCCTTCATCACCAAACATTTGGCAGCCACTGAAAAAGAAACCTTAATGCCAAACTGAAAAATAACTGATTTCATGATTACGGGAAAAAAAAAATTAACTCTAAAGTTCCAGGGTCAAAGATTATTTGAAATTTATGTGTTCCCACACTTACTTTGTAACATGATTCAGATTTAAGCCAATAAAACTCTTTCCAACTCAAGGCACATCAATTAAAGAAGTATTAAGTCAAAATAAAGCTTACAGGTAATTAGGATATTTTACTCACGCTTTGAGCAAATGACAGTATTTTGTGCACCAACTGAAGTACACTGGCATTGACGATTATTATTCACAAAGCAGTTTACGGCCAGCTTGTAGTTTTCACAGACACATTCTAGAAAATTAAAAAAAAAATCTACTTTAAAATGTGGATCTATTAACTCTCATGTCCCAGCTAAGTTATATTGTAATAATAATGCCTAAAGTTACAAGGACACAAAACCTTAAAAAGTGGTTCTGAATGTTTTATTTTTCAGCTATAGACTACTGCCTAAGTGCCTGGCACTTGCTAAAGTTTGCATACTGTATACAGACACATAGTTTAATCTGCATGCATTCCTGTTTTTTTTTTTTTTTTTTTTTTTTTTTTTTAAAGATAGGGTCTCACTCTGTGGCCCAGGCTGGAATGCAGTGGCACAATCTTGGTTTACTGCAGCATGGACCTACAGGGCTCAAGTGATCCTCCTGTCTCAGCCTCCCAAGTAGCTGGGACTACAGCCATGCACCACCATGCCTGGCTAATTTTTAACTTTTTGTAGATACGGGGTTTCGCCATGTTGCCCAGGCTGGTTTTGAACTCCTGGCCTCAAGCAATCCTCCTGCCTCAGCCTCCCAAAGTGCTGGGATTACAGGCATGAGCCACTGTGCCTGGCCTCCTGTTACAATTTTTTTAAAACAAGAACACAGCTCTCCAAGTATCATTTCTAGCTTTGTCTTTGTGAAACTCCCAGTCTTAGCTCCTTCCACAGTCCTGTCCTGCTAAGTAACATCCCTGTTAGTCACTGCCTTTTTTTGTTTTTCTTCTTGAGACAGAGTCTCACTCTGTCGTGCAGGCTGGATTGCAGTGGTACAATCGCAGCTCACTGCAACATCCATCTCCCAGGATCAAGCGATTCTCCTGCCTCAGCCTCCCAAGTAGCTGGGACTACAGGGGTATGCCACCACACCTGGCTAATTTTTGTATTTTTAGTAGAGACGGGGTTTCAGCATAATGGCCAGGCTGATCTCAAACTCCTGACCTCATGATCCGTCCGCCTCGGCCTACCAAAGTGCTGGGATTACAGGTGTCAGCCACCGCGCCCGGCTTTTTTTTTCTATTTTTAGTAGAGACGGGTTTTCACCATGTTGGTCAGGCTGGTCTAGGACTCCTGACCTCAGGTAACCCACCCACCTCGGCCTCCTAAAGTGCTGGGATTACAGACGTGAGCCACCATGCCCGGCTGTCACCGCCTCTTTTACAAAAAAAAATCAACTATTCCAATTCTAGGATCTGTGAATCCTCACCTTCTCTTGCTCTCCCACCCCATTTTCTTAAATGAGGGATGTTTCCTTTGGGGCTTAACAGGAATATATTCAATCTTTAAACAATTTTATATCTTGGAAAAATTACACTTTCAACTGCAGTTATAGTCCTCCCTTTAAGTGAGTTTCCTAACTAAATTAAATCCTAGTACCTGATAAGGAAAGTGATACTAAGCAGCCCATTCTGTATTATTGATGTCAGTTTAATAGTTTTGTCCTTAACAACCTCAAAAGTTCATTTAACTTCGAATAGGCAAGACTATCTAATTCCTTTTGTCTAGTTAAAAGAGCACAATCATTAAAAACAAAAACTATCTCCTCAGTTCAACTGAAGAGGAAAAAAAAGAAAAAGCTAGCATGACAAACCAGAGTTTTTATATTGATCCTTCGTATCCCAAGTACCCTAAGTTGATTTCAATTTTTCCCTGTTCAAGTTATAGTCGATATGAACCACCTTTAATCTGCCCAACACTAAACTCAATACTGGGGTCACAAAAGGGGAAAATACAGCACTTGTTCTCAAGCGTTTAAATCTTCTGCAGCCCCATCCTGTACTTGTTTAAAACACACTGTTCATACCTAAGGGGCGTAAAATTTAAATCAGACCAGTCAGGTGCAGACTTTCTGAGCACAAACCTGTAGCAGCTATGACCACTTTAAAGCAATTTAACATTAAGTACGTAGTCCCAGATTGAAGCCAGAAAAACATGAGTTGACTAAAACTGCATTACTTTGAGAGTATAATTACTGAATTTAGGCCACTCCATTGGTGAAAGTGTAAAAGCCCTTCCAGAGACCTTTGGCAAACGCCACTCCACTTCTAGGCACCATCTTACAAATAAACCAAGAGATGCCGGACCGGTGGCTCATGCCTGTAATCCCAGCACTTTGGGAGGTCCAAGTAAGAGCATCGCTTGAGCCTGGGAAATGGAGGACGCAGTGACATGTAAATGTGCCACTGCACTCCAGGCTGAACGACAGACGGAGACACTGTTTCCAAAAAAAAGAGAGAGAGAGAGACGGCAGCCAAGTTGTTTATTCCACAGTTAAGAGAAACTGAAATCAAACTACATGTCTAACATTTGAATAACGGTGCAACATACCAGTCACCATTTTAAATCTTGTTTTTAAGGCCGGGTGTGGTGATGCACGCCTGTAATCCCAGCACTCTGGGAGGCCCAGACGGAGTGATCACTTGAGCCCAGGAGTTCGAGACCAGCCTGGGCAACATAGTGAGATGTCGTCTCTACAAATACAAATATTCGGCTGGCACTGTGGCTGACGTCTGTAATCCCAGCACTTTGGGAGGCCAAGGTCGGTGGATCACCTGAGGTCAGGAGTTCGAGACCAGCCTGGCCAACATGGCGAAACCCCTCTCTACAAAAAATACAAATTAGCTGACCGTGGTGGTGCATGCCTGTAGTCCCAGCTACTCGGGAGGCTGAGGCAGGAGAATCGCCTGAATTGCAGTGAGATGAGATCGCGCCGTTGTACTCCAGCCTGGGCAACAAGAGCGAAACTCTGTCTCAAAAATAATAATAATAATAATAAATAATAAATACAAAAATTAGCCAGGCATAAAGGCTGACGCAGAAGGATGGTCTGAGGCCGGGAGGCGTAGTCTACAATGAGTCAAGATCTTGCCATTGCACTCCAGCCTGGGTGACAGAACAAGGCTGTTTCAAATAAAAAAATAAAATAGGCCGGGCACGGTGGCTCACGCCTGTAATCACAGCACTTTGGGAGGCCGAGGCGGGCGGATCACGAGCTCAGGAGTTAGAGACCAGCCTGACCAACATGGAGAAACCCCGTCTCTACTAACAATACAAAAATTAGCGGGGGGTGGTGGCGCGCGCCTGTAATCCCAGCTACTCTACTCAGGAGGCTGAGGCAGGAGAATCACTTGAACCCGGGAGGCGAAAGTTGCAGTGAGCCGAGATCGCGCCATTGCACTCCAGCTTGGGCGACAGAGCAAGACTCAGTCTCAAAAAATTAAATAAATAAATAAAAAGAAAGAAAGATACACCTAATTACTAATTATGGGATTCTCAAAATGCTGGGATTATATGTTTTTACTCTTTACGGTTATTATTTCTGCGTTCCCTACAATAAGCCTGGCATTACTCATATGATCCTTAGAAAAGGGAAAACACCCACACGCCCTGTGTGGTCCGGGCCGCCTGCCGCGCGCAGGTGCATAGCGGCCCTGGAGGCCTCCCTGCGGGCGCCTGTCCCCGCCTGAGGCCCACATCCGGGGCCCGCTGCAAGGACAAGGGCGAGCCCGCTGGTCCCTGTCGTAAAGACTCCGCCACCGGCTGGGGCTGTTTTGGAACCCCAAGTCCACCCCGAACCGAGGACGTGGGTGCGCCAGGGCGCGAGGCACCGGTTCGGTGGCCGCAGGAAACCTGGACGTGGCCACTCCGTTCCCTGCCTGTCCCCCGCCTCCGCCCAAGGCCATTTCCCTACCAAGGCGAGCAAAGCTGCGAAGTGAGGCTGCTCCCCGGGACGGCCCTCGCCGTTTCCTACCGCGCGGAGGGCCTGAGCCGGAGCACGGCCGCACCGTCCGGTCTCCACGCTGGAAAGCGCGGCCTCTTGGTCCCCTCCCTATTATGCCCGTTTCGGGGGCCGAGGGCCGGGGGCCGCTGCCCCCCAGCCCAGCCCAGCTCCACAACTCTGCTCCAATCCGCGCCTCACCTTCCTGAGCTGCGGCAAAAGTCGCCGTCGCCGCGGCAAGCAGAAGCCCGAACGCGAGGACCTGCGGGGGCGCCATGCTGCGCGCGCGCCGAGAAGAGGGGCGCGGGAGGGGCCCGGGACTCGCGGGAGGGCGTGCGCCGGGAGTGGGACACGAGGAGCCGGCCGGGCAGCGCGAGGCCTGGGGCACGCGGGTCCGCGTCGGGAGGACAGCGACGAGGGGGTCCCCGGACCGCGTCGAAGGTGCTCGCTCGCCGAAGGACTAGCGCTCTGTGCGCGCGGCGGGGCGGAGCGCACACCTGCCCGACCTGGCGGCCCCGCCTCTCGGCCCCTTCCCGGGACTGCTCACCTCTGGCCGCTGGTGCTCGTTGATGAGTCACCGCCCGGGAGTTGGGGGAGTGAGTAGGCTCCCCTCCCCCAGCCCCGGCGCTGCAGTTGGGGCGCGGCCCTCTCCACAGGTGTGGGCCCGCGCGCCCCGCTCCGCCCCGCCCCAGGTGCTTCGTCTCCATGGCGGCGTTAGGGATCTTTGGTGGCCTCCGAGGAGGTTTGAAGATTCTGTGCTGAGACTTCCTTTTAACCGGAGGAGCGCTGCTCTGAAGCCTTGAAGAATGGGGCCTGGGGGGAAGGGTGCGGGAACTGGATAGAGGAACGTGGAGGCTAAAGGAAATACAAACACAGGCAGAGAACCTTCCAGAACACTATAAAAAAGACCTTTGAGCTTTTACCTGGCAATTTAATTATACTCCTTTGAAATTAGAAAGAAAAAAAAAAGAAAGAAGAGGAAAGAAGAAATCTTGGCTCTCTTGGGAAGAAAATGAGTGTTTCTTTATAATTACTCTTAATAATTCTTTTTTCGTTTTCATAAGCATTTCTAGCACTTGAAGATGTAAGAAAAGGTGTTCCCAGGCTGAGCGCGGTGGCTCACGCCTGTAATCCTAGCACTTTGGGAGGCCGAGGCGGGCGGATCACCTGAGGTTTGAAGTTCGAGACCAGCCTGACCAACATGGAGGAACGCCGTCTCTACTAAAAGATACAAAATTAGCCGGGCGTGGTGGCGCATGCCTGTAATCCCAGCTACTGGGGAGGCTGAGGTTGCAGTGAGCAGAGATCGTGCCATTACACTCCAGCCTGGGCGACAGGAGCAAGACTCCGTCTCAAAAAAAAAAAAAAAGAGAGAAAAGAAAAGGTGTTCCCATAGAGCCAAATACTGAGAACCGAGATGATTTCGGGTTTTGGTTACTATTAAAGAACCAAAATGTTGATGACGCCTTCGGAAAGAAAATATAGGGAAATAGAAAGAAAGGACAGTAATCGATTTCCGTGCAGATGAATTCAAATCACAACACACTATATTATTACAATATTAAAATAATTATAAATACTTCATATATATACTATTTAGTGTTTTTAAATGTTATTTTTTGTTAGCTGTAATATCATTGTAACCTATTTTTTAAAAGCTTTTTATCCACTAAAGAAATCATAAAAGTAAGAGTTAAAAAGAGGAAAGGAGGCTGGGCACGGTGGCTCATGCTTGTAATCCCAGCACCTTGCTGGGGGCACAGGTGGGCAGATCCGAGGTCAGGAGTTCGAGACCATCCTGGCCAACATGGTGAAACCCATCTCAACTAAAAATACAAAAAGTAGCCAGGTGTGGTGGCAGGCACCTGTAATCCCAGCTACTCAGGAGGCTGAGGCAGGAGAATCGCTTGAACCAGAGAGTCGGAGGTTGCGGTGAGCCGAGACCAAACCGCTGCACTCCAGTCTGGCAACAGAGCAAGACTCCATCTCAAAAAATAAAAAAATAAAAAAAAAAGAGGAAAGGTAAAAAAGCAATTTTAAGATTCAGCTAAGTTTGATTAATTTCTACAAGTATATGTCAAATCAAAGCTTATGTTTATATTAAAACAATCATTTCTATGTTGTATTCTGTTGAAGTGCCGGCAAGTTGATTAATGTAAATAGTCATGCTGTTCTAAGTACCTCTATAATTTGTTTTGTATAATTTAAATTTCACGTGGTATATGAAATAAGGTATTTAGGCCAGGTACGGTGGCTCATGCCTGTAATCTCAGCACTTTGGGAGGCCGAGGCGGGCGGATCACCTAAGGTCAGGAGTTCGAGACCAGCCTGGCCAACATGGTGAAACCCCGTCTCTACTAAAAATACAAGAAGTTAGCCAGGCGTGGTGGCGGGCGCCTGTAATCCCAGCTACTCAGGAGACTGAGGCAGGAGAATCACTTGAACCTGGGAGGCAGAGGTTGCAGTGAACCAACATTTCGCCATTGCACTCCAGCCTGGGCAACAAGAGCGAAACTCCGTCTCAAAAAAAAAAAACAAACAAACAAAAAAAAAAGAATAGTACTAACAAATCAGGAACAAGTTAACCAGATTTTTGTTGTCTGCTGAATTTTGGATGTTTTCAGGAAGTTTGCCTTTCTCCAAATTACATATACTTTTCCCAAGAATAAACTAACTGGTTATTGTGGCTTTATTGGCAAAATGTTCCATTCTGAGGTCTAAATCTGTTTACCTAATCGGGAGAACTTCATCTTCTTATAACTGGACAGCTATTTATTGTTAATTACAATAAAGTGAATTGAGTAAGCATAATTATTAAATAAATGACAAAATACCAGACTAATCTCTGACTCATTGTATCTGAGTATACATCCAGGGTATTTTTTCTTTTCTTTCTTTTTTTTTTTTCTTTCTTTTTTTGAGGCAGAGTTTTGCTCTTGTTGCCCAGGCTGGAGTGCAATGGCATCATCTCACCTCACCACAACCTCCGCCTCCCGGATTCAGGCAATTCTCCTGCCTCAGCCTCCTGAGTAGCTGGGATTACAAGCATGTGCCACCACGTCCGGCTAATTTTTTGTATTTTTAGTAGAGATGGGGTTTCTCCATGTTGGTCAGGCTGGTCTTGAACTCCTGACCTCAGGTGATCTGCCCACCTCAGCCTCCCAAAGTGCTGGGATTACAGGCTTGAGCCACCACACCCGGCTGATCCAGGGTATTTTTTCTTTTTTTTTTTTTTTGAGATGGGGTCTTGCTCTGTCACCCAAGCTGCAGTGCAGTGGCATGATCTTGGCGGACTGCAACCTCCACCTCTTGGGTTCAAGCAATTCTCCTGCCTCAGCCTCCTGAATAGCTGGGATTACAGGCGCCCACCACCACACCCGGCTAATTTTTGTATTTTCAGTTGAGACAGAGTTTCACCATGTTGGCCAGGATGGTCTTGATCTCCTGACTTTGTGATCCTCTTGCCTCGGCCTCCCAAAGTGCTGGGATTACAGGTGCAAGCCACCGTGTCCGCCTTTTTTTTTTTTTTAAGATAGAGTTTCAATCTTGTTACCCAGGCTGGAGTACAATGGCGTGTTCTCAGCTCACTGCAACCTCCACCTCCTGGGTTCAAGCAATTCTCCTGTCTCAGCCTCCCGAGTAGCTGTGATTACAGGCGCCTGCCACCTCGCCCGGCTAATTTTTGTATTTTTAGTAGAGACCGGGTTTCACTACGTTGGCCAGGCTGGTCTTGAACTCCTGACCTCAGGTGATCCACCCGCCTCAGCTTCCCAAAGTGCTGGGATTACAGGCATGAGCCACTGCACCGGCCGGTATTGTTTATTTTAGTACCTCATTAACACCTTCTCAATTTGTCATTCTTTGCTCAAAATTACTCGTTTTATGTTTTAATTGTGAATCTTTTGTAGTTCTAGTGCCATATTTAAGCACATTTATTAATATTTTCAGGCTAGGCATGGTGGCTCACGCCTGTAATCCCAGCACTTTGGGAGGCCAAAGCGGGTGGATCACTTGAGGTCAGGAGTTTGAGAGCAGCCTGGGCAACCTGGTGAAAACCTGTCTCTACTAAAAATATAAAAATTAGCTGGGCATGGTGGCACATGCCTGTAATTCCAGATACTTGGGAGGCTGAGGCAGGAGAATCACTTGAACCCAGGAGGCGGAGGTTGTGGTGAGCGAAGATCATGCCATTGCACTCCAGCCTGGGCAACAAGAGCAAAACTCTGTCTAAAAAAAAAAAAAAAAAAATATATATATATATATATATATATATATATATATATATATATATATATATATATATAAAATTAGACTACCAGTTCTAAAAATTTTTGTTATCCCATGAGTAATAGATGAGTAGAAAACAAAAGTCCTTTATATAGAATGAAGAGTAAAAGTCCTTAACCACTATGCAGCAAATCCCTCTCTATTCTAGATCTTCTTTGTTAATAGTTTTATATTTATGCTACTTGTTCATTAGTTTTTCTCACATATCCCAAAGAACCTGGGTTCATAGGATATACTCCACAGAGTGGGGGATAATATTTGGTTGGTTTAAGTTTATAACAATAGTTTGCATCTGTACATTCAGAGTTCACCTTAATATATATATAATATGTAAATGTATATGTAGAATTTCTACCATGTCATTGTATCTGTCATTAAAAATTAACTTTTCTTTTTTTTTTTAGATGGAGTGTCACTCTGTTGCCCAGGCTGGAGTGCTGTGGCACAATCTTGGCTCACTGCAACCTCTGCCTCCTGGGTTCAAGCGATTCTCCTGCCTCAGCTTCCTAAGTAGCTGGGATTACAGGCACATGCCACCAGGCCCAGCTAATTTTTGTATTTTTAGTAGAGACGGGGGTTTTGCCAGGTTGGCCAGGCTGGTCTGGAACCCCTGACCTCAAGTGATCTGCCCACCTCAGCCTCCCAAAGTGCTAGGATTACAGGTGTGAGATACCACGTCCGGCCAACTTTTTTTTTTCTTTTGACATGGAGTCTCACTCTGTCACCCAGGCTGGAGTGCAGTGGCAGGATCTTGGCTCGCTGCAACCTCCGCCTCCCAGGTTCAAGCAATTCTCATGCCTCAGCCTCCTGAGTAGCTAGGATTACAGGCATGCACCACCACGCCCAGCTAATTTTTGTATTTTTGGTAGAGATGGGTTTTTGCCATGTTGACCAGCCTGGTCTCAAACTCCTGACCTCAAGTAATCTACTGGCCTCAGCCTCCCAAAGTGCTGGGATTACAGGTGTGAGCCACCACGTCCAGCCTAAAAATTAGCTTTGTTTCCAAAAGCCAAACTTCTAACCCTTTACCATGAAAAAAGCCCTTTTTCATATCTTTTTCCACTTTAAATTCTTTTGTAAAATATAAAGCACTATATAGTAAGCACTTAAACTAAAGTTTAGTTAATTAACATGTAGACGCTTATTAAGTGATATCTATTACAATTAAAAGCAAGGCCGAGTGCAGTGGCTCACACTTGTAATCCCCGCACTTTGGGAGGCCAAGGCAGGTGGATCACCTGAGGTTGGGAGTTTGAGACCGCCCTGACCAACATGGTGAAACCCCGTCTCTACTAAAAATACAAAATTAGCTGGGTGTGGTGGCACATGCCTGTAATCCCAGCTACTCAGGGGGCTGAGGCAGGAGAATCGTTTGAACCCAGGAGGCGGAGGTTGCAGTGAGCTGAGATCTTGCCATTGCACTCCAGCCTGGGCAACAGGAGCGAAATTCCATCTCAACAACAACAACAACAACAACAACGTAATGCAGCAAATTAGCAAAATGCAGGATGTTTCCAATTTGGGACTATTATGAATAAAGTTGTTATGAACATTCTTACACAAGTCTTTTTGTGGACACAAGAATGTTTTGCACTAAATGTCTCTACATGGAGCACTACTGGAATTTTAGATAGGATATTCTTAACGTTTCATGGAGATTAACCTCTACCCATTCAATCCCCTTAGTCATTTTGACAGTCCTCAAAAAAGTCTCCACACATTTCCCAGCCCTCTGAGAATGGCAATACCACTTTTGACTGAGAGCTACTGCTTTAAATAATAACCTACCTTGATTTCAGGAACACATTTGACCTAATGTGTCATATTGCTATTGATAAGATGGACAAGGTATGCTGGAAGAACAGAAAGGAGGTCAATGGGGCTGGAGTTTGGTGATTGAGAGAGATGTGGTGACTGAGAGAGGGCAGGTGTGAGCTTATACAATGCCTTAAGGAAAGGTTAGGATTTTGAATGTTATTTATTTATTTATTTATTTTAATGTAGTTGGAGGTGTCGCCATCTTGCTCTGGTTGGTCTTGAACTTCTGGACTCAAGTAATCCTCCCACCTCTGCCTCCCAAAGTGCTGGGATTACAGGTGTGAGCCACCGCACCTGGCCAACTCAGCATATTTGTAAAGTTTATGTCAATTAGTGTGGAACACTGATAGAATATAGCAACAATTATAACTGCCACTCATGGAGCATATATTAAGTGCCAGGCATTGGGCACCAAGCATTGTTGACAGGTGCTTTATTTTCACCAGGTTTTGCTTGTGGTTTTTTTTTTTTTTGAGACAGAGTCTCACTCTGTCACCCAGGCTGGAGTGCAGTGGCGCGATCTCGGCTCACTGCAACATCCACCTCCCAGGTTCAAGCAATTCTCCTGCTTCACCCTCCCGAGTAGCTGGGACTACAGGCGCTTGCTACCATATCCAGCTAATTTTTTTATTTTTAGTAGAGACGGGTTTCACCATGTTGGCCAGGCTGGTCTCAAACTCCTGACCTCAGGTGATCCACCCGCCTTGGCCTCCCAAAGTGCTGGGATTACAGACGTGAGCCACCGCACCTGGCCTTTCACCAGGTTTTGGGCACTTACTAGGGACTAGACTTTTCAGTAAATATTAAGCACCTATTATGTGCTTCTACCAAGTGCTTATGAGCAAGTGTGCAGCGCCTATTCTACAGCAGCCTTTGCCTGCATCTTTTTTTTTTCTTTTTGGGACGGAGTCTGGCTCTGTTGCCCAAGCTGGAGTGCAGTGGCGTGATCTTGGCTCACTGCAAGCTCCGCCTCCTGGGTTCACGCCATTCTCTTGCCTCAGCCTCCTGAGTAGCTGGGAATATACAGGCGCCCACAACCACGCCCAGCTAATTTTTTGTATTTTTAGTAGAGACGGAGTTTCACCGTGTTAGCCAGGATGGTCTTGATCTCCTGACCTCGTGATCCACCCGCCTCGGCCTCCCAATGTGCTGGGATTACAGGAGTGAGCCACTGCGCCCGGCCCTTGCTTGCATCTTATTTAAACGTGAAAGCAAGAGGGTGAATCTCCAAGCTCTGACCTGGGTGGAGGCACGGGCCCTAGCAAAGGGTGCACACCTGAGTAGGGATGAGACCAGGAAGGTGGCGTCCTCTTCTCTTGGTGCACTGTGACCGCAAATGACCAGGGGGAGAAGGAGCAGGGTGCAGGGTTGCTCAGGCTAAGGGCAAGATGGAGCGAAGGGTGAGATGGAGGACCAGGCCGCCTGGGCACTGGAGTTTGCTGAATGGTCTGAATGGTAGTCTTTTTTTTTGAGACAGAGTCCCGCTCTGTTGCCCAGGCTGGAGTGCAGTGGCGTGATCTCAGCTCAGTGTAACCTCCGCCTCCCAGGTTCAAGCAATTCTCCTGCCTCAGCCTCCAGAGTAGCTGGGATTATAGGCACGTGCCACCACACCTGGCTAATTGTTGTATTTTTGGTAGAGATGGGGTTTCGCAATGTTGGCCAGGCTGGTCTCAAACTCCTGACCTCAGGTGATCTGCCCGCTTTGGCCTCCCAAAATGCTGGGATTACAGGCATGAACCACCTCGCCTGGCTAATAAATAATTTTAAAAGTGACTATTGTAGAGCGAGACTCTGTTTAGAAATAAAATACGATAGAAGAGAGAAGGATAAGTTTGTTGTGGACAGTATTTGCAAATGTGGAATAAAAATGCTGGGCCCTGGAACTTAAGTGAGGTTGGGAAGTGAAGATAAGAGAAGAGAGAAATGGTGTCAGATACAGTTGAAGAACTGAGACAGTGGGAGTTCTTGAGTAAGTGAGCTGGAAGGTTAGGAGGTCATCAGAGAGGCTTCAAAGAAGCTGCGTGTCTGAAGGAGGAGAGGCAAGGAACAGTTTGGAAATGGCAAGTAGGAAACCTACTATACCCCCTGGCCCTTAGGAGCCTGAAATGTCAGGGGAAAAGTAAAGCAGCTTCTACCTCAGAGGACTGCTCAGGAGATGGGCTGCTCAGGGACAGCCAGGTTCATTTATTGCCAAGTGGTGAAGGGAACATTCAAAGAAGAGGACGAGGCTACAAAGACATTTGATGGCGACAGATCTGGAGTTGCAAAGGCACATTGAAGAATTTGGGAAGGAGAGGGAGAGGGGCTTGATCAGATTAGCAGTGGACTCAGGGTACTGGGATAGTATCCACTGTTGATGATCTATCCATGTTGGATGATCTAGAAGGCTTATTCTTCTAGTGACTGAGGCACATAGGAATATAAGGTGCAAAGAGAAATCAGCCTAAACTGAATTGTGAATAGTTAGTCCAAAGGTTAGGGATGACTAACCGTCAGGATGACTATTCTTCCCCACAAAGTAGTGGTGGTGGCAGCCATCATAGGGAGGGCCAGAAGTGCTCTCTCTGGGAGCATATGGTATGGCAGGGACTATGGGGTGACTGGTCTTAGCTTAGTAACAACCTGAATGGTTGAGTCATGACCAGTAATAAGTATTTACTGGGCATTTACTTTGTGTA
Source organism: Homo sapiens (assembly GCF_000001405.40). Taxonomy (NCBI): domain Eukaryota; kingdom Metazoa; phylum Chordata; class Mammalia; order Primates; family Hominidae; genus Homo; species Homo sapiens. Next base: position 47,360,999 of record NC_000002.12, on the reverse strand, counting down.
AGACTTAACCACCCAACACTATAAAAAGCATACAGCCTGTAACCCCAGCCCTTTGGGAGGCCGAGGGGGGCGGATCACCTGAAGTCGGGAGTTCGAGACCAGCCTGGCCAACATGGTGAAACCCTGTCTCTACTAAAAATATAAAAATTAGCCTGGCATGGTGGCGTGTGCCTGTAATCCCAGCTACTCAGGAGGCTGGGGCAGGAGAATCGTTTGAACCCAGGAGGCAGAGGCTGCAGTGAGCCGAGATCACACCACTGCACTCCAGCCTGGGCGACAGAGCAAGAGCCTGTCTCAAAAAAAAAAAAAAAAAAAAGCATACAGCATTCTTACAGCCAGCTGAGAGAGAGAACAGTTGGTTCCAGATATTATGTTCTGGCCTAGCTAGAAGGAAAATAGAGTGTGGCTAACAGGATGGACCTTAACCTTTGCCTTATCCTATCAGAGAGGGGTGAGGTCTTTATGATGGGTCATTTATAGGGTGTGCAACAGCCCCGGTGAAACTTGAGAGTTTTTTTCAGACATAGTCGTTCTCATGTTTAAGGACATCTGTGAACCAACCAGGTATACATACACAATTATAAGGAACTTCCCTCTTCTGATAACCAGACTGGGTCAAACGAGGCTGTCTCTGTGGGTTCTCATGGACCTAGTTAAAAACTCATGCATTGGCCTCTCACAAGGCATAATAAGGAAACAAAAGAAGAAAAATACACAGATTCCTCTCCTTTCTGGAATTATCTGTATGTTCCGATTCCTGAGATGTTCATGGAAAATCAAGGTGTGTAGTAAGAATGAACTAAACGGGCCTGGCGTGGTGGCTCATGCCTGTAATCCCAGCACTTTGGGAGACCTAGACAGTTGGATCACTTGACCAGCCTGGCCAACATGGCAAAACCCCGTCTCTACTAAAAATACAAAAAAAATTAGCCGGGCATAGTGGTGTGTGCCTGTAATCCCAGGTACTTGGGAGGCTAGGCAGGAGAATCATTTGAACCCAGCAGGCAGAGGTTGCAGTGAGCTGAGATTGCACCACTGTACTCCAGCCTGGGTGACAGAGCCAGACTCCACCTCAAAAAAAAAAAAAAGAATGAACTAAATGTCACAAACTTAATTTTATTTGTACTCCTACTCAGGATGAGGGAGTTGTCAAGTGTCATAGTCTGGCTGAGCTATACATAATCATCATCATCACTGTACACGAAACTGACTCAGAATACCCAGATTGATAAGGTTCCTACGACATCTGTCACCCCATTGATCGCCAGGGTTGATTCAGCTGATCTGGCTGGATAGGTAGGTGTCTCCTTCCTCTCTCACCGCTCCATGTGCGTCCCTCCCAAAGCTGCATGCTAGGTCGAAGAGGACGACCAGCCCCGATAGAGGACTGGTCTTCAGTCAAGGGTATACAAGTAGCTGTGCTCCCCTGCTAGAACCTCCAAACAAGCTCTCAAGTTCCAGAAGGAAGTGAAAGAAAAAAGGAAACCAAGAATGTGGATAGAGTAGTGGGAGAGGGAGGATATGTCGTGTCTGTTGGTTGGTTCCCTGTTTACGGAAAGAAGGTGAACTCCAGGAGTCTGTAGGGAAGTGTTGTGAATAGATAAAGTAATAACCACATTTTTTTTTTTTGAGATGGAGTCTTGCTCTGTCACCCAGGCTGGAGCGCAGTGGTGTGATCGTGGCTCACTGCAGCCTCTGCCTCCTGGGTTCAAGTGATTCTCCTGCCTCAGCCTCCCAAGTAGCTGGGATTGGGATTGCAGCCGCCAGCCACCACGCCTGGCTAATTTTTTTTTTTTTTTTTTTTTTTTTTGAGACAGTCTCGCTCTGTTGCCCAGGCTGGAGTGCAGTGGCATGATCTTGGCTCACTGCAAGCTCTGCCTCCTGGGTTCACGCCATTCTCCTGCCTCAGCCTCCCCAGCAGCTGGGACTACAGGCGCCCGCCACTACACCTGGCTAATTTTTTTGTATTTTTAGTAGAGACGGCGTTTCACAGTGTTAGCCAAGATGGTCTCAATCTCCTGACCTTGTGATCCGCCTGCCTTGGCCTCCCAAAGTGCTGGGATTACAGGTGTGAGCCACCGCACCCGGCCTACGCCTGGCTAATTTTTGTATTTTTAGCAGGGACAGCATTTCACCATGTTGTCCAGGCTGGTCTCAAACTTCTTCCTTTTCCCCCCCACGCAGACAGAGTCTTGCTCTGTCCCCCAGGCTGGAGTGCAGTGGCGCGATCTCAGCTCACTGCAACCTCTGCCTCCTGGGTTCAAGCAATTCTCCTGCCTCAGCCTCCCCAGTAGCTGGGATTGCAGGTGCGCACCACCACACCTGGCTAATTTTTGTATTTTTAGTAGAGACGAGGTTTCACCATGTTGGCCAGGCTGGTCTCGAACTCCTGACCTTGTGATCGACCCGCTTCGGCCTCCTAAAGTGCTGGGACTACAGGCGTGAGCCACTGCACCAGCCAATAATGACCACATTTCTATTTCATGTAGGATTTACTAGGTAAACTAGCAGCTTGTTAAAATAGTGGTGATGAGGATGACAATATAAAGTCCTATAGAAAGCAAATCTAGGCTGGGCGCTGTGACTCACGCCTGCAATCCCAGCACTTTGGGAGGCTGAGGTGGGCAGATCACCTGAGGTTGAGAGTTCAAGACCAGCCTGACCAACATGGAGAAACCCCGTCTCTACTAAAAACACAAAATTAGCCGAGCGTGGTGGTGCATGCCTGTAATCCCAGCTGCTCAGGAGGCTAAGGCAGGAGAATCACTTGAACCCCAGAGGCAGAGGTTGCGGTGAGCAGAGATCGCACCATTGCATTCCAGCCTAGACAACAACAGCGAAACTCCGTCTCAAAAAAAAAAAAAAAAAAAAGCAAATCTGCAGGGCTGGGCATGGTGGCTTACAACTGAAATTGCAGCACTTTGGGAGGCTAAGGTCAGAGGATTGCTTGAGGACAGGAGTTGAGACCAGCCTGAGGAACATAGCAAGACCCCTGTCTCTATAAATTTTTTTTTTTTAATTAGCCAGGCCTGGTGATGCATACCTGTAGTTCCAGCTACTTGAGAGGCTGAGGTGGGAGGATCGTTTTAGCCCAGGAGTTTGAGGCTTCAACGAACCATGATTATGCCACTACACTCCAGGCTCAGCAACAGAGCAAGACCCTGTCTCTAAAAACAAACATTTAAAAAAAAGAGAAAAAGCAGATCTACAGTTAGCATCCCTGTGACTCCCCACCCCACTCCTTTCTCACCTCCATTAACAACTCACAGAACTTGCTGGAATGCAGCCAAGTTGAATCACACAGTTGGAGCACTGTTAAGAACAAAGTTTCCATCTCCTCTTTGGTCGAAAGTCAGCCCAGGAAAATCAGCTATAAATAGCTCCAAGAAAATCTCAGAGTGGTAAAGGATTAGTAAGCATCATGGCATAGAGGACATGGCAGTTTGCTTCTATCCTTAAGTCCGAAATGCTTTGTATGAGACAGCACGGGGTCCGTGGAATGGAGATCACTAACCATTGGGATTATGCAGCGATAGATAAGGACACAGGCATAGTTTGGCTTGTCTGTGGTGCAAGCTGGCTCACTCTTGTAGGAATATTCTGTCCGAAAGCATAGGTAACCACTGATACATGTTTTGAACATAAAGTGTGGGCAAAAATGTGAGAGCCGGCCTGTGAGTGAGCCTTTAGGGGATCCAAAATTACCTGAAGAGGCCAGGCACAGTGGCTCATGCCTGTAATCCTTGCACTTTGGGAGGTCAAAGCAATCAGATCTCTTGAGGCCAGGAGTTCAAGACCAGCTTGCCCAGCATGGTGAAACTTCGTCTGTACTAAAAAAACAAAAATTGGCCGGGCGTGCTGGCACATGCCTGTAATTCCAGCTACTCGGTTGGCTGAGGCAGGAGCATCACTTGAACCCAGGAGGTGGAGGTTGCAGTGAGACGATATAGTGCCCACCACTGTACTCCAGCCTGGGCAACGGAGTGAGACTGTCTCAAACAAACAAAAAACAAAAAAACAAAATTACCCAAGGAGAATGGTATTTCAGAACCAGTTAGTGCGAAGGGGATATAAAATGATTCTGTTTCAATGAATTATCAAACTATAAGGCTCTGTACTTAGTTCTGTAGAGATTCATGGTCAACAAGATGAATTCTCCATCCTCACACATTCCCTTGAGGAGTTTCTAGATATCCACATAGATAACTCTAGTACACAGAATTAGTAGAATTAGCATTGGCTGGCCACTACCAGTTATACATAATTACACATTTTCATGAAACATGCTGCTTTCTTTTTTGAAGATTATTTTTCAGATTCTTCCTATTCTTAAAGATTTTCAAAGTCCTATTTGGCTACTGGCCAGAAATCTTCCTTAGTAGGGCTGGGCTCAGTGGCTCATGCCTGTAATCCCAGCACTTTGGGAGGCTGAGGCGGGTGGATCACTTGAGGTCAGAAGTTCAAGACCAGCCTAGCCAATATGGTGAAACCCCATCTCTACTAAAAATACAAAAATTAGCTGGATGTGGTGGCGTGCGCCCATAGTCCCAGCTACTCGGGAGGCTGAGGCAGAAGAATTGCTTGATCCCAGGAGGTGGAGGTTGCAGTGAGCCGAGATCACGCCACTGCACTCCAGCCTGGGTGACAGAGTGAGACTCTGTCTCAAGGAAAAAAAAAAAAAGAAAGAAAGAAAGAAAGAAGAAGTTTGAGACCAGCCTGGCCAACATGGTAAAACCCTGTCTCTACTAAAAACACAAAAATTAGTCAGGTGCGGTGGTGCCCACATGTAGTCCCAGCTACTGGGAAGGCTGAAGCAGGAGAATGGCTTGAACCTGGGAGGAAGAGGTTGCAGTGAGCCAAGTTCGTACCACTGCACTCCAGCCTGGGCAACACAGCAAGACCCTGTCTCAAAAACAACAACAACAACAAAAAGGCTGGGCATGGTGGCTCATGCCTGTAATCCCAGCACTTTGGGAGGCCTAGGCAGGCGGATTACCTGAGGTCAGGAGTCGAGACCAGCCTTACCAACATGGAGAAACCCCGTCTCTACTGAAAATACAAAATTAGCTGGCCGTGGTGGCACACACCTGTAATCCCAGCTACTCAGGAGGCTGAGGCAGGAGAATCACTTGAACTAGGAAGGCAGAGGTTGCAGTGAGCCAAGATTGTGCCGTTGCACTCCAGTCTGGGCAACAAGAGCAAAACTCCGTCTCAAAAAAAAAAAAAAAAAGAGTAAGTGGTTTAGGCCAGGCATTATGACTCATCCCTGTAATTCCAGCACTTTGGGAGGCTGATGTGGGAGGAACACTTGAGCCCAGAAGTTTTTTTTTATTTTTTTTTGTTTTTAATTTTTTACCTAATCCCAAATGTGATTGGAGAGCCCAGGAATTTGAGGCCAGCCTGGGCAACACAGTGAGACCCTGTCTTTACTAAAAATTAAAAAAATTGGCCAGGCATGGTGGTTTATGCCTGTGGTCCCAGCTACATGAGAGGCTGAGGCGAGAGGATGGCTTGCACCTGGGAGGTGAAGGTCAAGGCTGTAGTGAGCCATGATCATGTCACTGCACTCCAGCCTGGGCGGCAGAGCAAGACCCTGTCTCGGGAAAAAAAAAAAAAAAAGAAATCTTACTTAGTAGTTTGTTAATTCAGCTTAACACATATGAAGGAAGAGAAAAGAACACGAAACATTTGGTAAGTACAATGTGATTTCTTTCATATTATCTCACTTAATCTTCACAGAAACTGTGAGCTAGGTATCATTTATTTTTATTTTACAAATGAGAAAACTAGTTAACCAAAATTAAGTAAAACCCAAGATCCTATTGTTGGTGTTGGTGAATGGTGGCCATAAATCTTGATCCTAGGTCTGTGGGACTCTAAATCCCACACCCTTTTAGTATACCACATAGCCTCGGTGCTGTCAACCTTGAAGTTTACCTCTCAAGAGTCAAAACTTAGAGAAATATTTATTTGAGTATCAGATAAGCTTTGGTACTTAATAACTTCTAGTCAATTCCAAAAGAAGCTTGTAGTTAGCTGCTTATCCTTACAGAGGGCATTCATTCTTTGAAATGTGTGGCGGACTTCCTCTCCGAATGGCTATAAAATATTTCGTACTTTGCTTATGTCTTATAAAAACGCCCATTAGAATGAAAGTAATAAACCAGCCAAGCCCTTGTAACTATAGGAACCTTCCCTGTCTGCTTCCTGTTGGAGGCTGCTGAAGGATAGAGGCCTCTGACTCATGGCCATGACCTCTCCACTCACTTTGGGTTCCTGCTGACTTCTGAATCCCACCCATCACGCTACCAAGCGATTTCTAGGAAAGCATGCTGCGATTATGTACATGAGGCCCTTACCGTGTAACCCAGGCAGAGGTGTGTTTGTGTACAGATCACTCAGAATTCAGAAGCTCTGTCGGTTGTGAATCCAGGGCCACACCACTGCAACCCATTCCCACAGGATTCTTGAGGGCAATTTTAGGTGAGAACTTGAGTTAATAAAGCCATCTGGTTACCTCAGAAATTGTTTGTCTCTGCTCCCCTGCTTTGGTTCTCGTTGCAATTGCAATTAGATAATTGAGATCTGCAAGTATTTCTGAAAGTGGAGCAGTCAGCAGAGCGCACTGGCTCCCAGTCACCACTCAGCGCTGAGTGTAGCCTTGGATGAGTCATTTGTCCCCCAAAGCCAGATGGGAATTCACTCTCATGCGGCTCTGGCTTGGGTTCTGGCTTGGTTTGTGAAGACTATGCTACAGATAAACTCTGGTTGTGTCAAGATGCCCTTTAACCTATCTGGGTGTTCCTCTGCCCCATCTCACAGGTGCCCAGCCCAGTGGACTCATCTGTTCACTGGCCTCACTGAGGGGTCTGCCTCATCAGCATCCCCACAGTGGGGCTCCGGCTTCTCTAGCTCTGTCCCTGGATACAATCCTAGACCTGAACTGTCTGCTAGGAAACTGTTAGAGAGACAACGTGCTAGTGAGTTACACCTCGAAGGTTAGGTATTTAGATTCTAATAGAGGCCTTCTGGAGACAAAGTTTGTGTTTCTTTGGTTTTGTTTTGTTCTTTGTGTTTTCGTTGTTGTTGTTATTGTTTTTTGTTTTGAGACAAGATCTTGCCTTATCACCCAGGCTGGAATACATTCGTATGATCTTGGCTCACAGCAACCCCCACCTATTGGGTTCAAGTGATTCTCGTGCCTCAGCCTCCCGAGTAGCTGGGACTACAGGCACACACCACCACATCTGGCTGATTTTTGAATTTTTAGTAGAGATGGAGTTTCGCCATGTTGGCCGGGCTGGTCTTGAACTCCTGGCCTCAAGTGATCCGCCCGCCTCAGCATCCCAAAGTATCGGGATTACAGGTATGAGCCACCGCACCCGGCCACGTTTGTTTGTTTTTGAGACAGAGTCTCACTCTCTTGCCCAGGCCGGAGTCCAGTGGCACACTCACAGCTCACTGCAGCTTCAGCCTCTTGGGCTCAAGCAATCCTCCTGCCTCAGCCTCCCAAGTAGCTGGTACGAAACACCACGCCTGGCTAATTTTTTATTTTTTGTAGAAACAGGGGTCTCACTATACTGCCCAGGCTGGTCTCAAACTCCTAGGCTCAAGTGATCCTCCCCCCTCGACCTCTCAAAACGCTGGGATTACAAGTGTGAGCCACCACATCTGGCCTGGAGACAACATTTTATCTAAAAAAAGCAAGCGAAGCCCGGGCAACACGGTGGAACCCCATCTCTACAAAAAATACAAAAATCAGCCAAGAGCAGTGGCTCACGCCTATAATCCCAGCACTTTGGGAGGCCGAGGTGGGCAAATCACCTGAGGTCGGGAGTTTAAGACCAGCCTGACCAACATGGAGAAACCCCATCTCTATTAAAAATACAAAATTAGCTGGGCATGGTGGCACATGCCTGTAATCTCAGCTACTAGGGTGGCTGAGGCAGGAGAATCGCTTGAACCCAGGAGGTGGAGGTTGCAGTGAGCCAAGATCACGCCATTGCACTCCAGCCTGGGCAACAAGAGCAAAACTCTGTCTCAAAAAATAAAAATAAAAAATCATCCAGGCGTGGTGGCTAATGTGGTGGTGCCTGTGGTCCCAGCTACTCAGGAGGCTGAGGTAGGAGGATCTCTTGAGCCTAGGAGGCTGAGGCCGCCATGAACCATAATCACACCACTGCACTCCAGCCTGGGCAAGAGAGCGAGACCCTGTCTCAAAAAAATAAATACATGGCCGGGCACGGTGGCTCACACCTGTAATCCCAGCACTTTGGGAGGCCGAGGTGGGCAATCACCTGAGGTCAGGAGTTTAAGACCAGCCTGGCCAACATGGTGAAAACCCATCTCTACTAAAAATACAAAAAAATTAGCCACGCATGGTGGCGGACACCTGTAATCCCAGCTACTTGGGAGGCTGAAGCAGGAGAATTGCTTGAACCTGGGAGGCAGAGGTTGCAGTGAGCTGAGATCACGCCACTGCACTCCAGCCTGGGCAACAAGAGCAAGATTCTGTCTCAAAAATAAATAAATACATACATACATACATACATACATACGTAAATAAAAATAAAAGAAGTAAGCAATAGTGGAGGCTCTAAGGCACAGAAGCATGTCTTTGAGAGACATATTTCAGGCATCAGAGCCTTTTAGGACCTTTCTAATCACTGTAATGAAGCACAGGCTCGTATGGTATTAATTTGTAACTTATTTACTTTTTTTTTTTTTTTTTAGTCAGAGTCATGCCCAGGCTGGAAGTGCAATGGCACAATCATGGCTCCCTACAGCCTCAACCTCCCAGGCTTAACCAATCTTCCCACCTCAGCCTCCTGAGTAGCTGGGATTACAGGCAAGCGCTACCACACCCAGCTAATTTTTGTGTTTTTTTGTGGAGACGTGGTTCCGTCATGTTGTCCAGGCAGATCTCAAACTGCTGAGTGCAAGTGATCCTCCTGCCTAAGCCTTCCAAAGTGCTGGGATGACAGGCGTGAGCCACTGTGCCAAGTCAGATCCTGTTCTTGAGAAGCTTCCATCCCAGTTGGGAGGGATCAGACATACACATAAAGTTAAAAAATAAATAACTACATATTAATATCAGGCAATAGTACCAGAGTGCAGCATTGAGCTTTTCAGAAGAAAGAGACATCATGGTTCCCAAAAGTATCATAAGGGTACCGTGGGGGCCCATGGGGTTGAGGGAGTACATAAAAACATCCAAAAGTGTTGGAGGGAAAGTTCATTGCTTTCCTTTCAGAGCTCCCAAATTTAAGTCTGGATACTGATCTTTTCCTGAACACCAAAAAGAATGATTGTTATTTGAAAGCATTCATGGCAGACCAATGAGTAAACATTTTAGCTGAGAGAGCACTTTGGCTAATAATTAAGCATTATTTTTACTGTACTTTAGATTCCCATGCAAGTCTATTTTAGCAACTTGTAATAATTTGACATTAAACTACAACATTTCAGTGATTTGTGATGTAATAGCTAACATGTATGCATTAACTCACTTAATGCTCTTGCCAACCCTAAAGTTTATGTCAAAACTTTAAATGTTTACTTCTGCATCAGACAAACTATAGCACTTAATAACTTCTGATTGATATTGATCCCAAAAGAAGTTTGTAATTGAGGGCTCATCTTTTTTTTTTTTTTTTTTTAATGAGACAGAGTGTCTCTCCACACCTAGATTGGAGTGCAGTAGTGCTGTCTTGGCTCACTGCAACCTCTACCTCCCAGGTTCAAGTGATTCTAGTGCCTCAGACTCCCGGGTAGCTGAGACTACAGGTGCATGCACTATGCCTGACTGCTTTTTGCATTTTTAGCAGAGACAGGTTTCCACCATGTTGGCCAGGATGGTCTCAAACTCCTGGCCTCCAGTGATCCGCCCGCCTTAGCCTCCCAAAGTGCTGGGATTAGAGGTGTGAGTCAAGGGCTCATCTTTACAGGGGAATTTCATTCCCCTGGAAAGAGATGGATAATTCATTCAATGGTATGGGAAAAAATGGTTATTTAAAAAATGCATTGCCAGGCGTGGTGGCTCATGCCTGTAATCCCAGCACTTTGGGAGGCCGAGGTGGGTGGATCACGAAGGAGGTCAGGAGATCAAGACCATTCTTGCTAACAGGGCGAAACCCTGTCTCTACCAAAAATACAAAAAAAAAATTAGCTGGTCGTGGTGGCAGATGCCTGTAGTCCCAGCTACTCGGGAGGCTGAGGCAGGAGAACAGTGTGAACCCAGGAGGCGGAGCTTGCAGTGAGCTGAGATCGCACCATTGCACTCCAGCCTGGGCGACAGGGTGAGACTCTGTCTCAAAAAAAAAAAAAAAAAAAAAATGCATTGAAGTTCTGTCTCTTGCTGTGCCCTGAGATTAAGTTCCTATGAATTGAAGAATTACTGCAAATAATAACATCATTTAAAAATCTAGAGGGGCCACAGTGGCTCATACCTATAATCCTAGAACTTTGGGAGGCTGAGGTGGGAGGCCTTGGAGGATCGCTTGAGCCCAGGAGTTCAAGACCAACCTGGGTAACATGGTGAGACCCTGTCTCTACAAAAGAAAAATAAATTTAAAAAAACTAAATGGGTATGGTGGCACACACCTGTAGCCTCAGCTACTTGGGACGCTGAGGTGGAAGGATCGCTTTAGCTTGGGAGATCGAGGCTGCAATGAGCCATGATTGTGCCATTGTACTTCAGCCTGGGTGATAGAGCGAGACCTGTCTCAAAAAAAAAAAAATATATATATATATATATATATATATAGATTAAAAAAATCACTAGGATGGCTGGGCACAGTGGCTCATGCCTGTAATCCCAGCACTTTGGGAGGCTGAGGCTGGTGGATCATTTGAAGTCAGGAGTTTAAGACCAGTCTGGGCAACATGGTGAAAACCCGTCTCTACTAAAAATACAAAAATTAGCCAGACGTAGTGATGGGTGCCTGTAATCCCAGCTACTCAGGAGGCTGAGGCAGGAGAATTGCTTAAGCCCGGGAGGTGGAGGTTGCAGTGAGCAGAGATCGAGCCGTTGCACTTCAGACTGGGCAACGGAGCAAGACTCCATCTAAAAAAAAAAAAAGCCACACACACTAAGATTTCAATGGAAATCTTGTCTTGTCAGTAAGTTCTGTTCTTACTCCAATGACATTTTATTAATTTGCATTCATTCCTACATAGCTCTAACATTGCCTTTTCATTTTTATATATAGATTCATCTTATGTATCCAATAGTAAATTTCTTGACTAAACAGGCTTTATTTGTGCTTAATCATCTGCCTTTCCAATCAATGTTGATTAGATTAGGCACTGGACATCTTTTTATTTTTATTTGTTTATTTATTTTGAGACAGGGTCTCACTCTGTTGCCCAGGCTGGGGTGCAATGGTGCTATCTCTGCTCACTGCAACCTCTGCCTCCCAGGTTCAAGCGATTCTCCTACCTCAGCCTCCCGAGTAGCTGGGACTACATACACACGCCATCACATGTGGCTAATTTTTGTATATTTTGGTAGAGACAGGGTTTCACCATGTTGGCCAGGCTGGTCTTGAATTGCTGATCTCAAGTGACCCACCCACCTCGGCCTCCCAAAGTGCTGGGATTACAGACATGAGCTACCATGCCCGTCCAAGAAAAAGATATATTTTTAATTTCATGTAGCCTAAGTGTACAGCATTTATAAAGTCTATAGTAGTGTATGATCATATCCTAGGACTTCACATTCACTCACCCACTCACTCACTCACTTCCAGTCCTGCAAGTTCCATTCATGGTAACTTCCCTATATGGATGTACCATTTTTAATCTGTTATACCATATTTTTACTGTACCTTTTCTGTTGAAGTATGTTTAGATACACAAATACTTACCATTGTGCTACAACTGTCTACAGTACTTAGTACAGTAACATGTTATGCAGGTTATAGCCTAGGAACAATAAGCTACACCATATAGCCTAGTTGTATAGCAGGCTACATCATCCAAGTTTGGGTAAGCACACTGTATGATGCTTGCACAACCACAAAATCACCTAACAACACATTTCTCAGAATGTATCCCCATTGTGAAGTGACCCATGACTGTACATTTAAGGGAATATAATGAAATAGGTGAGGCTGGCCAGGCGCAGTGCCTCACGCCTGTAATCCCAGCACTTTGGTAGGTCGAGATGGTTGGATCACGAGGTCAAGAGATTGAGACCATCCTGGCCAACATGGTGAAACCCTGTATCTACTAAAAATAGAAACATTAGCCAAGCATGGTGGCATGTGCCTGTAGTCCCAGCTACTCCGGAGGCTGAGGCAGGAGAATTGCTTGAACCCGGGAGGCAGAGGTTGCAGTGAGCTGAGATTGTGCCACTGCACTCCAGCCTGGGCAACAGAGCGAGATTCCACCTCAAAAAAAAAAAAAAAAAGAAAAGAAAAAAAAAGAAAATAAATAGGTGAGACTTTGGCCTAAAAACCCAGGGTTCTAAGAGGATTTATTCTTCTAAATAATTAAATAATCCTTGAGTGAGCCTGTAAACCACATTAAACAACTTTGAAAGGACATGCAGTCATCCTCTTTTCTTGTTTCCAAGTTTTGGATACATTTTTTTTTTTTTTTTTTTGAGACAGAGTTTCACACTCTTCTTGCCCAACCTGGAGTGCAATGGCACGATCTCGGCTCACCACAACCTCCACCTCCCAGGTTCAAGCAATTCTCCTGCCTCAGCCTCCTGAGCATCTGGGACTACAGGCGACCACCAGCACACCTGGCTAATTTTGTATTTTTTTAGTAGAGACGGGGTTTCTCCATGCTGGTCAAGCTGGTCTTGAGCTCCTGACCTTAGGTGATCCACCCACCTTGGCCTCCCAAAGTGCTGGGATTACAGGCATGAGCCACTGTGCCCGGACTCTCTCTCTTTTTTTTTTTTTTTTTAACACAGTTTTTCTCTTGTCTCCCAGGCTGCAGTGCAGTGGTACGATCTTGGCTCACTGCAACCTCCGCCTCCTGGGTTCAAGCGATTCTCCTGCCTCAGCCTCTCAAGTAGCTGGGATTACAGGCATCTGCCACCAAGCCCGGCTAATTTTTCGTACTTTTAGTAGAGACAGGGTTTCATCATGTTGGCCAGGCTGGTCTTGAATGCCTGACCTCAGGTGATCCGCCTGCCTCGGCCTCCCAACGTGTTGGGATTACAGGCATGAGCCGCTGTGCCCAGCCAATAATTTTTCTTAACAGCACCGAAGCTCCTGGCAGGCAAGTGGGTAAGGTGATATTCAGTGAGGTATAGATTGGAGAGGAGGTACAAGGAAGCTGGAGGAGGCTGATGGACTGAGACAAAAAGGAGAAGCCAAGGGCAGGAATTCTAGATGAGGTCCAAGGGCAGGTAAGTGAGAGAAAGGGAGTAAGAAAATGGGAGGAACCCGAAATTTGAGCAGGGAGATGGAGAGGTGGAGCAGTTCCAAGGGTTCTTAGTGTCCAGTGCGTGGCTGCAGCAGAGGACTGCGGAAGTGGATAGCAGGTAACCACGAATGGCTTCCAAATCTAAGCAGCCAGGAGGCCAAGCTGGTTTGGCTGGATGTGTTGTCCACATGGATGCTGATGTCTCTCCTGAATCAGTCAGGATTTGATCAGAGAAGCAGAGCCATTAGGAAGGATAGAGAATAAGGGACTTATATAGGGATGATATAGAATCACACAATTGTGGGAACTGGTGGAAAACAACAAGACTGCTGCCTCTGTATCTAGTTTGTTTAGCCTAAAGTCTCTGTGGTCTCACTGGCGTCGGAAAAGAAAGCTGGACCTGAATGAGAGTGAGGACACATGGAAACTCACAAGGACAACTGGAACCCAGGTCTACTTCTCCCCACTTTGAACCTACATGCTAGGAGTGCTGATGAAGTTCTGATGGGGCTAGGGGAGCCGCGGTCCAGATACAGCCTCATGCCGGTGAACTAAGCGTCACTGGAACAATGCATGGGAGCTGCCTCAGTGCCTGCTGCCTGCGCTTTACCTTCAGAGCAGTAAAAAAGAAAAAAGGCTGCTGTTTCCTACACCTTCCAAACACTGCAAATTTCTCTGGTAGCCAACGCTAACCCAGAATATACAGGGACAGGAATTCTGGGAAATGTTCCAGCTCAGCTAAGTTGACACAGAAGAAAGCCACTGCACTTCTTCAACACCAAGCACAGTGCCTACGAACAGATCCTATACATAGGGCACTTAATAAATTGTGGGGGTTTTCCATCAAAGGTACCTTTGTTTTGAAGGTCAGAAGGAACTACGGATATCTGCAACAACACGGAGAAACCTCAGAGCATTATGCTAAGTAATAAAAGCCATATATAAAAGAGTACACACTGTATTAGTCCATTGATACAGAATTCTAAAACAAGCAAAGCTAATCTATGGTGACAGAAATCAGAACAAAGTTGCCTGGGACAGGGAGGGAGTTGGGAGTCCCCTCCCTTGGGAAAAGGCATGAGGAAATCCTTAGGAGGTGATGGAAATGTTCTATATTTTGATAGAGGTGTGGGCTACACACGTGTATGCATTTGTCAACACTCTCTGTACCTCTAAGAGCTGTGCGTTTTATTATATGTAAATTATTATTTTTATTTTTATTTGAGACTTGGGTTTCACTATGTTTCCCAGGCTGGACCCAAATTCCTGGCTTCAAACTATTCTCCAGCCTGGCCTCCCAAAGTGATAGGATTACAGGTGTGACTCACTGTGTTCAGCCTATTGTAGGTAAGTATCTCCATTACAAAAACAAACAAAGAAACAAACAAAAACAAAATTAAAGAAAAGTGGTGCCCTCAGAGCTAATTACAGATTAATTAAACAACCATGAAAAACCTTATATCTGCCTAGCTGGCCATTTTTAAAACTGGCCTCATAATGAGTATTTTCGCTCTATAATTGGGAAAGCATCGCCAGGAGTCTCAGAAGAACATGCAATACCAAAATTCCTCTCCATCAGCCACAAGAGAAATCAGAGAGGAACAGAAGCAGGTAGGAGACAAAGGCAAAACTCCTAATAACAAGACAAGGAAAATAAACTCAACACTGAACTACAGAACTAGAATTTTTATTCCTTTTTCCTTGTTTTCAAAAATTTAAATTAACAGTCTGTTCAACAGAGATTTGGTTTCTAAACTGCATCTAGCTCTCACTGTACCCATGTGTGTGACAGAAAGAGAGAGAAAGAGTAACAAACGTTCCAAATAATGGAAATCATCATAAATGGAAGCTAGGGGAAGCAGTTTCACTGTACCCAGAGGAAATGGATTCCACAGCCATGCAAGGACCTGAATCTCTGTCCGGCTTTCACCTTGTCTTCTTGACTGGCCTCGTTGTCATGACATTTGCAATTTTTTTAAACAACATCAAAGAACAAAAACTATCTCCCTTCTCACCATTGGTCGTTACCTGATACCCATTTATCAGGGAGCATACTTTTCTGTAATGAATTTATTTCAGCATAGGGACAGCAACTTAAGGCATAAATGCTAAGATGGAGGCAGAAAGGAAAGAGGTTCGCCCAGAGATCCAAAGGAGAAGTGGGAGGGGAGACTCTGAAAGGCAGGGAAGAACCCCGAAAGGAGGGGCTGGGGGCTCGAGCTGGTTGTGAAAGCCTTTCCCCTTTACGCTTTGCTCTCAGTGTGGCGGGCAGACTGGATGACCAGGTGCCTTAGAGGTTCTCACAGGCACCTTTGCTTACTTAGTCCTTTTACAGCTCGGATTAATGTTTAACTTCCTTTGGGAAAGATCAAAAAACAAAGGCAGAAACTCACAGCCGGGTAGCCGTGGCATCCTCACCCCAGGGCTAGACTCTACAGCTCTTGCTCTTTGTCCCCAAGTCTCCTCCCCTCTCCTTTGTCTCCAGGCCCCAGGGGAAGGCTAGAGAATGATCACGTGGCCGGGATGGGGCTGTGTTCCTGGCAGTCCCCTGGGCTTCCTGCAGGGACCTGGATTCTTAGTATTTCAGGCTGCTGTCCCTTTTTTTTTTTCATTTCCTTTTTGTTTTTGTTGTTGATGTGACCGCGTGTCCACAACCCTGGGATTCCCTCGCCCTCAGATTCCAGAATCCAATTTCTTGGATTTCAGTGTTTTTAAGGTCAGTGGAAACTTTTTTAAAAAGCAACATTAAGCTAATATATTCTTACTGCAGAAAAGGAGCTTTGTTCTATTTATCTCTAAAACTGATGCTCACTAGTAGTTCTCAGATTTGGAAAGGTATTTGTACTATTTATTTATAGGAGCATTTATTTATAGGAAATACTGGCTGGGCGTGGTGGCTCATACCTATAATCCCAGCACTTTGGGAGGCCAATGTGGGCGGATCAGTTTGAGACCAGCCTGGCCAACATGGCAAAACCCCGTCTCTACTAAAAATACAAAAATTAGCTGGGCGTGGTGGTGAGTGCCTGTAATCCCAGCTACTCCGGAGGCTGAGGCTGGAGAATCGCCTGAACCTGGGAGGCGGAGGTTGCAGTGGGCCGAGATCGCGCCATTGCACTCCAGCCTGGGCGACAAAAACGAAACTCCATCTCAAAAAAAAAAAAAGGAAATCCACTAGATCGAGGTGCTTGGAAAAACAACCCATCACTAAGGATCCTTCCCTTCCTCTTCTCCATTAATACCACCTTTGTAAAGATTCCCTCCGGTACCACCCCAAAGAACTGAAGTGCAGATAATTATTTCCCAGAATGTTGTTTTTACGCTGGTGAAATTCAACGGCAAACATTTTACTAACACTCTCCTCCTTTTCCTACCTGAGGTATTAAAACTTGGAGTCAGCCTGGGTAATATTTTATAGGAAAATGCTCTTCATCACTGTACACCTGTGCCTACCATGGTACCTGGGGCATCTAGTAGGTGCCAGATAAATATATATGTACATTTTATATATATATATATATATATGTATGTATGTATATATAGTTTTTTTTTTTTTTTTTTCCCGAGACAGAGTCTTGCTCTGTCACCCAGGCTGGCATGCAGTGGCGTGATCTTGGCTCACTGCAACCTCCGCCTCCTGGTTCAAGCAATTCTCCTGCCTCAGCCTCCCAAGTAGCTGGGATTACAGGCACGCACCACCATGCCCAGCTAATTTTTGTGCTGTTAGTAGAGACGAGGTTTCACCATGATGGCCAGGCTGGTTTCAAACTCCTGACCTCAGGTGATTCGTCCACCTCAGCCTCCAAAAGTGCTGGGATTACAGGCACGAGCACTGCACCCTGCCACAGACAAATATTTACTGAGGGAATTAATGAGAAGAATCTGGGAGAAAAGAAGAAAGCAGAGATTTCTAAAATGGAAGAATTTCCCCTAGAATTATCCAGAACTGACTGTGTAATAAAAGTACACTTTTTCCTTCTTTGCTTAGCTAAGTATTGGGGAAACATTTAAAATTATTAAAAATAGAGGGAGTTTCGGGAGCCTGAAAAGTCTTTAGACCCCAAAACTGCTGGGATCCTAGGCCTTAAGATTCCAAAGAAGAGATGCTCTTAGACTTGATCCTGCCTGCTCACAGGCTCAGAGTGGACGTGGCTACTGGCTTATCTTAGGTCTAGAAGAATTAAGTGATTGCAGTATGCTCAGCTTAAAAAGTTGTCATGAACCTGGGGATGGAGTAGAGGGGGTTGGTATTTAGAACATCCTAACCACCCCTTTCTGCTCTGGTCTAGAAGGAGGCCAGAAACATTTCATAAAATGTTGTACAAAGTAGCACTCCCAGAATCCTGGCTGTTCAGCGAGGCAGTGCCGGCTGCTCAGTTGAGCATGGCCCTTTGGATTCACACGGACCTAAGTCCAAATTCTATCTGTGTCCTGAGCTGTTTAGCCTGATAAAGAAAAGTAGACACTGGGCCAGGTGCAATGGCTCATTTCTGTAATCCCAGTACTGTGGGAGGCTGAGGCAGGTTGATCACCTGAGGTTGGGAGTTTGAGACCAGCCTGACCAACATGAAAGAAACCCCTTCTCTACTAAAAATACATAATTACCCGGGCGTGGTGGCACATGCCTATAATTCCAGCTACTCGGGAGGCTGAGGCAGGAGAATCGCTTGAACCTGGGAGGCGGAGGTTGCAGTGAGCCGAGATGGCACCATTGCACCCCAGCCTGGGCAATAAGAGCAAAACTCTGTCTGGGAAAAAAAAGAAAAAAGAAGAGTAGACACCATGAGGCCTGGTAAGTATTAAGCTGCAAAGAAAACTCAGATAATTAACTTAAGCGCGGGGGAGTTAGTTGAATGGAGAGCTGCCCCAGTGAAGACCAAAGGTGAGGGATGGTGGGTGATGTGGGTGGCAAAGTTGCATGAGGAAAAGGGATGGACAGTTCAGGCTGGTGGGTCTTCGGGAGCTTGGCACAGCTGCTGGGCCCCAAGTCTATTTGTTGAGGCTGATAGTATAGTCCCAAGTACACCATTAATTTTTTTTTTGTTTTGTTTTGACATGGAGTCGTGCTCTGTTGCCCAGGCTGGAGTGCAGTGGCACAGTCTTGGCTCACTGCCATCTATCTCCGCCTCCGGGGTTCAAGCAATTCTTCTGCCTCAGCCTCCCGAGTAGCTGGGACTACAGGCGCCCACCACCACGCCTGGCTAATTTTTGTGTTTTTAGTAGAGACGGGGTTTCACCATGTTGGCCAGGCTGGTCTCGAACTCCTGACCTCGTGATCCACCCGCCTCGACCTCCCAAAGTGCTGGGATTACAGGCGTGAGCCACCGCGCCCGGCCTCATTAAGTTGTTTTTCTGCTGATTCTGACCTACTTTTCTGGAAGCAGCCACTCAGTCATTCTTTAGGAGCCGTGGCTACTTGCAATCTTATATCTTCCAGGCCCAGCATCCTGCAGCAAACAAGTCCAAACCATGTGCTAAGGGTACTAAAAATTCATTTCTCAAACCTCAGCACTATTGATATTTGGGGCCAAATCATTGTTTCTTTTATTTTATTTTATTTTTATTTATTTATTTATTTAGAGACGGAGTCTTGCTCTGTTGCCCAGGGTAGAGTACAGTGGCACGATCTCGGCTTACTGCAACCTCCACCTCCCCGTTCAAGCAATTCTCCTGCCGCAGCCTCCAGAGTAGCTGGGATTACAGGTGCCTGCCACCACACCCGGCTAATTTATTTGTATTTTTAGTAGAGATGGGGTTTCACCATGTTGTCCAGGCTGGTTTCAAACTCCTAACCTCAAGTGATCTGCCCTCCTCGGCCTCCCAAACTGTTGGAATTACAGGCGTGCGCCACCATGCCCGGCCAAAATCATTGTTTCTTATGGGGTGCTATCCTGCAGGGCAACATAGTAGGATATTTTGCAATATCCCTGGCCTCTACCCACCAGACGTCTTGCAGTATCCTCCAATTATGACAATGCAAAATGCCTATAGACATCACCAAATGTCACTGTATGCCAAATTTCCCCCATTTGCAAACCACTGCATCATACAAATTTTTCTCCATGAAATGCTTCACACAGGGCTTCCATGAGGATTGGAATTCATTAGTCTAGTTCCAGAGCAAAACCAAGAAACTCAGTATTGGCCAGGTGCAGTGGCTCACACCTGTAATCTCAGCATTTTGGGAGGCCGAGGCGGGCGGATCACGAGGTCAGGAGATAGAGACCATCCTGGCCAACATGGTGAAACCCCGTCTCTACTAAAAACACAAAAATTAGCCAGGCGTGGTGGTGGGCGCCTGTAGTCCCAGCTACTCAGGAGGCTGAGGCAGGAGAATGGCGTGAACCCAGGAGGCGGAGCTTGCAGTGAGCCGAGATCACACCACTGCACTCCAGCTTGGGCGACTGAGCAAGACTGTCTCCAAAAAAAAAAAAAAAAAAAAAAATGAAACTCAGTATCACTTTCTGTTGAGTTTATAACAGTGCTTCTTCCCAATTCTACCTTCGACGTGGGTAAGTAGATTCCTACTCAGGGCCCCAGACCTTAAACAGACCTGCTCTAGGCTTGTTTAAGCCAAGTCTCTTCCCATGGAGGAGGGAGTCAACAGGGCGAAGAGAATATGTCCACTGGAGCCTGTTCCCTCTCTCCTAGACCATTCTGGGTGCTCGCAGGACATCAAAATTTCTTGCACAGAAGGGTCAAGTCTACCTACAGGGCATACACAGCTTTTTCGCAGGGTCACTTCTCCAGACTGGGCCATGACACTGGGGTGGCCCACGTGGGGTCATGGAGTGTCAATGTAGATGGAGCTTAGATGTGTGGCCTATGCTATTTTTGGCAACGTAAATGGAGCTTAGATATGTGGGCTGTACTATTGCCCCAGATCCTGCAAATGCAACACAAGGGCCTGCTCTCTCCTTCTTGAGCCACCAGCTCTCTTACAAGATGTCATTGAGATCGCTAGCAACTCCAAAGCCTCTGTGTACCTTCTCCACTTTCCTCAATCTCTACAGAAGGTGGTGATAAGCACTCACCCCAAGTGGAGAACCAGAAGGGAAAATAAGAGGTTCCGAGAGCCCAGAGAATTCCCCCTCAGAGCAAGCAGGGGCTAGACAGCTTTGTACCTCTCCACTGAGCAAAGAGCACTACCCCGTGATCAGTGAAACACTCTCCAGGAAAACACCAGCATTCCTGGTAGATTTGTTTTCCTTTGCTTGTCTCTAATCGACACACAAGACCTTCTCTGGGCTATGGATTCCACAGTCAGATATTTAGAGAGATGTCGCCACTGCCTTCTCCTCAGTGAAGCAGTCTGGCTGATGCTCCCCCAGGGGAAATGAATCACTCTCTTGATTTTGAACTTGCACAGCCTGTTACTCACACCTTGGCTAGTGACTGACCTGTTCCATCACACCTTCTGTAGAGGCGAATCCTATGAGCTCCCGTAAGGCAGCAGCACCTGACTCACCTGGCTTCCCCACTGGGCCTAGCACAGGGCTCACACACGGTGCAGCTGCTCAGGTGTTCCTCCCTAAATCAATTAACTTTAAAATTCCACCTGGTTGGGATCAAAGTCATTGAGATTTATGAGAAAAACCAGTCCAACCAGTCCCCACTTCATGATTTTCCCCTGTGGCTCTTAGATCCTGAATCTGGTTTATTTTGTCAACTTAATATCCTGCTATCAACACTCACTTTATACTTGGCCCATGCATGGGTAGGGGCGGAGCTTCTTTACATTCTAAAGACTGGGAGCATCAAAAAGAGGAAGTTTTAGAGATTGTATTAGTTCCCTAGGGCTGCTGTAACAAAATGCCACAGACAAGGTGGCTTAAAACAACAGAAATATGGCCGGGCATGGTGGCTCATGCCTGTAATCCTAGCAGTTTGGGAGGCTGAGGTGGGAGGATCACCTGAGGTCAGGAGTTCGAGACCAGCCTGACCAACATGGAGAAACCCCATCTCTACTGAAAATACGAAAAAATTAGCCGGGCATGGTGGCGGGCGCCTGTAATCCCAGCTACTTGGGAGGCTGAGGCAGGAGAATCGCTTGAACCTGGGAGGTGGAGATTGCGGTGAGCCAAAATCATGCCACTGCACTCCAGCCTGGGCAACAAGAGCAAAACTCCATCTCAGAAAAACAAAAAAACAAACAAAACCCAGAAATATATTCTCTCTGGTTCTGAAGGTCAGAAGTCCAAAATCTAGGTGTTGGGCAGGGCCTCACACTCTCTGAAGGCTCTCAGAGAGCCTTCCTTGCCTCTTTCTTACTTCTGGGCGTGTTCCTCAGCTTATAGATATCTATCATTGCATGGCATTTTCCCTGTGTGTCTTCTCTGTGTTCAAATGTCCTTTTTTTTTTTTTTTTTTTTCTTGAGATGGAGTCTTGCTCTGTCACCCAGGCTGGAGTGCAATGGTGCAATCTCGGCTAACTGCAATCTCTGTCTCCCGGGCTCCGGTGATTCTCCTGCCTCAGCCTCCCGAGTAGCTGGGACTACAGGTGCCTGCCACCATGCCCGGCTAATTTTTGTATTTTTAGTAGAGACAGGGTTTCACCATGTTGGCCAGGCTGGTCTTGAACTCCTGACCTCAGGTGATCCACTGGCCTTGGCCTCCCAAAGTGTTGGGATTACAGATGTGAGCCACCACACCTGGTACCGCACCCCCCCCTTTATAATAAGGACACCAGTCATTGGGTTAGGCTTTACCCTAACTCAGTATGACTTGATTACGTCTGCAAAGAGCCTATTTCCAAGTAAGCTGACTCTCTTGGGTATGGAGGTTAGGACTTGAACACGTCTTTTGAGGGAATACCCACTACAGAGATGAAAGCACTTAATTCCCGCAGCCTTTGGGGAAACTGTCTTGTGGCATGTGTGAGCCTAACCTCACATCTCCTCTCCCCACAAAAAGCTTTGAATCTGGAAAGCTTAATTTGGATCCTAGCTCCATCATATGTGACACCTCGGATAAACTGCTTAACCCAGAATACCTTCAAATGTTATTATACTCCTCCACACAAAATCGAAGAGCTTTATAACAGTCTATTCTCATTTCTTCTCTTCTATCCTTTGGGCCATTATTTTCTTTCTTTTTCTTTTTCTTTTTTCCTCCATTTTTTCTTTGGAGACAGAGTCTCACTATGTTGTCCAGGCTGGAGTGCAGAGGCCATTCACAGGCATGATCATAGTGCATCACAGCCTTAAACTCCTGGGCTCAGGCAATCCTCCCACCTCAGCCCCCTGATGGGCTATTATGATTATTCATTTTATTTCTACATATGTTATAAACCTCATAAGGCATTGTTATTATTTTTTGCTTTAAACAGTTTCAAGTTTAGAAAAATTTTGGCTTTTTTTTTTTAGCCTTCCCTCATTTTGGGGGGGCTCCAATTATGTTAGACCACTTGATACTATCCCACAGATCACCGAGGTGGTGTTCATCTTATTATGTTATTTTTATTTTCATTTTTAAAATCTATTTTTATTTTGGCTG
Organism: Homo sapiens; assembly: GCF_000001405.40. NCBI lineage: Eukaryota > Metazoa > Chordata > Mammalia > Primates > Hominidae > Homo > Homo sapiens. Next base: position 47,338,121 of record NC_000002.12, on the reverse strand, counting down.
GGCGCAGTGGCTCACACCTGTAATCCTAGCACTTTAGGAGGCCGAGACGGGTGGATCACCTGAGGTCAGGAGTTCGAGATCAGCCTGGCCAACATGGAGAAATCCCGTCTCTACTAAAAATACAAAAATTAGCCGAGTGTGGTGGCACGTGCCTGTACTCCCAGCTACTTGGGAGGCTGAGGCAGGAGAACCACTTGAACCTGGGAGGTGGAGGTTGGAGTGAGCCAAGATAGCATCACTGCACTCCAGCCTGGGTGACAAGAGTGAAACTCTGTCTCCATAAATAAATAAATAAATGTAAAATAAAATAAAATAGAAATGGCCGGTTCAAAATTCATGAGAAAAACATGGAGAGGGAAGGTGGCTCCTGGAGGGAGTGGTGTGGGACCAGTAGCTAAAGGAATCCAGTTTCGGTGAGTTATCTGTACCATAAAGATGAAGTGTCATGAGCCCCTTGCTCCACAAAGCTTGTGGAAATAGAGAACCATGAATTAGATCCAGAGGCAAGCTTCATGAGGAATCATGGGTCCTTTTTTTTTTTTCTTTTCTTTTCTTTTTTGTGAGACAGTCTCTGTCGCGCAGGCTGGAGTGCAGTGGTGCGATTTTGGCTCACTGCAACCTTTGCGTCCCAGGCTCACCTGCTTCAGCTTCCTACAGGCAGGTGCAAGCCACCATGCATGGCTAATTTTGTTTATTTTTTGTAGAGACAAGGTCTCAAGAGTTCTCACTATGTTGCCCAGGCTGGTCTTGGACTCCTGGGCTAAAGCGGTCCTCCTGCCTTGGCCTCCCAAAAGTGCTGGGATTATAGGCATGAGCTGCCATGCCCAGTCTGAGATCATGGGTTCTTTAACTGTACCCTCTTCAGACCTTAGCCCAGTATGGGATATAAAGGAGCTTCTCAGGATAGATTGACTATTATTTGCAAAGGTAATGAGAAGTGAGTCTGTGCTTGGAACAGATACCAGAGAATGCAGCCTCTGTGATGAGATCATCTGGGCCCTGTGAAAGAAACTGTTTGGCAGAGACGGTTGCTTATCAAAGCTGGCTGGGTGTGTTTTGGCCCTGTGTTATCTGTTTAGAGTCAAGGCTGGCCTCAGTGAGGAGCAAAGAGCCAGCCAGTGGGTGGTCTAGCCTCCTGCACTCAAATATGTCTCCCCCAAAAGCTGAGAGTCCCTTTAGAATTCAGTTTCTTTCAGCTATTTCTGCCTGGTTCAAATGTGAACACCCTGTCCTGAATGGTGAATGAATTTTTTTCTTCCTCATTTGGGCTTCTAGTTGAAAACCACACCCTACCAGATGAAATGCAGAAGTGAAATTTGTGGAAAGTGGTCTGGGTGGAAACCCTCCTCTAAATCCCATCTGAGATCTCAAAGGACACTGGTTCTCAGAAGAGCCTAGAAGACAGAGATGGGGCAAGGAGGGGTCTCACAGCTGCCCAACACCAGCCAGCACATAATTTGGGCCAAGATTTGGTTAACTGTGGATTGGGACAAGGTGAAAGAAAACATGGCTCACAAAGGAAGTCCAATGGCACCCATGAGGCAAATGTACGCTGGGCTCAGTTACAGATATGGGGAGGAGCAAGTTTGGAAGTCGCAACTGTCACCATCAGGGAGAGCTGGGGCCACAGCTGGGAGACAGGACCTCTAGTCAGAGCTGCTGGTGCTTCAGGGATGGAAGACTCAGACGCTACAGGCTTGACCTGCCTTCAAGGTATGAATGATGGCAGGTATGCTGAGAAGTTTACTTGCCTCCTGCAATGTTTTCCCTACCTGCTCACAGATGCCTGACATTCCTTTTAACAGGGAACAGGCCTTGTATTACAGAGCAAAAGAGCAAGCTTAAAATGGCCATTGGAGGAGAGACTCATATCTGAGAAAGACAGCAAGAGGGGGAGAATGGTGTGTGTGTGTGTGTGTGTGTGTGTTTGTCTAGGATGGTATAATTTTGCTCAAGGCCATGGAAATAAGAAAATTTGGAGGCTGGGCACGGTGGCTCACAGCTGTAATCCCAGTACTTTGGGAGGCTGAGGCAGGCGGATCATTTGAGGTCAGGAGTTTGAGACCAGCCTGGCCAACATGGTGAAACCCCGTCTCTACTAAAAATACAAAAATTAGCCAGGCATGGTAGTGCATGCCTGTAATCCCAGTTACTTGGAAGGCTGAGGCAGGAGAATCACTTGAACCTGGGAGATGGAGGTTACAGTGAGCCGAGATTGAGCTATTACATTCCAGACTGGGTGACAGAGCTAGACTCCATCTCAAAAAAAAAAAAAAAAAAAAAAGAAAGAAAATTTGGGGTCCTGTTGGTGGGGTGGGAGGAGGGACAGCATCAGGAAGAATAGCTAATGGATGCTGGGTTTAATACCTAGGTGATGGGTTGACCTGTGCAGCAAACCACCATGGCACACGTTTACCTATGTAACAAACCTGCACATCCTGCACATGTACCCTCGAACTTAAAATAAATACTGATTAAAAAAGTAAAAAGAAAATTTGCTTTCTCCCCCACATATAGCAGTAGCAGCAGCATTTCAGAATGGCTTTAACTTCTCCCAGCTTTAAGAAGCTGAGGAAAGCAAGGCCTTTCTTCCAGGCAAGAATATGAAAAGGGGGGGGGGGGTTGTTGCTTTGAGGGAAGTTACGCTTATTTTTTTTTTGTCTTTTGTTTTTTTTTTTCCTTTTTCTGGAGAACGGGGTCTCGCTATATTGCCCAGGCAGGTCTCGAACTCCTGGGCTCAAGCTATCCTCCCGCCTCTTAGCCTCCCTGAGAGCTGGGATTACAGGCGTGAGCCACCGCGCCCGGCCTCTTATTCTCGATTGAAATTCTTTCATAGATCTCAAATTGTCGCTCTGAAATGCAGTACTTCCCTCTGCTGGCCATAGGGTTATATAGCTCATCAAAAACAAGGATGACTCCCAAGTCGTCTCCCTCATCTAAGACTAAGGAATTGACTCAGGACATGAGGTGGGAGATAAATCAAATATAGGATGATTTTCCAACCCTCACACCCCCTCAGAAAACATCCTTGAGTGTCTTTTGGCTCTGAATTTAAATAGGTTTATCTAGCTTCTCCAGCCTGTGCTTAGCCAATTAGGTCACATTGGCATGAATGTGCAAAGAACAATGGCTTGGAGCCCCACCCACCCAATTGCAGGACCTTGGCCCCCTCCCAAAACCTCCCTCAGAGATCCTGGAATACTTTCAGGGGGCGGAGGCTCATGATTTGGGGTTTGGGGCCTCACAGAGAGTCCACCATGTTCTTCTTGCTGGCTTCTGTCCCTACACCATCTCTTGGTTAAAAAGCCCCTCAAGGTCTCAAGCCGGGCGCAGTGGCTCATGCCTGTAATCTCAACACTTTGGGAGGCCGAGGTGGGCGGATCACCTGAGGTCAGGAGTTTCGAGACCTCCCTGAGCAACATAGTGAAACCCCATCTCTACCAAAAATGCAAAAATTAGCTGGGCATGGTGGCACATGCCTGTAATCGCAGCTACTTGAGAGGCTGAGGCAGGAGAATCGTTTAAACCTGGGAGGCGGAGATTGCAGTGAGCCGAGACAGCACCACTGCACTCCAGCCTGGGTGACACAGCAAGATTCCATCTCAACAACAGCAACAAAAGCCCTTGAAAGAAATTTCCCGCTGCTCTATTGTCCTGCCTGAGCCAGAGTCTGCTAATTCTCGAGTCTGCCTCGGTTGCAGTCCTGCTAGTGCCAGTTTCTGTGCAGATGTAGGAAAAAGGGCTCCACAAGAGAGGTGGAATTTATTCTGATGTATTTGTATGACCAAATAACAAGTTACATGCTCTCCATTGCATGGTGGTGTGTTTTGGTTAAAAAGCTACCATATCCTAGCAGGGTGGTGGTGATGTGTACCTGTAGTCCCAGCCACTCAGGAGGCTGAGGGAGGAGGATTGCTTGAGCCCAGGAGTTTGAGATCAGTCTGGAAAACATAGTGAGACCCCATCTTTAAAAAAAAAAAAAAAAGCTACCTTGCTTAGGGGGCTTTTTTCATTCTTGTGAAACTGAATTTCCACAAATTGATTCTGAAATCAGAGTGAATACTCTACTAGTATTTTCTATTTCTTTAAGATGTTTTATTTATTTATTTGAGACAGAGTCTCTCTGTCGCCAGGCTGGAGTGCAGTGGTGTGATCTCGGTTCACTGCAACCTCCGACTCCCTGGTTCAAGCGATTCTCCTGCCTCAGCCTCCCGAGTAGCTGGGACTACAGGCACGCGCCACCACGCCCAGCTGATTTTTGTATTTTTAGCAGAGATGGGGGTTTCACCGTGTTAGCCAGGATGTTCTTGATCTCCTGACCTTGTGACCCGCCCACCTCAGCCTCCCAAAGTGCTGGGATTACAGATGCGAGCCACCGTGCCCAGCCAAGATGTTTTATTCAAATTCTACTTTGATTTTATTTGAGGCCTTCAAAACCTTCCATAATGAAGGCTGGATATATCCCTTAGGATGAGAAATAGAGCCTAAAGGAGATGTTCTCAACATGACTCTCCAGTAAACAGTGGTAGTAAGTACTAGGGTCAAACCTCACCTTGGGGAGAAAAAGGGTGTTTATAGGTTTATGGGCCTTTCTCAAAGGCACACTGAAAAACACGAAACACAGGTCTCATTGTAGAGGCTGAGAAGTGGGAGCATATCCAGTTTTTAAAAGCAAATAAAATACAAGTTATTACTTGTGACACAAACAAGCCGGAACCCCAAGACCCAGAGGTGCTTCTTGGCATCTGGAAGAAGCTGATGCGGTGGCAGTGCTCTGAGTCAGGGGATGCTCAAGGATTACTCCGTAGGCCTTCAGTGATGTGTTTAGTGCTGCAGCGGGAAACTTCACCTCTCTTTTAACCCCAGTCTAAGGCCTCAGCTCAGCTCTGATAGGAGCTACTGGAAGCAAGTGACTTCGCAGAGGACCTAAACTGTAAGAAGTTCGCATTGAAAGCTGGAGCCAAGGTCGGTTTCGTGGGTGTGCATCAGGCATAGACAGGGCCTCGTGCTCAGAAGAGCTCTGTTCAAAAGGGTCCTGCACTGGGGGGCTAATGTTCTATGACACTGTCTTAGAATTCTTTTCTGTTTTTTTGAGGTGGGAGGTCTCGCTATGCTTCCCAGGCTGGACTCAAATTCCTGGGCTCAAGTGATTCCCCCGCCTCAGCCTCCTGAGTAGCTGGGACTACAGGTAAGTGCCACTGCACCCACCTTGTCTTGAAATTCTTAATAATTTTTTCGTTGCATTTACACTTTGCAAGTGAAGTCCAATGGGACAATGCAGCATGCACTGAGGGCTTGGAGTCTTGGCCCATGCGTGGTCTGCCTCTCCCTGCTTCCCTGGAACAATTCTCAGCTGCCTGTTCCCCGCTTCCTGGTTCCCCAGGCCCCACCTGACTTCCCCTTCCTTGCTGACCTCTGCCTGCTGTAAGGGCCTAGCTGTGGGCACAGGGAGAATTGGGGTTGAGCTGGTGTGCCCTATGGCATTTTGGGGAGAGGCAGGGTGGCAGCCATCCTTGCCCTGGGCTGGCAGCGCCATGGTGCCTTTGATGAGCAGCAGCAGGACTGGCCTCTCAGCCATCCCCTAGCCAGGTGCTGAGACTGCTTTGGAATGGAGATTTAATCCCCTGGAGGTCTCCCAGCAGCCATGGGTTGGGGCAGCAGGCCTGTGGGAAGGGAAGATTGACGGCCTCACCTCATCCTTGCCCCTGGGCAGATATGGCATGTCAGTCTGGTGGTCTAGCCAGAGGAAGACTCCTGGAGCTGGTGAACTGTGCATGGATATGCAGTCACGGGCAGCCCACCTCCTACTCCTCACCCTCCCTGTGCCTGTGAGGGTCTGCACTCACCCTGTAAGTATCCCTGTGCCCAAGGAAGCATAGCATCAAACAGTAAATAAGAAACACCAAGAGAGGGCAAGACAGAGACCACAGAAGAAAGGAAAAGTTTGTAGTTTAGTGCCTCTAATGGCACTTTTTTCCCTACCCATCTTTTCTTTTCTTCTTTTTTTTTTTCAGGGTCTTGCTTTATTGCCCAGGCTGGAGTACAGTGGCGCAATCACGGCTCACTGCAGCCTCAACCTCTTGGGCCCGAGCAATCTTCCCACCTTGGTCTCCTAAAGTGCTGGGATAACAGGCATGAGCCACCACATCTGGCTGAGGCCCCACATTTTCATTTTGTGCTGAGACTTGTAAATTAGGTAGCTGGTCCTGGCTGTAGCAGATGGTATAGATTCTTTTTCTGGCTCTGTTTTTGTGACATCTCAACTTACTGGGCTCTTATTAAAGGTGATTTAGGTGACTTATCAACTTTTCATGAGTACAGATGAAGAACTCTTCTAGGGCAGGGGTCCCCAACCCTTGGGCCACAGACCAGTACTGGCCTATTAGGAGCCAGGCCGCACAGCAGGAGGTGAGTGGCAGGCAAGCAAATCAAGCTTCATCTGTATTTACAGCCACTCCCCATCACTAGCATTATTGCCTGAGCTTGGCCTCCTGTCAGATCAGTGGCGACCTTGATTGTCATAGGAGCGTGAACCCTCTAGTGAACTGCGCATGGCAGAGATCTAGGTTGCACTCTCCTTGTGAGAATCTAATGCTTGATGATCTGTCACTGTCTCCCATCACTCCGAGATGGGATCGCCTAGTTGCAAGAAAACAAGTTCAAGGCTCTCACTGATTTTGCCTTATGGTGAGTTGTATAATTATTTCATTATATATTACAAAGTAATAATAATAGAAATAAAGTGCACAATAAATGTAATGTACTTGAATCATCCCTAAACTATCCCCTGCCGCCCTAGTCTGTGGAAAAATGGTCTTTCATGAAACTGGTCCCTGTTGCCTAAAAGGTTGGGACTGCTGCTCTAGAAGGTATGGGATTGGGAGGTGGGGGTCACACAGATAGCCACTGACAACCTGAGAATAGTGACATGGGCCTGTAAAAACAGATCAATAGGTATCTGTGGAAGGTATTGATGAATACATGAATGAATGAATGAAACAACAAACTAAGAAAAATGGCATGGCATGCATGAATGTGTGATGGGCTCAAAATATGATCCTCATAGGGATATTTGCCTTAGAAAAAGGAGGCAAAGGCTAAGCTGGAAAAATCTGTGGCAATTGAGAGCCCTTGGGGGCTCTGGGTATGGGTGGGAGGAATCTAAAGTCTCTCTGTAGAGACTGGTCTTGGGCCATCCAATCTTCTCTGCCCGCTACAGCTAAGCCTTTTTCTGCCCACTACAGCTTCCCACATGCTGCTTCAATGTTGATATCTTGAAGAGGTTCCAGCCTGGCATGGTGGCTCACACCTGTAATCCCAGCACTCTGGGAGTTCAAGGTGGGAGGATTGCTTGAGCCCAGGAGTTCAAGAACAGCCTAGGCAACCTAGTGAGACCACATCTCTACAAAAAATTTAAAAATTAGCTCAACGTGGTGGTGTGTGTCCATAGTCCCAGCTACTCAGGAGACTGAGATAGGAGGATCACTGGAGCCCACAGGCTACAGTGAGCAATGATTGTGCCACTGCACTCTAGCCTGGGTGACAGAGCAAGACATTGTCGCCCAGAAAAAACAAAAAGAGAAAATAGAAGAGGTTCTTACTGTACAATAGGACTTTTTTTTTTCTTTTTTGGAGTCAGAGTCTTGCTTTGTCACCCAGGCTGGAGTGCAATCGCACGATCTCAGCTCACTGCAGCCTCCGCCTCCTGGGTTCAAGCGATTCTTCTGCCTCAGCATCCTGAGTAGTTGGGGTTACAGGCATGGGCCAGCACGCCCGGCTAATTTTTATATTTTTAGTAGATGGGGTTTCACCATATTGGCCAGGCTGGTCTTGAACTCCTGATCTCAAGTGATCTACCTGCCTCGGCCTCCCAAAGTGATAGGATCACAGGCGTGAGCCACCTCACCCAGCCACAATAAGAGCTTTTTAATGAGAAGAAGACACAAGTCTTGATTGAGAATTTCTCTTCCTGAGAGGAAGTACCAGCATGTTATGGACCTTAGCTGATTTGTCTTTAAAAATCTCAAGCTGTAATAATTCCCAGTTGCTCAGTGCACAGTGAATGAGGCTGATATTTAAACAGAACGCCTCAAAGGCACCCGCTGTGTCCACACTTTCTCCCTGCCTGTCCTATGCCTCTCCAGGTGATGTCCATCTTCTCCTTGAAGCCCTCTCTGGCTGCTCCAGTCCCTGAGCTTTCCTTCCTGCACTCATACAGCATGAGGAAGGCTCCATCTTTTTCTAGATGTGCTATTTTTTTTAGCATTTGCTGTGTGCACTTTAGAGGCTCATTGCCTCTTTGAGACCAAGGATGGCACTGTCCCTTCTCTCTAGTTGCTCTGAGTGCCAAGCACAGCCCTGAACACCAAATACTTTGACTCTTCTGTGGCTACTCAACCCTCCTGGCTGTTCCTTCATCACCCTGGACCGGCCCCCACTCCAGGGTCTTTGCACTTGCTCTCCCTCTGCTTAGAAAGCCCTTCTCCCTGCAATCTGCAGGGGCTTGATTACTCTTCTCTTTCAGGCCTTTGCTCAAATGTCACCTCATCAATGCACCCTTCTCTGACCATCCTATTGAATATTCCAAATCTTTTTTTTTTTTTTTTTTTTTGAGACAGAGTCTTGCTCTTGTCGCCCAGGCTGGAGTGCAGTGGCACGATCTTGGCTCACTGCAACCTCTGCCTCCTGGGTTCAAGTGATTCTCATACCTCAGCATCCTCAGGAGCTGGGATTACAGGCGCCCGCCATCACACCCGGCTAATTTTTGTAGTTTTAGTAGAGGCAGGGTTTTGCCATGTTGGCCAGGCTAGTCTCAAACTCCTAACCTCACGTGATCCACCCGCCTTGGCCTCCCAAAGTGCTGGGATTACAGGTGTGAGCAGGCCAGGAACTATTGTGCCATGGATATTGTTGGTAGCCTATCCATCTTCTATGTCCACATCTGCAGGGGAAGGGGACCCTACCCTCAGCTCCTGGGGTGGTCCCTGGTTGGCACAGTCCATTCTCCTGAGCACAGTCACAGTCTTCAGAGGGGCACCTGGTACCTGAGCTGTCCAATCGGGGAGATTCTTGGGACTCTCACCAGTAATGTTGGTGTAGACTTGTTTCCTGTTCTTCCTGGAGACCTTGTTGGCCTGACTGAGCCATCTGGCCACCAGAGTGAGGATGTGGACAACATAAAGCAGAGGGCAGAACCGAGGGAACCCCAGATAAGGGGAGCCAGACCTGGATTAAGGCAACTCTGAAAGGCAAGACTCTCTGGATACTTTTTAAGGCACTTGGGGACTAAAATAATAGAGAGTCTAACAAAAAAAATTTAAGATGTCCATTATATTGTTCAAAGTATAAAGAAATATGGAAACTCCTTTGCTTACAAACTTCCAGCTTCCAATTAAGCAGAGACCCCAAAGCTATAGCCCAAAGCAAAAGTATGTTGCCTTTAGTAGGGGGCACCTGTCGCCGACTCCCAGGAGTGTGGAGTTGGGAACTAGTTGGCATTTTCAGTTTGTTCTAGAAGTCCAGGACTATGTATCTTGTCTTCTTAACCTGAATGGGATTCTCCCCAGTTCAGGGAACCAGCTGTGAGCTTTTTTTTTTTTTTTTTTTTGAGACAGGGTCTCACTCTGTTGCCCACGCTGGAGTGCAGTAGTACAATCATGGCTCACTGCAGCCTCGACCTTCTGGGCTCAAGCAATCCTCCTGCCTCAGCCTCCCAAGTAGCTGGGACTACAGGCATGTGCCAACACGTCCAGCTAATTTTTGTGTTTTTTGTAGAGATGGGGTTTCACCTTGTTGCTCAGTCTGGTCTCAGACTCCTGGACTCAAGTGATCTGCCTGCCTCAGCCTCCAGAATTGCAGGGATTACAAGCGTGAGCCACCACACCTGAGTTCTCTCTTATTGTAATGAAAGTTTTCAGGGGATCCACATTTCAGCTCCCTGTACCCCTGTAATCACAAGAGGGACCAATGCTGTAATGTCCTCTTAGCAAATAGCCAAGAGCACACAGATCTGACACACGTGGAAGGTATTGTGAGGCTGTGTTCTGAAAAGGAATAGTAAACTAGGAAAAGTTTCTCTTCAAACAAACAAACAAAAACCTGCCCTCTGACAAGCAGGTGCTTCTCTCAGGTTCTTGGCTTCCCAGTTTACTACCTGGCATATCTGTAGCAAATGGTCGCTGAGAACCTGGAAGCAATTCCTCATTTGCAAGTCAATGGCAGATTTTTTTTTTTTCCTTTTTGAGACAGTCTCGCTTTGTTGCCCAGGCTAGAGTGTATGGTGTGATCTCAGCTCACTGCAACCTCAGCCTCCTGGGTTCAAGTGATCCATTCTCCTGCCTCAGCCTCCCGAGTAGCTGGGACTACAGGCATGTGCCACCATGCCCAGCTAATTTTTGTATTTTTAGTAGAAACGGGGTTTTGCCATGTTGGCCAGGCTGCTCTCGAATTCCTGACCTCAAGTGATCCCCTCGCCTTGGCCTCCCAAAATGCTGGGATTACAGGCATGAACCACCACACCGGCCAATTTTTTGTGGTTTTCGTAGAGACAGGATTTCATTACGTTGGCCAAATTGGTCTCAAACTCCTGTCCTCGTGATCCACCCGCCTCGGCTCTCCAAAGTGCTGGGGGATTACAGGCGTGAGCCAATGCGCCAGGCCAATAATCACTGCTGGCATTCTTGAGTGCCCATATGTGCCACACACTGTTTTTGCAAAAATTATAACTGAAGAAATTATGACAGTGAAAGAGATCAGACCTAACCAACTCCATCTTGCTTCTAACCTTTAAGCTGTCCTTGTACATTCCTGGGCATAGGCCGAACTAACTTTGGGAAGGAATTCTGTTCATGGTTTGACTCCGAAACAAAATTGATAACAGCCCTTTTCCAAGGCCCCCTTCTTGCCTGGGGACCAGTCTGCCTTTGCAGGGCTAACACATTAGCTACAAGATTAGAAATTACGGGTTAGTGGTAATGCAGCCTCTGGCTCCAAGAGTCTGAACCTCCTCAAATTGCTCCTGGGGATAACATCACTATTGTAAAACCTAAGATCAGTGCTTGAGATATTTTGTAGACCCTGCACTTGATGGATCAGCTGACATCACCCGGACTGGTTATCTGGCTCAACCTGTTCTGCCATCCCACCCAGGAACAGAAGACAGTAAGAAAAACTCACTTTGACCCCATATGATTCCATCTCCAACCTGATCCATCAGCACTCCCCACTTCCCGAGCCCCTACCCGCCAAATTATCTTTAAAAACTCTGCTCTCCGAATGCTCCGGGAGACTGATTTGAGTAATAATAAAACTCCAGTCTCCCTCTCCCGCACAGCCAGCTGTGTGTGAATTACTCTTTCTCCACTGCAATTCCCCTGTCTTGATAAATTAGCTCTGTCTAGGCAGCAGGCAAGGTGAACCCACTGGGCAGTTACATATTTACATTTATTTATTTGTTTGTTGAGACAAGGTCTGTCACCCAGCCTGGGGTGCAGTGATGTGATCTCTGCTCACTGCAGCCTTGACTTCCCGGGCTCAAGCCATCCTCCCACCTCAGCCTCCCAAGTAGCTGGGACTACAGGTGCACGACACCATGCCTGGTTAATTTTCATATTTTTTGTAGAGGTGGGGTTTCACCATATTGCCCAGGCTGGCCTCAAACTCCTGGACTCAAGAGATCCCTCTGCCTCAGCCTCCCAAAGTGCTAGGATTACAGGCAGGAGCCACCGTTCCCAGCCCTTGCCTTACATTTAATCTTCACTATTAATACACACATGTTATAAATGAGAGCATCAAAGTATGGAGAGCAGAAGCAACTTGTCCAAGGTCATACGCAACTAGAAAGGAGTGTAACTGATATTTAAACCCTAACAGTCTGGTTCCAGAATCTGTGCTTTTAAAGTCAAGATGAAAAGCATGTCTGGGCCTTGACCCTTGGAACCCACCCCTACCACACAGGCTTTAGCTAGCAGAGGGGCAGCAAAGGAAGACAGCAAGAGGTGGCCTCTGGTCGTAGCTCTTTGTGGTTTGCCAAGGCTTTCTGGTTCACTGACTCAAAAGGGTTTGGGGCTTTACAGACTGGTAAGATCTCCCAAACTGGGTAGTTGTACTTTAATTTTGTTAAGTAAAAACATTTTTAAAAATCTGCTAACATCACTATCATTTCATAAAGTAAATGTAATTTCAATGCAAATAAACCCCAAGAAAGACACAATCTCAGAGTACAGTCCAGGCCTTTAGGTTGAATAAATCTACCTTTGTAAACACCTCCTTTCGTTGTCCTGATTTTCCTCATCTCACCGTGGGCTGGTGAAAACGTCCTCATGTGTAGCACCTGTTTAAGGACTGCCATCCAGGAACCACTGTGGTACTTCATACGATCCCCATAAACCCTCTGCAAGGTAGACAGGGAAAGTCTTGTTTACCCCACTCTACTAACGAAGAAATCGAGGCTCAGAGAAGTCTTGTTTAAGGACACACAGCCTGAAAAATGGCAGGGCCAGGTTACAAACCCATGTTTTCAGACTGCAGGGGTCCAGTGCTCTTTCCTTCTATACCTCAAAGCGTTCACAAAATGCACTCACTGACCACTGGCTTGGTTGCTGTGTGAGGACCTAAATGTTCAGAAAGAGAAGAAGCATTTCCAAGTGCCATTTCCATTGAATGGAGTAGTGCAGCTGGCTGAAAGGTAGCCCCTGGATTCAGGGCGAGATGGGAAGCCCCTCAGGGGCAAGGTCGGAGTACATTTCCTCTTTCATTCCCGGGCTCAGCCCACACAGGGATGAGCATACGGGGCTGGCAACAAGTCCTTGCAGCTTAGAAGTGTGAGTGTGGTTTCTATTTATTTATTTTTAATTAAGAAATTTTTTTTTAGAGACAGGGTCTTGCCATGTAGTCCAGGCTGGTCTCAAACTCCTGGGCTCAAGCTCTCCTCTCACTTCGTCCTCCCAAAGTGCTGGGATTACAGGCGAGAGCCACTGGGCCTGACTGGAGTATGCTTTTTTTGGTTTGTTTTTGAGACGAAGTCTTGCGCTGTCCCCCAGGCTGAAGTTCAGTGGTGTGATCTCAGCTCACTGCAACCTCCACCTCCCGGATTCAAGCGATTCTCCTGCCTCAGCCTCCTGAGCAGCTGGGATTACAGGCATGTGCCACCATGCTCAGCTATTTTTCATTATTTTTAGTAGAGACGAGGTTTCACCATACTGGCCAGGCTGGTCTCGAACTCCTGACCTCAGGTGATCCGCCCACCTCAGCCTCCCAAAATGCTGGGATTACAGGTGTGAGCCACTGAACCTGCCCTGGAGTATGGTTTTAAATGCTAGTTTTTATCTAACAGAATTTTACTGTGGTAAGAAGGGAGGAAGAAAAAAAATCCCAGACTTAATTTGAGAGGATGTTACTGGGAGTTGGGAGAAAAGGATGAAATCCAGAGAAGACTTGATGGAGGCACCCTGGGCAGTGAGGGGAGGAGGGAGGCAGCAAAAGGGGCCTTATCCCTGAAGGAGGACAGCTGGCAGGGAGGCAGGAGCATTGTCTGTGGTGTCCCACTGTCTTAGGATCAAGACCACACCCCTGATATTGCCCCCCAGTGCCTAAGGCCTTGCCCTGCCTACTGCCCTAGTGTCACCTGCACTACTCTTGTTCTGGGTTTCTGAGCTCCAGACACATTTCCTTAAAGATATCCCCATGGGACCCCACCTCGGGGCCTTTTTGTTTTTTTGTTTGTTTGTTGTTTTTTTTTTTTGGCAGGGTCTTGCTCTGTTGTCTAGGCTGGAGTGTAGTGGCACAATCACAGTTCACTGCAGCCTCTACGTCCTGGGCTCAGGCAATCCTCCATCTCAGCCTCCTGAGTGGCTGAGACTACAGGTGCACACTGCTATACCCAGCTATTTTTTTTTTTTTTTTGTAGAGACAGGGTTTTGCCATGTTGCCCAGGCTGGTCTCGAACTCCTGGGCTCAAGCCATCCTCCTGCCTCGGCTTCCCAAAGTGCTGGGATTACAGGTGTGAGCCACTGTGCCGGGCCCACCTCAGAGCCTTTGAGCATGGCATTCCCGCTCCTGGGTTTCCACCAGTACTTACTAATGCCTATTCATCTTTTGGTGACTTCCCTGACTCCTATCTACCAGCTGGAGGCGTAGACAGCCCAGAGCCACATCAGCCCACTTCCAGAAGCAGTGAGCATTTCAATGTCCACAGTGTGCACAGGCCCCAGGGGCAGTGGCTTCACCAGGAGGTGCTCATGAAGCCCACAGTAGCACCAAGGAGCACTCCTTATCTTGTCCTGGATGGAGTCAGCACCCTGAGCCTTCCCTTCAGATCCTTGTTATAGTCTGCAATTACGTATCTGGGTGATTGTTTCATTAATGTCCTTCTCCCAACTAAATAGTCAGCTTCCTTTTTGTTGGCCATGGTATCTGCAGCCTAGCACGGACCCAGAGGCCTGGACGGTGCCCGCTAAGTGTTTGTGGAATGGCTTCCTTCCTTGTTTTGCCAAGGGGTGCCAGAATGTGCCACTGGCATTTGCTTTTCATTTACACTATTCTTGTGGCTAGGGTGGAGTGGGTTGGAGGTCATGGCCATCTCTAGAGAGCTGTTCCAAGACTACTTGAGCTTGTGTTTTCTTCCCAGCCCAAGATTCAGAATCCACTGGCCTTGAGTTCGCCCTGTCCTGGGGACAGTGGGACCTGTCACCTGCTGGCCAAGGTAGGGCTCCAACTTTGTGAAAAGTACATGCGGCAGGTCTGACCCTTAAACAACTCTTCTGACGTGTGGAATGCAGGGCTGGGTGGGAGCAGCCGGCACACCTGTCATTCACTGTTTAGCCACTGAAGGGCAGTGTTGCTCCACAGGAAGGGGCCAGGCAGATGTGCGCCATCACTGTGGCTCCCAGGTCGGAATGAGGATATTTTAGCTAGTCCCTACCAAGCACCACTGGTGTGCTAGTCACTTTGAATATAGTACTCGTGCAATCATGCAAGAGAAAGTTGATGACCCGTAGTGTAGTGTGGTGTAGTGTGGTGTAGTGTAGTGTAGTGTAGTGTAGTGTAGTGTAGTGTAGTGTGTAGTGTAGTGTAGTGTAGTGTGTAGTGTAGTGTAGTGTAGTTTTTGAGACAGGGTCTCACTGTTGTCCAGGCTGGAATATAGTGATCAGGGCTCACTGCAGCCTTGACCTCCGGGGCTCAAGTAATCCTCCCGCCTTAGCCTCCCAAATAACTGGGACTACAGGTGCACACCACTACACTTGGCTAATTTTTGTATTTTTTTTGTAAAGATTGGCGGGGGGGGGGGGGTCTCACTGTGTTGCCTAGGCTGGTCTCGAACTCCAGGGCTCAAGTGATTCTCCTGCCTCAGCCTCCCAAAGTACTGGGATTACAGGTGTGAGCCAGCACACCCAGCTGACCCTTATTTTAAAGATGAAGTAAAGAAAATCGGAGAGATTAAATGATGTTTTCAATGTTTCATGACTAGTAAATGGCTAAGCCAGAAATCAACCTCAGGTCTGCCTAAATCCCAAACCCCGTCAGTGCCTTCACCTGCTCTCCCTTTGTCACGATGGCCAATCTTTTCTAGCATGTCTTCCTAGCAGCCACCTGCCAGGGTAGTGCTGAGTGCACAACCTTGTCTCACTCAGCTGGCTCAATTTAGCCAACTTTTGATTACCGAAATTAATACAGGGGTCACTGACTTGGGTCTAAAATTTTAAAATGGGTTATTAAAATGCTTGCTTTGGCCAGGCGCAGTGGCTCATGCCTATAATCCCAGCACTTTGAGAGGCTGAGGCAAGAGGATCATTTGAGGTCAGGAGCTCGAAACCAGCCAGCCAACATGGTGAAACCTAATCTATACTAAAAATACAAAAATTAGACAGGTGTGGTGACACTCACCTCTAGTCCCAGCTGCTCGGGAGGTTGAGGCAGGAGAATCACTTGAACCCAGGAGGCAGAGGTTGCAGTGAGCCGAGATTATGCCACTGCACTCCAGCCTGGGTGACAGATTGAGACACTGTCTTGAAAAACAAAATAAAATAAAATGCTTGTTTTGATTCTAGAGACTGTTATTCGGTATGCATGGGATAGGGGGAGGAGGGAAAACAGATTTGTCCTTCCATAGTCCTCTCTCTGATCTCATTCTGCAATCTTTCCTCCCCCTTCCCCACCCAGCCCTCACACAGCTGCCAGGCAGCTTTCCAACAGATTTGATCAGATGGCTCTCTCACTACTGTACTGGGCCCCCTGTAGCTTCTGGAAGAAAGTCCCACTCCTTAGCAAGCAGCCCAGGTGCTTCCTAAGCTGCCAGCTACCTTGCCGCCAGACTTCTTCCCCACTGGCTTACGAGGGTGCACTGTCAGCCCCAGCCCCCTGAGCCACAGCATTCAGTATCTAAAGCTGTAATCTCTCCACTGCAGAGTGAGAATGAAGATACTGGCCACCCAGGTGGTTGTAAGGCTAAAACCACCACCTTTAAAGATCGCTTGGCACAGTGCTGGCCACAGTGGGGCTCATCACCACGTTTCTCACCTTCCCTTCCTCAGCCCTTGGAAATGTGCAAGTATAGTACAACCTACAAAGGCAAATCCATGTGGTATAGTGCTCTGCACAGTGCAATCCCTGTGTAAACATTTCTAGACACAGAAATGTCAGCTGGGGCATTATTTTGCTCAGGCTGACACTGAGGAAGACATTTCCTGGATTTTTTTCCTGTGCCCATGGTGAGGTCCAAAGTGACCCAAATACCACCTAAATCCCTGGATGCTAAACTCCTTGAGGGCAGAGACAGAGTTATGAACCTCTGGGTCTCCCCATAGGTCCAACCCAGCACTAGGTCTTCAGTGGCGTCTCTAAGAATGTCAGTTGGTCAATTTGTTATTCAATGGGCACATGACAAGTTGCAGGAGTGCACAGGTGCTTTCAGGGTATCATCATCTCAAACAGAAACAGCATTGTTTCAAAGAGCCTGTAGGAGTCCAGAAGAAATACAGGACTTTCTTCTTCCTTTTGCAAAAGCTGGCAGTTTAAAGCCACAGGGCATTAGATCAAGAATGCCATGAGGCTGACCAGTGAGGGGCTTGACTTTGAGGGCTCTGGGCTGGTTGGGCTGGCCATGCTTACACTTGGAAAGCAGTAGGACCCATTCCCTGGTTTTGAGCATTCAAAGTAGCCTTGGCTTACTCTCTGCTCTGAGTTCTCACTTCAGTCTTCCTATTCTGAGGTTCAAAGAACTGCAAATAGTCCTCAGACAAAGCCTGTGGGGTGTCTCCCCAGATTCCAGGAACTCTCCAAATCAGATAGACCAGGATTATGAAACTCAGCCTCTTCTATGAAGGGTCCCACTGGATCCCATAATAAGTGGGAATTCTACCCTCAGCCCAGACTCTCCGGACTCCAGCCCAATCTCAGTCTTAACCTCAGGGTTCCAGCTTTCCTCCGTCCATTGCCACATCAAACTCACCTGTTCTGGGTTTGCATGTCAGGTACATTTTCTGATCAATATGCATTTGCCTATTCCTATTCTGTGACTAAGGTATTCCTTGGGTATTGATGGGTCTGCCTGCGTGTGTTCTCAAATCTAAAGTCATCAGCTACCCTTTGAACATTGTAAGCATGTTATATACAGGTTATTTTTGCCTTTAGTTATCTCAGTAACATTATATTCCATGTTATATGGCATTTAAACTATCTGGGTGGTCTTGTATATAATACTTTACTTCCTTCAGAACCACAGGAAAAACTAATTGCTATTACTTCTGTGAGAGATGGGGATTCTCAAGGGACTTGCCCGTCAGTTTACAAAGTAGTGATGGGGCTGGGCGTGGTGGCTAATGCCTGTAATCCCAGCACTTTGGGAGGCTGAGGCGGGCGGATCGTTTGAGATCAGGAGTTCCAGATCAGACTGACCAGCATGGGTAAACTCCATCTCTACTAAAAATACAAAAATTAGCTGGGTGTGGTGGCGCATGACTGTAATCCCAGCTACTCAGGAGGCTGAGGCATGAGAATCACCTGAACCCGGAGGCAGAGGTTGCAGTGAGCTGAGATTGCACCACTGTACTCCAGCCTGGGCAACAGAGGGAGACTCTGTCTCAAAAAAAAAAAAAAAAAAAAAAAGGAGCAAAGCCTCTGGCTCTTGTGTCAGCAGTCTCACCAGCCAGGGCTCTGTTTGTGTTCTGTAGTAGCCCCCACAGGGCTACAGGCGAATATATTGCAGTTGCAGCCAGTAAGGATGATGCAACTGAGAAAGGCTGGCGGGCAGGTGGGTGCAGCCGGGGATGGCCAGGGATAGCCAGCCAGGCAGGGAACTCCTGAGCTGAGACTGCTGAAAGATGGATACTTCTGGGCCCCAGAAACAGCTCTTGGCTCCCAAATACCCTCTCAGCTTCCTGAAAACCTCTAAATAGCTAGGCGCAGTGGCTCATGCCTGTAATCCCAGCACTCTGGGAGGCTGAGGCAGGCGGATCACTTGAGACCAGGAGTTCAAGACAAGCCTGGCCAACATGGTGAAACCCCATCTCTACTAAAAATACAAAAATTAGTTGGCCATGGTGGCACGCACCTGTAATCCCAGCTACTCGGGAGTCTGAGGCAGGAGAATCACTTGAACCCAGGAGGCAGAAGTTGCAGTGAGCCGAGATTGTGCCATTGCACTCCAGCCTGGTCGTCAGAGTGAGACTCCGTCTCAAACAAAAAACAAGAAACAAAAAACAAGCCTCTAAATAGGGAATAAATCTTTACAGTTCAAGTTGACAGACCTGGGTGCAAATCCCAGCTGGGCTCCTCACTGGCTGTGTGAACTTGGGCAGGATACCTAACCTCTCTGAAATTTTGTTTAATCATATGTTTTTTAAAAATTTTTAAATTTTTAATTTATTTTTATTTTTGAGACAGTCTCACTCTGCCATCCAGGCTGGAGTGCAGTGGCGCCATCTTGGCTCACTGCAACTGGCACTTCCCGGGTTCAAGTGATTCTCCTGCCTCAGCCTCCCAAGTAGCTGGGATTACAGGCATGTGCCACCGTGTCCAGCTAAATTTTGTATTTTTAGTAGAGATGGGGTTTCATCATGTTGGCCAGGCTGGTCTCCAACTCCTGGCCTCAAGTGACCCGCCTCCCAAAGTGCTGGGATTACAGGTGTGAGCCACTGCGCCCGGCCTTGTTTAATCACATGCTGGATGGTGATTTAAATAGTATCTATAGGTTGTGAGGATTAAATTTAAAAATAACATAATAGGCTGATCACATTTTCTGGCTTATACTACTCAACAAGTCGTTGTTTATTGTAAATATGCTGATGGTAGGGTTATGGTGTTTTTTATGTTTTCTTTTTGCTTCTTTGGGTTTTCAGCAAATTAACATGCCTTGCTTTTGTAGTAAAAACGAAGAAAAGATAATTTTATCTTTTGAGATGGAATCTCTCTCTGTCGCCCAAGCTGGAGTGCCGTGGCCTGATCTCAGCTCACTGCAAACTCCGCCTCCCAGGTTCAAGCCATTCTCCTGCCTCAACCTCACAAGTAGCTGGGATTACAGGTGTGTGTCACCACGCCCGGCTAATTTTTGTATTTTTAGTAGAGATGGGCATGTTGGCCCAGGCTGGTCTCAAACTCCTGACCTCAAGTGATCCACCTGCCTTGGCCTCCTAAAGTGCTGGGATTATAGGCATGAGCCACGGTGCCCAGCAAAAAAAGATGATTTTTAATAATAAAATGTAGGCTGTGTGCGGTGGCTCACATCTGTAATCCCAGCACTTTGGGAGGCCGAGGCGGGTGGATCACCGTGGTCGGGAGTTCGAAACCAGCCTGACCAACGTGGAGAAACCCCGTCTCTACTAAAAAATACAAAATTAGCCAGGCGTAGTGGTGCATGCCTGTAATCCCAGCTACTTGGGAGGCTGAGGCAGGAGAATCACTTGCACCAGGGAGGCTGAGGTTTTGGCGAGCCAAGATCGAAGCATTGCACTCCAGCCTGGGCAACAAGAGCAAAACACCGTCTCAAAATAATAATAATAATAATAATAATAATAATAATTATTATTATTATTAATACCCAGACAGGGAAAAAGAAGCTATGATTAAAATTTATAACAGAGGCCTGGTGCAGTGGCTCACGCCTATAATTCCAGCACTTTGGGAGGCCAAGGCAGGCGGATGACTTGAGGTCAGTTTTGGAGACCAGCCTGGCTAACATGGCAAAACCCCATCTCTACTAAAAATACAAAAATTAGCTAGATGTGGTGGCCCATGCCTGTAATCCCAGCTACTTGGGAGGCTGAGGCAGGAGAATCACTGAGCCCAGGAGGTGGAAGTTGCAGTGATCTGAGATCGCACCACTGCACTCCAGCCTGGGCAACAGAGCAAGACTCTATTTCAAAATAAAAAGTAATAGTAATAATAAAATAACATTTATGCTGAGACTTAAATAAGGGCAGACTCTTTCCGAGGAAAAATGTAGAACTTGCATTTATTAAGTACCTTTAATTTAAATAATTAGCACAGCAACCCTATCAACCAAGTATGATTATATCAGCTAAATATCTTTATCCCCATTTCATAGATGAGGAAACTGAAGCTCAAAGGGATTTTATAATTGGCCCAAGTTCACAGAGTTAGTGAGGAATTAAATTCAGATTGTCTGATGGTGAAGTCTATAGTTTTTCTAACAACTCTTTGGCCTAACTTTAAGGGGTAGCATGGGAACGGGATGAAAATGAGATGGTGGAGGGAGGAAGGGAGGGAGCACAGGAAGGGAGGGAGCACAGGAAGGGTGGAGCCAGGGCCATTGGGCATTTAAAAGGTTAAGTGGGGCTGGGTGCAGTGGCTCACGTCTGTAATCCCAGCACTTTGGGAGGCTGAGGTGGGTGGATCACCTGAGGTCAGGAGACCAACCTGGCCAACATGGCGAAACCCCATCTCTGCTAAAAATACAAAAATTAGCTGGGGGTGGTGGTGCACGCTGGTAGTCCCAGCTACTTGGAAGGCTGAGGCAGGAGAATCACTTGAACCCGGGAGGTGGAGGCTGCAGTGAGCTGAGATCGTGGCACTGCACTCCAGTCTGGGCGACAGAACAAAACTGTCTCAAAAAAAAAAGTTAGGCCAGGCGCAGTGGCTCACGCCTGTAATCCCAGCACTTCGGGAGGCCGAGGTGTGTGGATCACTTGAGGTCAGGAGTTCGAGATCAGCCTGACCAACATGGTGAAACTCCATCTCTACTTTAAAAATACAAAATTAGCTGGGCGTGGTGGTGCATGCCTGTAATCCCAGCTACTTGGGAGGCTGAGGCAGGAGAACCTGTTGAACCAGGGAGGCAGAGGTTGCAACGAGCCGAGATCGCGCCACTGCACTCCAGTCTGGGCAACAAGAACGAAACTCCATCTCTAAATAAATAAATAAATAAATCAGGGATAATAATGGCACCAACCCACATCACCATAGGTTTGTCAAAGAAAAACTCTGAGGCAAAATCTTCAGAAAAGGAAGGCAACAAATGACTTGCGAAGAGTGCAAGAGTTAAACTTCAGGACTGACCCTCCAAATATAAAAACATAACTGTAGCATTTCAGTAAAACAAACAAACCCTCAAGACCACCAGAGCTAATATAATCGGTTGAATGGTGGCCCCCGAAAAGATACGCCCATGATTTAAGCCCTGGAAGCTGTGACCTTATTTAGAAAAAGGGTCTTTGCAGATGTAATTAATTTAAGGATCTTGAAATGAGATCCTCCCGGATTATTGACATGGGCTCTAAATCCAATGACAAGAGTTCTGATAAGAGGCAGAACAGGAGAAGACAAGGGCGACAGAGGAGAAGGCCGCATGAAGACAGAGGCTGAGATGGAAGTGATGAGGCCACAGACAAGAAATGCCTGGAGTCACCCACCAGAAGCCAGCAGAGGCAAGGAAGGAGCCTCCCCTAGACACTTCAGAAGGGCATGGCCCAGCCAACACCTTGATTCTGGACTTCTTGTCTCCAGAACTATGAGAGAGTAAATTTCTGTTGTTTCAAGCCACCAAGTTTGTGCTAACTTGTTATGGCAACTGGGAAACTAATATAGTTTACATTTGTCTGCCCATTATGAAAAACAATGACTTTCTCACATGATTACTACATTTACTAAGGCCACGACATCTTTAGACACCAGCATAACAAAAACTAGGGACAGGAATTTTTGTTGTTGTTGTTTGTTTTTTCAGAGCAGGGTCTCGCTCTGTCACCCAGGCTGGAGTACAGTGGTGTAATCTCGGCTCACTGCGGCCTCAACCTTCCGGGCTCAAGTGATCCTCCCACCTCAGCCCCTCAAGTAGCTGCCCGGCTATTTTATTATTATTTTTTAAATTTTTTGTACAGACGAGGTTTCACTGTGTTGCCCAGGCTGATCTCAAACTCCTGAGCTTAGGCAACCTGTTCACCTTGGCCTCCCAAAGTGCCGGGATTACAGGCGTGAGCCACCATGGTTGGCCAGGAATTGTATTTGTTAAGGAGTCTAAAGTTCACTGACAATAATCAAGGTTTTATTATTCTGGGTACAACAACTAGTTGGAGTTGAACCTGCTAGTTTTGGTTTATCTTGGGTTGCAAAATATTTTGTTTTTGTTTTCCTGACAATGGCATACTAAATGTTTGCTAACTTTGGAAGCAGGGCAATTTTTTGCTTCTACAGATTGTGATGTGATTAAACAAGTTGGTCAATGTAAATGCCCTTAGAACAGCTGGCACTAGTAAGCATTCTGTGTGTTGGCTGTAGTTGTTTTTCTTCTTTTTGTTTACCTGTTTGTTATAAACTTTCTGCAGTGGGTATTTGTGCCCATTTTTTCCTAGTTCAAATGCTCACTCATATTAAGACCTAGGCCAGTTATGGTCAAAGAGCCACAAGTACTTGAACCAGTTTCTCTAGGCCCCAGCTCAAGAGACTCAAGTTAACGGACCCTGCTTAATCCCACCTCCTTCATAGCTCTGGGACTCTGTTTCATCCCTCTAGGTGCCAGTAGCTGTCTTTTTAATAATAAAGATTTATTTATTTTTTATTTATTTATATATTTTTTACAGACGGAGTCTTGCTCTGTGGCCCAGGCTGGAGTGCAGTGGCATGATCTTGGCTCACTGCAACCTCTGCCTCCTGAGTTCACGCCATTCTCCTGCCTCAGCCTCCTGAGTAGCTGGGACTACAGGCACCCGCCACCACGCCTGGCTAATTTTTTTGTATTTTTAGTAGAGATGGGGTTTCACTGTTCTAGCCAGGATGGTCTCGATCTCCTGACCTCGTGATCCGCCCGCCTTGGCCTCCTAAAGTGCTGGGATTACAGGCTTGAGCCACCGCTCTCGGCTATTTATTTTCGAGACAGGGTCTTGCTCTGTCACCTGGGATGGAGGGCAATGGTGCAATCCACAACTCACTGCAGCCTTGATCTCTTGGGCTCAAGCAATCCTCCTGCCTGACTCCCGTGTAGCAGGAACTTCATGTGCCACCACACTCAGCTGATTCTTGATTTTTAATTTTTTTTTTTTTTTTGAGACGAAGTCTCGCTCTTGTCCCCCAGGCTGGAGTGCAGTGGCGCCATCTCGGCTCACTGCAACCTCTGCCTCCCAGGTTCAAGCGTTTCTCCTGCCTCGATCCCCTGAGTAGCTGGGATTACAGGCGCCTGCCACCACAACCGGCTAATTTTTGTATTTTTAGTCAAGATGGGGTTTCACCATGTTGGCCAGGCTGGTCTCAAACTCTTGACCTCAGGTGATCCCCCCGCCTCAGCCTCCCAAAGTGCTGGGATTACAGGCATGAGCCACCGTGCCCAGCCAACTTTTAATTTTTTTTTTGTAAAGATGGGGACTTGCTTTCTTGCCAGACTGAAATTGTTTGTGTTTGTTTGTTTGTTTGTTTGAGATAGGTCTCACTCTGTTGCCCAGGCTGGAGTGCAGTGGTACAATCTTGGCCACTACAGTCTCCACCTTCCAGGCTCAAGTGATCCCCCAACCTCAGCCACCTGAGTGGCTGTGTACCACCATACCTCATTACTTTTTGTATTTTTTGTAGAGACTGGGTTTTGTCATGTTGCCCAGGCTGGTCTTGAACTCGTGGGCTTAAGTGATCCACCCGCCTCAGCCCCCCAAAGTGTTGGGACTACAGGTGTGAGCCACTGTGCCCAGCCAGAAAATTTTGTTTTTAGAGAAAGGCTCAGGAGTGTGGCTGAGTGTTGGACAGCCCCCTACTGGAGCAAAGGCAACCAAGCTCTCAGTGGTCCCAGTGGGAGAGTAAGAAGGGTGGGGAGCAGCTGGGGTGAAAGGATACAGTCAGCATTCATCAAGGGATGTGCTGTGAGCAGGGGTGGAGCTCCATGTAACCCCCAGCTTTCCCACAGAGAGAGACTGAGGACAGAGGATATGCAGTTACCTAAGGGGCAGCTCAGTCATGGGGTTCAGATGTGACCAGTGTGTGCATGAGCCCAGAGGCCAGGAGCACAGTTGTGAGAAGGCTGGAGCATGGCCTGGGATTAGAGGGGCTGTCCCTCTGACTGTACAGACAGTCAAATACCTACACCAATCCAGGAAGTTCATTCATTCATTCCTTTATCCAGCAAGCATTTCATTCATTGAGTCTGCAGATATTTATTGAGCACCTACTATGTCTCAGTTCAGGCATTGAGGGCTATAGCAGGGAACACAACAGAGAGAAGTCCCTGAGGAGTTTATCTCTAGTTGGGGAGACAGATGGCAAACAAAATAAACAAGTAAAATTTCCAGTGGGTTAAATAGTGATGAGCGCTAAGTAGAAAAACAAAGTAGGGAGGAGGATAGGAAATGTTGGAGAGGGAGCTGTGATATTAGCCCCATGGAAGTCCTCACTGATAAGCTGACGTTTGAGTCAACACCCAAGAGAGGGCGGTGATGGAATGAGTCATGCAGGTGTCTGGGGAAACATGCATCGAGCTTCCTAGGAAGCACAGCCTCCACGGGTAGGAGTCGGGGGCCCAACCCTGGTAAAAATCCAGTGGAAAGCCACAGGAGGAACAAGCACCTGGGTTGGGTTTTTCACCTTGCAAAGGAATATACAAAATGTTCCCCCTTGTGTGTGTTTATAAATGAAAACTGAGGATCATGATAAACTACATTCAGTAAAGAACAAGACACGTGATTTCAAAATCTGTACCAAACTTCATCTCCTTTCTTCTAAGAGATTATTTGTATAAATTATAGATCATAGCATAGAATGGTACTTTGGTAACCATCTGGTGTTCATGTTTTGAACTTGCCAGATGATTAGAATCCACCAGGATGCTAGGTTTAAAGATACAGATTCCAGCTCCCTGTCCCCACCCCTGATTTAGGGAAGGGGCCTGTGACTTTGTATATTTAACAAACACTCAAGGTTATTCTGTTACAGGAAAGTCTGGGAGACACAGATAGGTTTCAAAATGAGGAAATAGAGGCCCAGATAGAGGGAATGTCTTGCTCAAGGTGGAACTGGTCAGTCAGGCAGAACTGGGAATAACATCTAGATTTCCCAACTCTGTTAGGCCAATGAAAGTTTTTTGCACAGCACAAAGATCACTTATGAAATTTAAGTTCAAGATACAACAAGACACAAAACATAAAAGCAGATGCCAGGCCAGACATCTATTAGGAGCACCAGATGTACCTGGGACGAACTGGTTACTGTGACTGATCACTAAACTCAGCAACCAAGGGCTCTGGCAGCCAAGTCTGCAGCAGAAATGGGTTGGGTTATTCCATTCCATTCATGGGGTCCAATAAAGTGATGCATAATAATTTCATTTGATAAGAAAAGTTTTTTCCTTTAACAAATTTTAAAATCTTCCAAACCCTCAGCTTCCTATTATGATAATTACAAGAGAATACGAAAAATAAGGATGGAAAAAAAATGGTAAAAGGAGAGATCTATCCTGTCCCAGTGAGAATGATTTCTTCAGTATAATTTATCTCCTGTGGGTAGTCTGGAGTCTCCACCCTCTCATAGGCCCTCAATGACTATGTGTTTGAAGGGCCTTCAGGATAGACTTCTTGAAAACAGATCTTTCTCTGATAGTGCCTAACATTCTTCACAGTGTGGGCCATGAGGCCTGAAAAGGACAAGCACGGTGAGACCCATGGCGAGTTGTAGGACCCTCTGGGCCTTTGTGGCCCACCTGGGAAGGGGAATGTATTAGTCTGTTCTCATGCTGCTAATAAAGACATGCCCATACTGGGTAATTTATAAAAAAAAGAAGTTTAATAGACTCATAGTTCCACATGGCTGGAGGCCTCACAATCATGGAGGAAGGCGAGGAGCAAAGGCACGTCTTACATGGCAGCAGGCAAGAGGGAATGAGAGCCAAGCGAAAACGGTTTCCCCTTATAAAACCATCAGATCTCATGAGACTTATTCACTACCATGAGAGCAATATGGGGGAAACTGCCCCCATGATTCAATTATCTCCCACCGGGTCCCTCCCACAACACGTGGGAATTATGGAAGCTACAATTCAAGATGAGATTTGGGTAGGGACACAGCCAAACCATATCAGGGAATAATAAAGCCATAACCTCCTGAAGGGGGTGGGTGTGATGCCCTCCTGAGCCCCTGCAGCTAGAGCATCTGTGACGCACTGCCCAGCTAGTCTGGGCAGGAGCAATGTGTTGGAGTTTGTGCACATGTGTGTGTGCTGGGCGTGCGATGAGCACCCTGCCACACATGTGGGAGCTCAGATGCCACACTCTTCCAGAGCTGTGCCACAGTTTGACTGATCTGTGACTGCAACCGCTCCAGCAAAGCTGGACTCTTGGGGAAAGAATTTTCTCTTCCCAAGCTTGCTGTGTGGGCCCGTGGGGAGACACACAATTGCCTTTGTCATTTGTTCTTCCTGTGTGGGGACAAAAGCCCTTTCACTTGCTGTGGAATGTACAAGAAGTTCTGTGCCGAAGGGCTGCCAGGCGCTGGCCTGGAATCCGACAAACAAGGAGGAGTTGGGGAGATGGCCGTTTCAGCCTGAGGCCCCCCACCTCCTGGTCCTGCCATGCATCTGTGTGGTCGGGGACTGCCAAGAGGGTCCCCACCGTCTGCTTCTTCACCACTGTGTGCACCTGCATCACTGCCACAACCCTGTCTTAATCATGGCCTGAGACACTGCAGCCTGCCACAGGCGGGCACTGTGCCAGGCATGGGTTTTGTCAACTCATTCAACCCTCCCAACGAATGCTGTTATTCCCACTTTGCAGCAGAGGGAACTGACCTTCAGAAGGGAGGGTCTGGGAGGACAGTGCTGAGACTGAAACAGAGGGGCTGGGACATGGTAGGAGGAACAGGACACCACAACCCCTCACCCTGCACTCACAGCTCTAGGGCAGAATGGAGCCTCAACCCTGGGTGTTTATGCTGTGAGCTGAAGTTTAAGCAAAACAAAAATAGAGAACTTAGGTGGGGTTGGGGTGGGGGTAGAACCCGCCAACACGAAACGTCATCGTGGTACAAGTGGCCTTTTCTCATTGCTATTTACATCCCCGGGTGTTTCTATCAGCCCAGAGCCAGAGACTCACCACAGAGCAACCTGTTGCCAGAATGCTGTGGGGGCTGCGCTATTTTAGGAGCAAAGTTTTCCCAGGTGGCTATATTGTCTGCATTTTTCTCACCAGGGTAGGACAATTCATAGAGCCACTAAAGCCAACCACAGTGTTGAACTCTGCTCTAATTTTAAAATGTAAATGAGCAAGCACCAATGGGAAGTGGCCAGGAGCAGACCAGGGCAATCAGCTCCCAGGGGAGCCCCAAGCGTCAACTCCCAGGTAGGGGGTAAGGGTGAGGCCTGCTGGGTGGGGAGTGGACTAATACAGAGGGCTGGGAAAGAAATGTGTGTGTCTAAAAGCAATTTGCATTAGGCCTTTCAGAGCCCAAGTCTGTGGGTTGGCTTGCACAATCTTGCAATCTTACAAGCAAGAGAGGAAGAAAGGAGAGAGGGGAGCCAGGGGAGAAGGGTGTGGGGATCAGACAGGCTTTTGTATGTGATCTTGTTTAAGCAAGACTCTTATCAAAGAGTAATCCTAAACTTTGCGCTTTCTTATCACCCAGCTCCCTGGGGAATGGGTAGGTGACTTTTGAGTTCCACAAGGGAGGATTAATTGCCTGTTAGAGATCAGAGCTCCAAGTAAGCAGATAAGGTTGATAGAGGTGGGTGGGGTGTGGTGGTTTACTTATGTCCCGTGGAGATGTTCTTTGCTCTTATTATCTAGATTCACGTTTTCTGTGCACAAGCCGAACACTGAGGGCTGAGGAGAAAGCTGCCGTCTAGTGAACAGAGCAGCATTGGAGGGTGTGCCTGCTCTGTGCCCCATGCTGCAGATGCTGAGCAGGGGTTGGGATATCAAAGAATGAAGGAATGAGCCATGCTGCACTGTTCAAGAAGGTCCAGTTCTGTGGTGGTTGTGTGAATACAGGACATTCTTTTCTTTCTTTTTTCTTTTTTTTAGACTGGGTCTCATTCTGTCACCCAGGCTAGAGCGCAGTGGCAAGATCCTCAGGCTTCCATAACAACTGTGAAAGTACTGACTGAGTAGTTAAGTTAAATATTAAAAGCTGAAAGGGCCAGTGCCCTTATACAAAGACTGGAATGTAACAAAAGCCCACCAAGAGTTTTGCCTAGGCCTTTCCTGGGCCTTAAAGCGTGACAAAATAATGGAGGAATTCTTAACAGGATCCATTTAGGATTAAACAAATTTTATTGGGGGTCTGAAGAGACTCCCCAGGCCTCCACAGACAAGTTTATTGGGGTCCTGAAGGAACTCCCCAAACGTCTGTGATTTAGCAGGAGACAAGAGTAATCAGCTGGGCACAGTGGCTCATGCCTGTAATCCCAGCACTTTGGGAGGCTGAGGCGGGTGGATCATCTGGGTGGATCACCTGAGGTCAGGAGTTTGAGACCAGCCTGGCCAACATGGTGAAACCCCGTCTCTACTAAAAATACAAAAACTAACTGGGCGTGCTGGTGCACACCTGTAGTCCCAGCTACTCGGCAGGCTGAGGTGGGAGGATCACCTAAGCCTGGAAGGTCAAGACTGCAGTGAGCTGTGATCGTGCCACTGCACTCCAACCTGAGTGACAGCAAGACACGGTCTCCAAAAATAAAAAATGAAAAAAAAAATTTAAAAAGTTTAGTGAGGAAAGAGTGTAACAATTGTTGTGTATCAGTTCTCCACATGTCTCCAAAATTTGGCTCCAGAATTCTGACTTTCAGTTGAGGCTAGAAGGTGGCAGGATAAGCCGGGCATGGTGGCTCACACCTGTAATCCCAGCACTTTGGGAGGCCGAGGTGGGTGGATCATGAGGTCACGAGTTCGAGACCAGCCCGGCCAAGATGGTGAAACACCGTCTCTACTAAAAACACAAAAATTAGCTCGGCATGGTGGCATGTGCCTGTAATCTCAGCTACTCAGGAGGCTGAGGCAGGAGAATCGCTTGAACCCGGGAGGCGGAGGTTGCAGTGAGCCGAGATCGTGCCATTGCACTCCAGCCTGGGTGACAGAGCGAGACTCCATCTCAAAAAAAAAAAAAAAAAAAAAAAAAGAGAAGGTGGCAGGGTATAGCCTTATGTCCTTGTGGGGTCACTTTGAGGGATTGAGGGAGGAAGTCTTTGCCCATGAGAGTAAAGGGAGAAGCTTCCGGGAGAAGCTCATGAGTCAGGAGCTGGTGGAGGGGCTGGGATCCACAGGCCTCTGAAAAACACCTTGTACACGAAGGAAATATATCAAGCTGTTTTAAAAGATTATCTCAATTTCGTAATTATGGATTATTTTATTTTCTTCCTGTGCTTTTCAGGATTTTCTTAATCTTCTACAGTGAAAAATAACCAGAAGAAACTTTTTTTTTTTTTTTTTTTTAAGAAAAGAGCAGCACTTTTTGGAGTAAGAGGAAAGCAGTACTGAGTTCACAACTGCTACTAGAAGGAAGCTGGTCAGGGAGGGGACTCAGACAAGGTGCTGCAAGTCCCAGTCTTAATGTAAAGCAAATCTTAATGGAGAGAGGTTCTCTTTGTGGAGGCCAGGGAAGCTCCATCAAGCAGCCTGTGTAGGCAGTCCTGACTGTTGAATACTGATGTAGTGTGGAAATTAAGAGGATTCAGGAGTCATACAGAACTGGGTTCAAATTCTCACTGTACGGCCGGGCGTGGTGGCTCATGCCTGTAATCCAAGCACTTTGGGAGGTCCTGGTGGGCAGATCACTTGAGGTCAGGAGTTCAAAACCAGCCTGGCCAACATGGTAAAACACCGTCTCTACTAAAAATACAAAAATTAGCCGGGC
Organism: Homo sapiens; assembly: GCF_000001405.40. Taxonomy (NCBI): domain Eukaryota; kingdom Metazoa; phylum Chordata; class Mammalia; order Primates; family Hominidae; genus Homo; species Homo sapiens. Next base: position 47,307,857 of record NC_000002.12, on the reverse strand, counting down.
ATGGTGGTGCATGCCTGTAATCCCAGCTACTCGGGAGGCTGAGGCAGGAGAATTGTTGAACCCAGGAGGTAGAAGTTGCAGTGAGCTGAGATCGCATCACTGCACTCCAGGCTGGGTAACAGAGGGAGACTCTGTCTAAAAAAATAAAAAAATAAAAAATTCTCACTGTACAGTTGACGATTTGTGTGTCCTTGGCAGACCATCTACCATCTCCAAGCCTCAGCTTCCTCACTTGCCACAACATTGCAATATCTTTTAAGGTAGCAAATACTCAATAAATGCTAGCTATCCTTATCATGGAGATTTAGCCTTTCAAACATCCCAGGGATAGGAAATTGCAAAAAGATTCTGAGCCTCCACCATGGGTATTTCACTAGCCTTGTCAACCAAACAAAACCAGAAGGGAACAGGTTGCAGGCAGGCTTGCAGGGAGATGGAAGCCTCAGTTCCATGAGGTCACTCAGCTATACACAAGCTGTATTCCAATGTTGCACTTTTACATTCCATTCTGAATGTCAAATTCTCTGGGTAAAGTTTGTGGTCCAAAAGCTCTAATTAGGTGAAGGCAGAATAATGGTAAACATTTTCACAGTGTACTTATATCAACAACCTGCCTGGCATAGAGGAGAAGAAAACATGTGTCACCCTCTCTAAACATCCTCACTGGTGTTAATCAGGGGCTCTAGTTGGCTCAATGCCAGGCCTAATTGGGCAGAATTTCACTGCCCAGCTCTGGGACTAGCACAACATGTTGCTTTATTTTTCTTTCCTTTTTTTTTTTTTTTTTTTTTTTTTTGGAGACAGTCTCAATCTGTCACCCAAGCTGGAGTGCAGTGGTGCAATTATGGCTCACTGCAGTCTCAACCTTCCAGCTTAAGTGATCCTCCTGCCTCAGCCTCCCAAGTAACTGGGACTGCAGGAATGCATCCCTGCGCCCAGCTAATTTTTAAATTATTTTGTAGAGACAGAGTATTACTGTGTTGCCTAGGCTGATCTGAAACTCCTAGGCTCAAGAGATCTTCCTACCTCAGCCTCCCAAGGTATCGTGATTACAGGCGTGAGCCACCGTGCCTGGCCACAATGTGTTGTTTCATTGCTACTGGGCTCTACTGATGTTAATAATAAATTGCTTCAGAGCTTTCCACGTTTTTGCTTGTATCTTTGTTCTCGGTGTTTTATCTCTACTCAGAGACCAGACCATCCTTGTTACCCTTAGCTTGCTGTATTTACCTGTTCTTTCTCCCCTAGTGGCATTTTCCAGGCATGTTGAAGTAGTGGGTGGTGAGTAAGGAACCATTCGCAATTGGGCCCAGAAGTCCAACAGGAGGATGGTTTCTCTTGGGCTGCAGGTCGCTGTCCTAGGGCCACGAGCACAGGAGCCCTGATGGCATATGGAAGAACCGAATCAGCTCACAGAGGACCTGTTGACTCAGAAAAATCACATGCACATCACATACACTATCACAATGTCTTAACCCAGTGGCTCTCAACCCAGTGAGCAATTTTACACCCCAGGGGACATTTGGCAATGTCTGAAGACTTTTTTTTTGTTTTTTTTAACATAGGGTCTTGCTCTGTTGCCTAGGCTGGAGTGCAGTGGCACAATCACAGCTCTCTGCAGACTTGATCCCCCGCAGCTCAAGCCATCCTCCCACCTCAGCTTTCCAAGTAGCTGGGACTACAGGCAAGCGCCACGATGCCCAGCAAATTTTTAAATTTTGTTTTGTAAAGACAGGGTCTCACTTTCTTGCCCAGGCTGGTCTCAAACTCCTGGGCTCAAGTGATCCTCCCGTCTTGGCCTCCCAAAGTGTTGGGATTACAGACTTGAGCCACTGTGCCTGGCCTGAAGAAATTTTTTGTGTCATGATTTGGGGGCAGAGCACACAACTGGGGATGAGAGTACTATTGGCATTTAGTGAGTAGAAATCGGGTGGGCTGTTAACTATCCTACAATGCACAGATGGTTTCCCTGTTCCCCTCACCCCACACACAAAATAAATGATACGGGCTGGGTGTGGTGGCTCACACCTGCAATCCCAGCACTTTGGGAGGCCAAGGCAGGTGGATCACCTGAGGTCAGGAGTTCGAGACCAACCTGGCCATTATGGTGAAATCCGCCTCTACTAAAAATACAAAAATTAGCCAGGTGTGGTGGTGGGTGCCTGTAATCCCAGCTACTTGAGAGGCTGAGGCAGGAGAATGGCTTGAACCTAGAGGCAGAGGTTGCAGTGAGCTGAGATCGTGCCCCTGCACTCCAGCCTGAGCGACAGTGCAAGACTCTGTCTCAAAAAAAAAAAAAAAAAAAAAGATCCGGTTCAAAATGTTAATAGCAATGAGGTTGAGAAACTCTGGGTTAAGTTGACTCAGCAATCAATGCTCTCCATTCTGTGCCCCTAATCCACATATCCAACCATTGTTCCCCAACATGGGGAACAACGCACACTCAGGCAGGTCCTGTCCCTATTCCTAAACCTGTTCTTCTTAGTTCTTACCCTGTGCCTTTGTTCATGTGATTCCCTCTGCCTGGAATGTTCTCCTATGCACCCATCTGAACCATGCCTATTCTTCAAATTTCAAGCATCTCCTCTCCTGTGACACCCTAGTCACTCTAACCTCTCTGACCTTCCTCACTTGCAATTCCTGGTAGGTTGGCCTTGAGGGCAGGAACTGGACTTGGATATATTTGTATCCTCCACAGCATTTAAGGCTCCCAGTATATATTTGTCGAACAACTACACACCTTTGCCGTCCAAAATTTTTCCTCACTGTTCTATTGAACATTATTCCTGTATTTTAAGAAAAGCGGTTGAAAGGTAGAAGTCTTGATTGGCTGAGCTCAGGAATTCCTTTGACGGAATTGGATTTGATCTGCATGGCCCAGAGAGAGGAATTTTGTAAATTTCTAACTCTTTAAATGAAACAGCCACCAATCCTTCCTGTAAAAAATCTGTGATGACATCTACAAGTCAATAAATAATATAACACTGTTTGCCAAACTGCATGCCCAGAAGCGGAACAGCAAGGACCCAAGCCGACAAGCTTCTTAATTTCCCTAGTGTCAGAGCAACAGCTCTATCAGTCTGGAGGAGTCTGAAAAAGTGGCCCAGGCCACACCTTTATGACTTAGGATATTTGATATTTCTTTGATATTGTGTTGCACGGTTTGAGTTGAAAAATCTTTTTCTTGTGTGTGTAGTAGAGTGGGGTTGCACAGTAGGGGAGAAAACAAACTTTTAAAGAAAAAGCATAGGCCACCGTGTCAGATGTGTGAATGTGAGTATTGATCTCAGTTCTATTATATTCCAGCTATGAGACTTTAGGCAATTTCTTTACCTATCTGAGCCTCACTTTAGTTTCCCATCTGTAAAGTGGAGATATAGCACCTATCTTATTATGATCTAGTGTGGATTGATAATGCCAGTTGGCTGGCACAGAGGCTGCTACATGAGTAAGCTTACATAAATGATATTTTTCTCTCCTTTACTTTCCTTCCCTCCTCAGCCAACAATGGTATGGTCACAGCAACAATGTTATAATACTTTGTATTTTTGAAGAATTTTTATGTCCCTTTGCTTTCTTTAAAGTAGCCAAGGCAAGGATTTTTAATTTGTCAGATAAAATAATTCCAAGGTTAGAGCTGCAATAAAGTAATACAAATAATATAGTTATAATTTCTTACAGGTCCTCTCTGCAAACCTAGAAATGGGTTGGTTCCTGAAAGCTAGCATTCCTTCCCTAAAACCTTCTCTTTTTCTTTCTTTTTTGTTGTTGTTGTTTGTTTTTAATCTACAGATGGGTGGAAAGGAACATTATCTTCTTGTACATTTTTGCCTTATGCAATCTCATCCACTCACTGGTCCATAATGACCATCTATACATAGATGACTCACAAGGATGTTCAGAGCTTATCTTTGAGTTCTAACTGGCACGTCTAGCTGCCTGTTTATCATCAATGCACCCCAAGTTCAGCAAATAAAAATCTAATCCTGCAGCACTCCTGCTTAAAATGCTTTAATTCATCCCATTATTCTCAGGAAAAACATGAAACTAACAGAGCTGTGCTGTCCATCGTCTAGCCAGTACCTCTCTGGCATCACTTTACATCAGCCCCCTGTGGAGACCCACTTAGAACCTCCCAGTTAACATGAAGATTATTTTAAGCTGAAGACATTTGAGGCTCAACCAGTGTAGAAAGAAGCCTTCTCAGAGCTTCCCTTATCTGACTAAAAGCAGAAACTTTTGGGAAATGAGGCTGTCATAAATTCCTTCTTCAGGGCAGCTTTTACTCCCAGGAAGGAGATCAAGAATAAACCTACATAAATCCCCACTCTGGGGGAACTTTTTATGGCCACTGAAGAAAATGGAAAGAACACTCATATCTGCATGAACACGCATTATCACAAATTTTTTTTTATCTTTCATTTCTTCTTGCAGAAACCCATTTGTCTTTTCTAAAGAAACTCATTTGGTCTTGTGATAAAGACCTTTTCTCTCCCTTCCCTTTTCCCTCCTAAGTTAGGAATTTAAGCCTCTAACTTAAATCATTTATTGTGCTACTTCTTTTGTAAGCTCCTGTATGCATACAAACAAATGTTTCTTCCTGTTGATCTGTCTTTTGCCAGTTTAATTCATGGATTCCTTGATACTAAACGTTAAGAGGATAGAGGAAGTTTTTCCTCCTGACACTGCCTTGATCTCTGTGCTCTTACTCTGGCTCTTTTTAGTTTTTGTTTGTTTGTTTTTTTTTTTTTTTTGAGATGGAGCCTTGCTTTGTCTCCAGGCTGGAGTGCTCTGGCGGGATCTCAACTCACTGCAATCTCTGCCTCCCGGGTTCAAGCGATTCTCCTGCCTCAGCCTCCCTAGTAGCTGGGACTACAGGCACGTGGCACCACACCCAGCTAATTTTTGTATTTTTATTTTTTATTTTTTTGAGATGGAGTTTCACACTTGTTGCCCAGGCTGGAGTCCAATGGTGTGATCTCGGCTCACTGCAACCTCCACCTCCCAGATTCAAGCGATTCTCCTGCCTCAGCCTCTGGAGTAGCTGGGATTACAGGCATGTGCCACCACGCTTGCCTAATTTTGTATTTTTAGTAGAGATGGGGTTTCCTCTATGTTGGTCAGGGTGGTCTCAAACTCCCAACCTCAGGTGATCCTCCTGCCTCGGCCTCCCAAAGTGCTAGGATTACAGGCATGAGCCACTGCGTCCAGCCAATTTTTGTATTTTTAGTAGAGATGGGGTTTCACCACGTTGGCTAGGATGGTCTCAGTCCCTTGACCTCGTCATCCAGCTGCCTCAGCCTCCCAAAGAGCTGGGATTACAGGCGTGAGCCACTGCGCTTGGCCATGGTTCCTTTTAGTTTCATGATTCCTCCTGCCAGACCTCTGCCCATAACCTTTCCCTTGCCAAGAATGCTTTTCCTTTCCCCTGGCATTTATATAACTACTCCTTATCCTTCAAACTAGTTCAAACGGCAGCTCCCCAAGGAAGCCTTCTCTGACCTCCCAGTTAGAGACTCTTCGGGCATCCTATACTTTTCCTTTATAGCACTTCTTACACTAGCAATAAAAAATGTGTATGATTACTTGATTAATGTCTTTTACCCTGATAGACTGAAAGTTTCTTGATGGTAAGGGTCCTGCGTATTTTTGCTCACCATTTTATTCTAAGTTCCTAACACAAAGTAGGCACTCAAGAAAAGAACTACTGAATGAACGCATGTTTAGAAGACAGAGGAGAAACTCCACATATGATAGACTAGAACTACGCCCTCCAGGATACCCCTTTCAAGCCAAGGATGTGTGGACCCCTACATCACGGTTCTTTGAAGTCCAGTCACATACCTGGGGCAAAGCAATCTCAAAATAGCCAGTGCTAGTGTGGGAAAAGCTGTTACTCTATCGGGGCAACTGTCCTGGCCAGAGATTAAGTGACAGTTTACTTGAGAAAGGTTGACCCAGAAAACCGTCCTACAATATGCAACATGCATGAGAGAACCTGATCAAATCTAAAAATAGCTCCATCACTGGAACTGGAAAAACTTTAGTGAGGATTCAGCCTCTCTCCTTGCAACCTCTACCTCTATGGAGACTTTGATCTTTTTCACTGAACTACAGAATCCCAGAATGGTAGTGCTGGGAAGCGATCTAGTCTATTGCTCTCATTTTAATTTAATTTTTAATTTGAAGAATTTTCTATAGAGTCAAGATCTTGTTATGTTGCCCAGGCTGGTCTTAAACTCCTGGCCTCAAGTGATCCTCCTGCCTTGGCCTCCCAAAGTACTGGGACTATAAGCATAAGCCACTGTGTCCAGCCTGCTCTTATTTTAAAATGAGAAAATTAGCTTCAGGGAGGTTTAACTATTTCCCCTGTACCACCCAGGCAGTCAGTTGCAGAAACAGCTCAGACAGGGGCTTTCTAGCTTCACCGCAGTAATGCTTGGGTTTGCGATCTGGAAGACCAAAATAGACACACTTTTATCAACTAAGACAGGTTCTAAGGTTAAGGAAACAAAGTTACCTACGGGTCTATCTACTGGTGGAGGGTTCAGGACCCAGCTAGCATGGCAAATTGCTAAATTCCTGAGGCTCTAAACTCCCTAACAATAAGAGATATCAGCCCTCTCCTAACTCAGATTTACAATCCAAACCACTACAGCCCTGACTGCACAGCAGACCAGCCTTACAAAGATTCTTTCCTGAATAAGCTACTTCAGACCTTAAGCCTTAAGCCAGTTTCAGCCAGCTTACAGAAGCTGCACACAAACTGTCTTTGTGTGCTTTAGTTCACCTTTTCACATAAAGCACCAAATTCCATCTGATTTTTATGCCAAAACCCTGCCCAAAGTGAACATGGAATATATGTTACCTATATGCTTATCCATCATCCATGCGCTAGGCTCCCTTCATAATTATGTATAGCTTTTCCCCAAAACCTGATGAATATGTATGACTCTGTTGTGTGATACACGCCCTGTGAAGCAAGAAACCCAAGCTTCCTTCCTCACTTCAAAGAGACAGGACCTTCTGTCCACACTGGAGACTTCCTCTTTCTGGGTTGCAAACCAGTATCACCAATAAAGCTCTCCTTTCCACTATTTAGCCATCCTGGTGGTCTTTTGGATGACAGGTTTGACACCACCTAGCTTTTAGGCATCTTGGATGCTAAAGACCCTGCAAGATTTATGTTCTTGTGGGTCACCCAAAAGGGAGGCAGGTGAGCGGGGGCTTATTTCCTACTTCTCTGGTTCATTGTCACAGTGAGCAAAAGTCTCAGCAAGGGAACCCATGCAAACCACTCAAGTTCTGGGTGAAGGATCAAGGGAACCCAGGCAAACCACTCAAGTTCTGGGTGAAGGATACCTGGAACAGAGACTGGAATATGGCAAGATAAAGGATAGGAACTTGGGTTCCAAGGGCTGATCTTAGCTCTACCACCAGATAGCCTGGGTTATCACTTGGGAAACACACTGTCCCTCTAAAATTTGTTATATGGGTTAATAATACTGACTTCAGGCTATTGCGAGACTCAAGATAATGTACTAAAGACCTTTAGCACAATGTCTGACATCTGGTGTTCAATAAGTGGTGATATTGCTCAATTTCATTCCAATTCAAACTTATAAACATCCATGGGAAGTCTGCTTTATAGACAAGCAATAGGGGAGCACAGTAATTATTTGGGAGGGGAAATCTCAGCAGTTCTTCCAAGTGACACATTCTTTCTTTAGATATGTTAATACCTTATTTAAAAAAATTTTTTTTTTGAGACAGGGTATTGCTCTGTCACCCAGGCTGGAGTGCAGTGGTGTGATCTTGGCTCACCGCAACCTCTGCCTCCCTGGTTCAAACGATTCTTGTGCCTCAGCCTTCCCAAATAGCTGGGATTACAGATGTGCACCACTATGTCCGGCAGATTTTTATATTTTTAGTAGAGACGGGGTTTTGCCATGTTGGCCAGGCTGATCTGGAACTCCTGGCCTCAAGTAATCTGCCCACGTCAGCCTCCGAAAGTGTTGGGATTACAGGCATGAGCCACCAAACCACTGAGCCCGGCCCTAGGTATGTTAATACTTTAAATCAGGTTGCAGTCAAGTCCTGCTGGCCAGCTGAGGCTCTTGCAATGACTTTGCATATCTGTGCTCAATCCATTAGTCATAGGATTTACACTTCAACATCTACAGCAATCTTTTTTTTTTTTTTTTTTTTTTTTTTGTCCTGAGAGAGAATCTTGCTCTGTCGCCCAGGCTGAAGTTCAGTGGTGAGATCTCGGCTCACTGCAACCTCCGGCTCCCGGGTTCAAGCAATTCTCCTGCCTCAGCCTCCTGAGTAGCTGGGATTACAGGTGTGCGCCACCACACCTGGCTAATTTTTTTTTTTTTTTGAGATGAAGTCTTGCTCTGTCGCCCAGGCTATAGTGCAATGGCGCGATCTCAGCTCACTGCAACCTCCACCTCCTGGGTTCAAAGTGATTCTCCTGCCTCAGCCTCCTGAGAAGCTGGGACTACAGGTGCGTGCCACCACGTCCGGCTAATTTTTGGTATTTTTAGTAGAGATGGGGTTTCACCACATTAGCCAGGATGGTCTCCATCTCCTGACCTCATGATCCACTCACCTTGGCGTCCCAAAGTGCTGGGACTACAGGCGTGAGCCACCGCACCCAGCTAGAGCACTCATCATTATCAAGAACTTTGGAGGCCCTGAGATTCGAGACAATTGAAGGGATCCAGAATAAGCCATTGTGCCATAAAAATTTTTGTGAGCTGAAAGCATTTGGGGTCCTGAAGTCCCTTATCTTCCTAAAAGCAGAGGCTCCCAAAAGAACTCAAAAGAACTCAGTTATCATAAATCCCCTCCCTGGGAACAACTCTAATCTTGAGAGAGAATTTGGCCAGCACACCCAAAGAGACATTATCAGAAAACTGTCATATCTCCCATCTGTTCTCCTAAGGGCCCATTTATCTTTCCTGAAAGTCATTTGTTTTTCCAGAAGTGCTCTTTTTCCTTCCCTCGTCTAAGAAGTCATTTATTTTCCTGGTAAGTACTCTTTTCCCACTCTGCGTCACCTATTAGGTGGTATAAAGCCCTAAAGTCTATCCACCTCTTTGAGTTGCATTTCTTTGTAAATGCCTGTACATGATTAAAATTCATCTTTTCTCTTGTGAATCTGTTTTTTGTCAGTTTAATTTTAGACCCCCAATTACAAAACCTAAGAGCAGAGGAAAAAATTTTCTTCCCCACAAGGTCAACCTCTTATTCATAAACTAAAAACACAAAATACATAAAATAAATATAAGAAAATGTAAGTTTCTCAAGGTGTTACTGGAAAGGGGTCCCGAGCCAGACCCCAAGAGAGGATTCTTGGATTTTGTGCAAGAAAGAATTCAAGGCAAATCCATAAAGTGAAAGCAAGGTTCTTAGAGAAATAAAGAAACGAAAGAATGACTGTTGCATAGGCAGAGCAGTCCCAAGGGCTGCTGGTTGGCTATTTTTATGGTTATTTCTTGATCACATGCTAAACAAAGTGTGGAGTATTCATGAATTTTCCAAGAAAGAGGTGGGCAATTCCTGGAACTGAGGGCTCCTCCTGCTTTTAGACCATATATAGTAACTCCCTGATGTTGCCATGGCATTTGTAAACTGTCGTGGTGCTGGTGGCAGTGTCTTTTAGCATGCTAATGCATTATAATTAGTGTATAATGAGCAGTGAGTGTATAATGAGGAAAGGTCACTTTTGTCGCCATCTTGGTTTTGGTGGGATGTGGCCGACTTCTTTACCACAACCTGTTTTATCAGCTAGGATTGCCTAACTTACTGGGAATGCAGCCGAAAAGGTCTTACCCTTATTTTACCCAGCCCCTACTTAAGATGGAGTCACTCTGGTTCAAACGCCTCTGACAATTATGACTATTTTGGTGTTTTGGTTTTTTTTTCTATCAAACTTCAAACTTTTTCAAAAGCCATTTTCTGGTGCCCTGGCTTTACTGGTGCCTAAACATGTCTGTCTATTGTGCAATCCAGCCTTGGGCATTGTTAGTCCTAATTTTGCAAACCTGGAAATAAAAGGTAGGCGTTCAGGGTACACAGTTGGTAGAGTGGAGTAAAGATAAAGCCGAGGTTTATTTGACTCCTACTATACATCTGTAGTGAATCCTTTAGCTATTCCAGTTCCTTGTGATCAAGGGGCCAAGGTAAATATTTTTGGGCATGAATTTGGGGAACATGCATCTTCAAACACCTCTGAACTGTAGGAGTGAAAAGGCGTGATACCATTTCTGTCCCATCGTAAAGGTCATAATCAGACCTTCAATAACAAAAGACGTGTGAAAAAGAGAAAACATAACACATTTATTTAATCAAAGTTTTGAGAGCACCTTTTCTGAATTACTGTGCCCTAATGAATGTCTAGTGATAAACCTTGTCATAGAAATATATGAATCCACGTGAAAAGTACAAGCTGTGCAAAGCAAGAGATGTGCGAAGGACATGAAAAGATTTCTTGTGGGGTTTTCAGAAAGTCCTTGGAAATAGTTCTTATCTCAGACATGGAAGCGTAAGCCCCCACTTCTTCATGCCTTCCTGGCCTTATTTTGTCTGAGTCTGACAAAAGTGATTTCATCCTGGTATCTGCAACTTTCACAGTCAGAAAGAAGCTTTGCTTCTGAGGCCCTTTCAATGCCCTTCAGTTCAAAGTATTCAGCATACCACACCACCATACTTTGGGGTATCACTTTGTGAGCCCCAACAGTAGAATAAGCTTTTAGAAATGGAATTTTTAACTCAAAGCCTATGAACGCTCTTTTTTTTTCCCCCAGAGACAAGGCCTTTCGCCATCTCCCAGGCTAAAGTATAGTGGCTTCATCATGGCTCACTGCAGCCTCAAACTTGGACTCAGCTTCCTGAGCAGCTGGGACTACAGGCATGTGTCATTACACGAAGCTAATTTTATTATTTTTACTTTTTTTTTTTTTTTTTTTTTGAGACAGAGTCTTGCTCTCTCGCCCAGGCTGGAGTGCGGTGGCACAATCTCGGCTCACTGCAACCTCCACCTCCCAGGTTCAAGCGATTCTCCTGCCTCAGCCTCCTGAGTAGCTGAGATTACAGGTGTGCACCACCACACTTGGCTAATTTTTGTATTTTTCGTAGAGATAGGGTTTCACCATGTTGCCCAGACCAGGTTGGTCTTGAACTCCTGGCTTCACATGATCCACCTGCCTTAGCCTCCCAAAGTGTCAGGATTATAGGTGTGAGCCATCATGCCCTGGGTTATTTTTACTTTTATTTATTATGTGAGACCTTGCTATGTTTCCCAGGCTGGTCTCGAACTCCTAGGCTCAAGAGATTCTCTTGCCTCAGCCTCTCAAAGGGCTGGGATTACAGACATGAGCCGCCACACCACACCACTATGAAGAGTTTTGACATCTGAATGTTTCTAAATTGTCTGGTAATATTTTCTCATTTCTTAAGAACTCGAAAATCTTACTTCTTGTTTCTGCTTCTACTTTTTGTTTGTTTTTTGAAAATATGGTTCTGTAAATCATGCGTGTTTGCCTGCCAGAAACTGCTAGAACCTAGTTATTGTCTTTCAGAAGAGTCTGAAAGGCCTGGTCTGGGTGCCAGAGGTGTTGTCCAGAAAAAAAAGGCCTGGTAGACAATTGGAGTTTGACTGTCTTCCAGTTTAAAGGCTAGAAGCCTGGGAAAGGAGCTGGTCTTCCACTGTTTGTGCTGGAAAGTCTGTGAAAGCCTCAAAGGGTGATGGAGAGATCTGGGCTTGCAGGTTTCTACGGTTATTTCTTTGTTTAAGGAATTCTATGGGATGGAACCTTGAAACATCTTTGGAGTGGGTAGGGAGAAAGTAGTGACCCACAGCCTCTGTCCAGTTTTATACTCTCAGAGTCATATACCTGCAGATATTTATTTTTGTTTGGTTGGTTTTCTTTTGAGTTTTCCTGAAGGCACACTGAAGCTATGGTTCTTGTTTGTGCAGATGTAAATAAGAAAAGCCTTTGCCCTCCCCACAGAGGAAAAGTAACTGGCCGCTTAGGGGGATCTGCTTGCAACTGTAGCCCTGCATACTTGTGGTTGCCTTCTTTGTGGAGAAGCTTGGTTAATAGTGTAGGTGAGGCAAAACTTTTTCTCTATTCTTTTATGTTCTGTGCCTGAAGCCTATGGATTAAACTGACAAAAGAGAGATTAACAGGAGAAAAAAAGGCTTGCAAACTTACTGAATGTTTTTAATTTTATGTGCAAGAATTACACAGAAAACAAGTGAAAACCCAAACAAGTGGTTGGACCCAGGGCCTAAATGTTGTTTTAATAAAGGGCAATAAATTGTGGAGAAGTAACTACACAAAGGAAAAGGGGCTTGGGTTCCCAGTGGAAACAAATTTTGGGAAGGTAAATATATGGGGGAACTAATTGTAGAGAAGAATTTTTTAGTAAGGTTTGTTATGCAGACTCAAGTTGGGTGCAGACTGAAGTGAGAAGAGTCACGTCAGGTGATTAATAGTCTTCTCTTCCTGGTATGGGAGAGGGAGACACTTTTACAAACGGGAATTTATGTTACTTTTACAAAAGGGAACTCTATGCTCTGCTTTCAGAAGAAAGGGGGAGGGCAGAGAGTTTCTCCTGAGCCTGCTATTTCTTAATTGCCTTCAGCTGAAAATAATCCTAATGCCAAACTAGTATATTTTGGGGTGGCATATTCTGATCCCCTTCCACAGACTGTAGGAATCTGTCACTTTTACTCATTATAGGGATCTCAAGAGAAGGAAAGGAAATGCAATAGGTATCAAGATAATATATACATATACATAATATATACAAAAAAGTATTTTTTTTTTGAGACACGGTCTTGCTCTGTCCCCAGGCTGGAGTGCAGTGGTGCGATCTCGACTCACCGCAACCTCCACCTCCTGGGTTCAAGCAATTCTAATGCCTCAGCCTCCCAAGCAGCTGGGATTACAGGTGCCTACCACCACGCCCAACTAGTTTTTGTATTTTTAGTACAGACAGGGTTTCACCATTGTATTTGTTAGGGTTCTCTTAGAGGGACAGAATTAATAGAATATATATATATGTTATTAAATATTAACTTACACAATCACAAGGTCCCACAATAGGCTGTCTGCAAGCTGAGGAGCAAGGAGAACCAGTCCAAGTCCCAAAACTGAAGAGCTTGAAGTCCGATGTTCCAGGGCAGGAAGCATCCAGCATGGGAGAAAGACGGAGGCTACGAGGCTAAGCCTGTCTCCTCTCTTCACGTTCTTCTGCCTGCTTTATATTCTCTGGCTGCTGATTAGATGGCACCCACCCGGTTATGGGTGGGCCTGCCTTCCCCAGCCCACTGACTCAAATGGTAATCTCCTTTGGCAACGCCCTCACAGACACAGCCAGGATCAATACTGCAACCTTTAATCAAATCAAGGTAACACTCAATCCTGATCTAAAGTGATCCACCTGCCTTGGCCTCTCAAAGTGTTGGGATTCCAGGCGTGAGCCACCGTGCCTGGCCAGTACCAAGCTAATATTAATAATTAGCAGTCTGTTCTAAAAATGCACTCAGAATTTGTTTCAATCAGGTATGGTAAGACATGCAGACAGAGAAATGATTATCATGAAGAAAGAAGTTTGCCCTCACAGACGCCTAGAGACGGTTGGCATGCCACACAGAGAGACAAGGGGACACACCCACGCTGGTCAGGAGGCAGAAGCGGGGAGCATGGCCCAGAGGCTTTACTGGGGTTTTCACAGGAAGGAATGAGCCAGGCAGGGTAGGTACACTGAGAAAGTTTAGGACTGGATAGTTTGAATAATTTCAGGGGGCTCTGGGCAATAGGGGGTGTTCCTTAGTTGTTTGGTGCCTGGCTTTGGAGTGATTTAGGGTGGGGAGAATATTGGCCTGATGTGTGGGAGTTTGAAAAAGGAGATGATTGGGGTGTGGGCTCTGGGTTGATTGGTTTGTATATTAAACATTTGTATGTTAAACATTGGCAAGCCCTGGGAGGAGCAGTCTCTTTAGGATCAAAGCCTCAAATGCCAGAGCAATAAGAATACAAAAAATAAGAAAATATAATCAATACCCAGTCATAAAAATATGCTAAGGAAAATTTCCATGAAATTTTGTTTGTTTGTTTGTTTGTTTGTTTTTAAGACAGAGTCTCACTCTGTTGCCCAGGTTGGAGTGCAGTGGCACAATCTTGGCTCACTGCAACCTCTGCCTCCCAGGTTCAAGCGATTCTCCTGCCTCAGCCTCCCGAGTAGCTGGAACTACCGGCACGTACCACCACGCCCAGCTATTTTTTTGTATTTTTAGTAGAGACAGGGTTTCACCGCGTTAGCCAGGATGGTCTCGATCTCCTGACCTTGTGATCCGCCCGCCTTGGCCTCCCAAAGTGCTGGGATTACAGGAGTCAGCCACCACGCCCGGCGTATTACTTCACTTTCAACATCCATGGAAAATTTCTAATTGTCATCTCTCTGGCAAACTTTGAATATCAGCAGTGATTGTGCTGTTTTGTAATCAAAACTTGAGCATAATTTTCAAGATCCTCAAACCACTTTAAGATATTAGGGTAATATAATACAGTATTCCATTAGTTAATGAGACCTCTTTGGTTACACTGAATACCTTTTTAAAAACAAAAATTAACAGAGAGGTAGAAAAAATTACTGTGTCAGCAAGCATAGTTTTTACCTTTTTTTAAAAAAGTGCCAATAAAGAGGTAAATTAATCTTCCAGAGGTTCCTAAATAAATAAATAAAATTTAAAAAAGGTACATTCAGTAAAATATCTACTTTGTCTTGTAATATAAGATTAATTATCTTTTAAAGCTAAGATGGAAGATCTTAATATTGTCATATAACTTTATGCAGAATTATTTGTTTTTTAAAAATTTTTTTGTCTTTCCTGCACAGCAATATACGTAATTACGTGTTTAAATATATATACATATAAATATTGAAATGAATAAAGTATGTGTGATGCAGAAGAGAAGATGCCTGGTTCAAAATTGGTCTCGAAGTTTTTACTCTGTTTTTCACCAAAGGTAGTAAAAAGCTATTTACCTTTTGTGTAATCTGCCAAGATAGCAGAGATTTCTTATGTCAACTGAATATTTTTCTTGAGAACCTGTTAATTTTTAGTGCTTTTGAAACGATCAACAAATGTTCTTCAAATCTAAAAGAGCTATATTACATTGTTACGATGATGATGATGTTACTTTGTGCTATGTTTGTTTTTAAATATTGCATTGTTGGCTGGGTGTGGTGGCTTACACCTGCAATTCCAGCACTTGGGAGGTTGAGGCAAGCGGATCACTTGATGTCAGGAGTTTGAGATCAACCTGGCCAACATCGTGAAACACCATCTCTATTAAAACTTTTATTTTTTAATTTGCATTCTTATTCTTGTTAATCAGCTAGCCAAGCTAAACCGTTTCTTTTACTTTTTTTTTTTTTTTTTTTCTGAGACAGAGTCTGGCTCTGTCACCGTGGCTGAAGTGCAGTGGCGAGATCTCGGCTCAGTGCAACCTCTGCCTCCTGGGTTAAAGTGATCCTCTTGCCTCAGCCTCCCAAGTAGCTGGGATTACAAGCGTGCACCACCACACCTGACTAATTTTTGTATTTTTAGTAGAGATGGGGTTTCACCATATTGGTGAACAGGCTGGTCTCGAACTCCTGACCTCAAGTGATCTGCCCACCTCGGCCTCCCAAAGTGCTGGGATTACAGGAGTGAGCCACCATGCCCGGCCCCTTCTCTTTTTTTGAGAAAGGGTCTCACTCTTTCACACAGACTGGAGTGCAGTGGCACCAGCCTAGCTCACTGCAGCCTCAGACTCCTGGTCTCAAGCTATTCTCCTGCCTCGGCCTTCCAAAGTATTGGGATTACAGGTGAGAGCCACCACACCTGACCAATTTTTTTCTGTTTAAAATACTCTTGCCAACCAATAGCAATTGTAACACATAGTTTAGTAGGTGGATTAGAAGGACCTTGAGATTTGTCAGTACCTTCAAAGATCATGATATATTTTACCCCAGAATCATTGTGAAATAGTTATGTATTATAGCCCAATAGAGGATTCTATTCTGCTTCATTCTGGTATTGTTGGTTACTGTAATAAATTAACCAGAGTCATTTAATTTTGTCATTGGCAGATGATCTTTGCTCTCCCTTTCCTTTATCTAAAGACCCTTGCTGCAAGCTATAGGTCAGAAATGGAGTCGTTTGAAAGAAACATTAAAACAGCAAGTAAAAGATTCCACAAGGTACTCTTAGCCATTAACAGTAGAAATAGACTTATGGGAACAGACTTCCCAGTATGACTGATATTGCCGCAACAACTGATACCTGTTGGCTTGCACCAAGAGACTGAGTTGGGATTTCTAGGATTCTTTTAGCTCAGAAGCAGATGATTTTGTGAAAGTAGACCCCTTGCCTGAGATTACACAGAACAAAATTTAATTTTATAGTACCAGTGAACTAATTAAAAATTATAATTTTTTTTGTTTTGGAATATCTTTAGTATTGTTTTAATGTTGATTCTGTTTTAATTTTCTTCTTGGGCCGGGCATGGTGGCTTATGCCTGTAATCCCAATACTTTGGGAGGCCAAGGTGGGCGGATCATAAGGTCAGGAGATCGAGACCATCCTGGCTAACACAGTGAAATCCCATCTCTACTAAAAATACAAAAAATTAGCCGGGCGTGGTGGCACACGCCTGTAGTCCCAGCTACTCGGGAGGGTGAGGCAGAAGAATTGTTTGAACCCAGAAGGTGGAGTTTGCAGTGAGTCGAGATTGTGCCACTGCACTCCAGCCTGGGCAACAGAGGGAGACTTCGTCTCAAAAAAAAAAAAAAAAATTCTTCTTGATCTACCTTTAATTCTCAATTTAGCAGGATATACCTGTGCAAAGTGGAGTGAGACATTCTTTGAACCTTATTTTATTTCAATTGACCTGTAAGAATTCAGGAAATATATCCTTGGAGAAATTTTTTTTTTTTTTTTTTTTTTTTTTTGAGATGGAGTCTTGCCCTGTCGCCCAGGCTGGAATGCAGTGGTGCTATCTCGGCTCACTGCAACCTCCGCCTCCCAGGTTCAAGCAATTCTCCTGCCTCGGCCTCCCGAGTAGTTGGGATTACAGGCATGCGCCACCACACCAGCCTAATTTTTTGTATCTTTAGTAGAGACGGGGTTTCACCGTGTTAGCCAGGATGGTCTCAAACCCCTGACCTCGTGATCCATCCGCCTCGGCCTCCCAAAGTGCTGGGATTACAGGCAGGAGCCACCGCGCCTGGCCCTGGAGAAATATTAATATAAGTTATGAAGTAGTGAATTTGTCAGGGGAACTCAAGGATAATGATGACTCTTGTAATTGGAATTCAGAGAAATGCTTTTACAATGACTTAAGGTTAGAAAAATACATTGAGTTAAATTTTACTTATTCTAAGACCCATAGTATATAAAATACCACATTTTGGGAGGTAGTGTCATTGGTGGATTATGTGGTGATTTTACAGGATATATGAAAAATATTGATTAGCCTATCCATAAAAGTCCTAGGAGAATAGCCAGATATTGTTACAAATACTTGAGCAAAGCCCCTTTACTTTTAATGGTAATGTAACTATTTTCTTTTTTTTTTTCTTGAGATGGAATCTCGATCTGTCGTCCAGGCTGGAGTGCAGTGACACGATCTTGGCTCACTGCAACTCTGCCTCCCAGGTTCAAGCAATTCTCCTGCCTCAGCCTCCCCAGTAGCTGGGATTATAGGCACATGTCACCACGTCCAGCTAATTTTTGTATTTTTAGTAGAAACGGGGTTTCACCATGTTGGCCAGGCTGGTCTCGAACTCCTGACCTCGTGGTCCGCCCACCTCGGCCTCCCAAAGTGTTGGGATTATAGGTGTGAGCCACCGTGTCCAGCCAATGTAACTATTTTCATAGAGTAAGTAAGAATCAGTGCTTCTGGCCAGGTGTGGTGGCTCACGCCTGTAATCCTAGCACTTTGGGAGGCCGAGGTGGGTGGATCACCTGAGGTCAGGAGTTTGAGACCAGCCTGGCCAACATGGTGAAACCCTGTCTCTACTAAAAATACAAAAATTAGCCAAGTGTGGTGGTGGGCACCTATAATCCCAGCTACTTGGGAGGCTGAGTCACGAGAATGGCTTGAACCTGGGAGGCTGAGGTTGCAGTGAGCCGAGATCGTGCCGCTGCACTCCAGCCTGGATGACAGAGCGAGACTCCATCTCAAAAAAAAAAAAAAAAAAGAATCAGTGCTTCCTTTAACAGGAAATAAATGGACAGATTGCTAGTACAACCAAGGCTATAGTGGGAGTGCCATTAATATTTGAGAACAAGTTTCACCTAATCAGGTATGACAAGTTCACATTAAGGAATAAAGATTGCAATTAATATCCACAATTAACACCTACAGTGTCTTCCCAGGAAACTGGTGTGGTGCCTGTTCCTTAGTTTACAGTTTCTCTCAGCCTTACAGGTTGTAAAGAAGCTACTTCCCTGCAGGCTACAAACATTGGCGAATTTTAGGAATCTTGAGGAAAAGAGACAATTATAGCTAAAAACAGTAGTGGAGAAGAACTTCTTGATGTTGGCTTCATGGCCTCAGAATAGGTTATTTAATTTTAAAAAAATCAATTAAGAAACCACTTTGGAATGATAAGGCTGTTGAAAATGCACTCCTAAATACCTTGCATAATCTCCAGACAGAAGTTAATCATCAGGCTGCAATAGTTGCTCAGCATCTTATGGCACTAGATTTGCTAACCAAAAGGAGGCTTATGTTAATTTATACCTCTTGCTACATCTGTATATATGAATCAGACTAAGTAGGTTAGAAATTACGTAATAAAAAGGGAACAGATTCAGAGAATACATGGGATGGCTCCCATGGAATCAGTATAATAATGTCTCCTCACATGTGGCACAGCACTCTGATTAATGGGTTCAAAAATACAGTTAGATAGGAGAGCTAAGTACTAGTATTCCATACTACAACAGGGAAATTCTAGTTAGCAATAATTTGTTGCGTATTTCCAAATAGCTATATGGGATTTGTAATGTTCCTAACACACAGAAAGATAAATGTTTGATACATATCCCAATTACCCTGATTTGATCATTATCCATTGTATACAGGTATCAAAATACCACATGTACCCCAAAATATGTATGACTATTATATGTTGATTTAAAATAAACTTAAACAATTTTAAAAGTCTATGGTTTTACAAAATTTTTGGTCATCATAATCATGTCTGTGTGCTATAAATTATGTCTATATCTAATTTCCATCAAAAGAACTATAGAGGCTGGGCACGGTTGCTCATGCCTGTAATGCCCGTACTTTGGGAGGTGGAGGCGGGCGGATCACTTAAAGCCAGGAGTTTGAGACCAGCCTGGCCAACATGGTGAAACTCCGTCTCTACTAAAAGTGCAAAAATTAGCTGGGCATCGTGGTGGGTGTCTGTAATCCCATCTACCCTGGAGGCTGAGGCACGAGAATCACTGGAACCCAGGAGGCAGAGGTTGCAGTGAGCCAATATCTCACCACTGCACTCCAGCCTGGGCAACAGAACAAGACTCTGTCTCAAAAAAAAAAAAAAAAAAAAAAAAAAAAAAAAAAAAAAACTATGGAAAATGGCCAACTAAGCAAGAAGTTCAAATAATGATCTTGGCACAAAAGCATGAGATCAGCCTTTTTACTATGTGATCACGAATGGTCTTCAGAGATTATTTATGGTCACAGGGGAGACTGTTTAGGAAAAATTATGCATAGTTTGGAAATAAGGCAAAAAGATGACTACAAGATCTTCTTTCTGCAATTTTTTATTGTGTTAAGATACACATAACATAAAATTTACCATCTTAACCATTTTAAAGTGTACAGTACAGTGGTGTTAGATACATTTATAATGTTGTATAACCATTACAGTCATCCCATCTTCCCTCTCCATAACCCTTCATCTTGTAAAACTGACACTGTAATTCCCATTAAACAATAATTCCCATTTCCTCCTCCTCCGCCACCTCCACTACCCCCAACCCCCACTCCCTGGCCCCTGGCAACCAGCATTCTAGGAATGTGACTATCTGTCTCTAGGAATGTGACTACTCTATGTACTTAGTATAAGTGGAATCATGCAGTATTTGTCCTTTTGTGACTGGCTATTTCATGCAACGTAAAGTCTTCAAGGTTCATCCCTTTTGTAGCATATGTCAGAATTTCATTTCTTTTTAAGGCTGAATACTGTTTCATTGTATTTATATACCACATTTCGTTTATTCATTCATTTATTGATGGACACTTTGGTTGCTTCCTCCTTTTTGCTATCGTGAATAATGCTGCTATGAACATGGGGTACATTATATTCCTTCACGTCCCTGTTTTCAATTATTTTGGGTATATACCCCAAAGTGGAAGTGCTGGATAAGATGGTGCTATGGTTTGGATAGGGTTTAATAGTCTCCACCAAAATGTATGTTGAAATTGGATCCCCAATGTGGTGGTGTTGGGCCTAATGGGATGTCTGGGTCATGAGGGTGGATTCCTCATGAATTGACGAATGTCCTCCCACTACGGTGAGTTCTTACTCTCTCACTAAGCGTTGAAGCAGGAGGGTTGTGAAGGTCTTTCTCCACAGAGCACAGGGCTGGAAGGGAATTCTAGCAAGCGCACCAGGTAAGGCTTGAGATAATAGCTACCTTGTCTGAATAGAAAGAAAAATGCCCAGGGGCAAGTTTCAGAACATGGGCTAATATTGCAGTGATCGATCCAAAGCTATGTAGCTGGTTTCATCCATACGCAGAATACAGGGTTTCCTTCTTTACTGCACTGACACAGAGTATACCAATTCCTGGGGTGGGTGGGGGCTCTACAGCCAGGAGAGAGGGGACAGGTGTTAGGAACTGCGTGTTTGTGTCCCCTCCAAAAATTCATATATTGAAACTTTAACTCCCAGTGGGATGGTATTAGGATGTGGGGCCTTTGGGAAGTAATCAGTTTCTGAAGGTGGAGCTCCTATGATGGGATTAGTGCCCTTATAAGAACTGACTGGGTGGGGCACGGTGGCTCAAGCCTGTAATTCCAGCACTTTGGGAGGCTGAGGTGGGCGGACCACCTGAGGTCAGGAGTTCGAGACCAGCCTGACCAACATGGTGAAACCCCAACTCTACTAAAAATACAAAAATTAGCTGGGTGTGGTGGCGGGCGCCTGTAATCCCAGCTACTCAGGAGGCTGAGGCAGAAGAATCACTTGAACCTGGGAGGTGGAGGTTGCAGTGAGCTGAGATCATGCCATTGCACTCCAGCCTGGGCGACAGAGCAAGACTCCGTCTCAAAAAAAAAAAAAAAAACTGTGTGTGTGTGAGTGTGTGTGTGTGTGTGTGTGTCTGCCTCCCCTGACAATGTGAAGATACAACAAGAAGACAGCTATCTGCGAACTAGGAAGAGTGCCTTCACCAGATACCAGATATACTGGCACCCTCATCTTTGACTTCCCAGCTTCCAGAACTGTCATATATAAATGTTTGTTATTTAAGCTACCCAGACTATGGTGGTATTTTTGTCATAGCAGCCCAAACTGACTAAGAAAACAGGAAATATCACTTATAATAATTTTCTTTTGAGACAAGGTCTCACTCTGTTGCCTTGACTAGAGTGCAGGGACATGATCATGGCTCACTGCAGCCTCAAACCCCTGGGTTCAAGTGATCCTCCTGCCTCAGCCTCCTGTAGCTGGGACTACAGGCATGCACCACCATGCCCAGGTAATTTTTATATTTGTTGTAGAGATGAGGTTTTGCCATGTTGCCCACGTTGGTCTTGAACTCCTGGCCTCAAGTGATCCACTTGCCTCTGCCTCCCAAAGTGCTGGGATTACAGGCATGAAGCACTGCACCCAGCCACTTGTAATAATTTTGACCACAACATAGACCAGTCTTCCCTAAAAAGCATTCAGTGTAAATAACCCAAATGATCATCAGCCAATGAATGGATAAACAAAATATGGTCTATCCATACAATGGAATATTGTTCAGCATCAAAAAGAAATGAAGGACTGATTCCTGCTACAACATGAACGAACCTTGAAAATGTTATGCTACATGAAAAAAGCCAGTCACAAAAGACCACATGGTATATATGACCCCACTGATATGAAATGTCCAGAGTAGGCAAATCCACAGAGACAGAAAGTAGATTAGTGGTTGCCAGGGGCTGGAGAAAGGGAGGAATGGGAAGCAACTGCTAACAGGTATAGGGTTTCTTTTGGGGGTAATAAAAATGCTGTAGAATTAGACAGTGCTGTGATGATTGCACAAACTTTTACTAAAACCCACTGAATTGTATACTTTTTTTTTTTTTTTTGAGATGGAGTTTCGTTCTTGTGGCCCAGGCCGGAGTGCAATGGTGCCATCTCGGCTCACTGCAACCTCCACCTCCCGGGTTCAAGTGATTTCTCCTGCCTCAGCCTCCCTAGTAGCTGGGATTACAGGTGCACACCACCACACCCAGCTAAATTTTTATATTTAGTAGAGATGGGGTTTCACCATGTTGGTCAGACTGGTCTCGAACTCCTGACCTCAAGTGATCCACCTGCCTCGGCCTTGCAAAGTGCTGGGATTACAGGTGTGAGACACCGCGCCCAGCCTATTGTATACTTTAAATGGTGACTTTTATGGTGTAGATATTATATCTCAATTTTTTAAAAGAAAAAAAGTGATACTGCTAAAAACAAACAAACAAACAAACAAACAAAAAAACCCATTCATTGTCACCATAAGCTTCTGGCTACAGTTTTCTAAATGGCTACAATGACTTTCAACACACTTCATGTAACATAGTAATGGCAACAGATTTAAGAAGCTGACAGCAAATGCAGGTTTTACAGGATTCTTCCCATGGAAACTTACTGCAGAGTTTACTTCAGATTCAAACTGGAAGGTCTATCCCAATGACTTCAGAAGCTGTGACAGTGTGTGCATTATCTCCTAGCAATTGTGATATTTCTTCCTAGTAGAGGCTAATTGTCTATTTAGACAGTAAGTTTTTGAAAAAGAAGAACCACATTTTCTTGTCTCCTGTGTCCCCCATATCTATGTTGCATATGTAGAACATGTAGAAAAACTTCTTCCCATTTTCCCTAATTATAGGAGAAAAACAATGCAGCCACTACAACATGTAATACTGAGTTGTATCCATTTCATTATTTTTAAATAGATGGAAGCAAATGGTGTCTCCATCTCCCTACAAAGGGGCTGGGCACAGGAATTAATATCAAACATGGTTAAGGAAATGCACAGTGTAGTTACTAGGAAACTTTTGCTTTCCTAGTCCTTGACTGGGCTGAAGTACGGGGCACTTTAACTTTCTCGTCTTCATCTTTCTACTTTTTGCTGCCTTTCTCTGTGTGTGACTGTGTGTGATCCCCTTACTTCAGGACTCCTTTATGTGCAAGAGAAAGTTCAACTCAGACTTCCAGAAACTTCAGTTAGAAAGGAAACAAGGAGATGGTGGGTCCAATGTACCTTGGCCCCAGGACATTTCCATGATCCAGAAAATAGTGTTGGCCCCTGGCCTTGTAGGAGGTCTCCAGAACCCTGTCCTAGTTGTAAGGTCTGGGTCTGCCCTCACTGGTGGGCATCTGGCTATACTGGTGATTACATATTCTGAATATCATGCTCACTGAGGCTGACCTCGGGCCCTCTCTTCTGCTGCCAAATAGGCCCCCTATGGCCTGGTTTCTGACATGAGGTTCCAGTTCCAGTCCCACTTCTCTTCCTGGCAGTGTGGGCCTGCTGTCACCTTGCTCCAAGCTGACTTCTGAGTGGCCCCAGGCCTCAGAGCTATATGGCAGACGCTGCCTGGGCCTGGCAACACGGCGGACACTCTGTGTTCTGCACCACCTCCACACACTTGATAGGCGGTGCTGATTCCAGATCCCAGATCCCAGATCCCAGGCCTTCCTGGCCTGCTCTGTTTCACTGCAATTAACTGGGCTATGCCTGACAGTGTGTCCAGATATGGCCTGGGAGGGGCAGGGAGGAGCAAAGCACTTCCTCCGCCCCCTTCAAAGGGCCCCCACCCCTGCACCCCAACAGAGGCAGCTGAACAGCCCCTTCCTGTGCGTTTCATCCTCACCGGTGCTACACCCAGCCTGTACTCCCTGGCTGCCATGTGACCCCTTCCTTCTGACTCCCATGCCCATGGGGCTCGGATCCCAGCTGGCAGCCAGGCAAAAAGCTCAGAGACAGAGAGCTACACTGAGGCTGAGGGTGGCCAAATGCATTGTTTCTTAAGGCTACCTGTTCCCCTCCTATTTCACCCTCCTTGGATTTAAAACAGAGTCTGAAGAGAGAAATACGTAAGGCAGAGAGTCTCTTTGGGGGCCAGTTTTCACTTCTGTGGTCTGTCCATCACACCACATAGAGAACCATGGGTTCCATCCTGGTATAAGGACAGGCCTATCTCTGAGATCAGAGAGTAATAGAAGCAAAAATAATAGCTAACATTTTTTGAGTGCATAGCCTGAGCCAGACATTTTGCTAAGCACTGTGTAACCATTTTCTTATTTTTTTCTCCAGGAGATAGATCATCACAGAATTTCAGATGTGTTAGGTGCCTGAGGTGGAGGCTGCTAGCTATCTAAGCCACAATTCATTCATTCACCCCTTCCTCCTTGGCAAGAGTGCCCTGATTTAATTTGAAATGGCCATGTAGCCAGATAAGGGTCTGTTATTTCCCAGCCTCCTTTGCAGCTATGAGACTAAGTGCAAGTGTTCAATGCCGGGTCTGACCTGCAGACCCTGGCTGAGTGATGGATGAAAAAAATGTATGCAGACACAGGTTTTTTGTGTGGCTGCACGGTTAGGGGACTGGGCTGCTCACAGATACCAAAGAAGGTGCTGTAAAGAGTCAGCAGCCATAGCCTCGATAAGCCAGTGCTGCAGGCATTTATTCAGTACAGATTTAATGACAAAAGCCTTGGGTCAACACACTTGTGGGTAATTAACATGGTTGCCCTCCCAGAGACAGCAGTCCTGCACAGATGATTAAAGGCCAGGTTCCAAGGCCTAAGTAAACTAACTTATCTAGATCAATTCTCTTACCCTTCTTTGTTATCTACTCTGAGAGAATTCAGCTGCCTTCAGCCACATTTTTTCCTGAAGCTTTTACAAAACCTAGCCTTCTAAGAAGGTTTGCATCTTTCTGTAAGTTTTCCCA
The DNA here is from genome assembly GCF_000001405.40 of Homo sapiens. Classification (NCBI taxonomy): domain Eukaryota; kingdom Metazoa; phylum Chordata; class Mammalia; order Primates; family Hominidae; genus Homo; species Homo sapiens. Next base: position 47,282,616 of record NC_000002.12, on the reverse strand, counting down.
CCATCCTGACTGAACTCCTACAGTTCAAGACTTAGGCCCTTTAAAAAGAGTGACATTGTTTTATCCCTTCCCCCCTCCTCCTTCCTGCTGCCTGGAATTCCCAGGTGTTGGCTGGAGCTCACACAACGATAGTGGGCCTAGAATGGAAGCCATGTCTGGCAGAAGAGAAACAAGGAGCCCAGATCTCCATGGACCCTTCATATTATAGCAGCTGAGAACAGTCTCCCCATGGACTTCCTTTATGTGAAATAGTAAAAACTTATATGTTTAGGCTACTGTAGTCAGTTTTTATTTCTTCAAGCTGAACAAAATTCCTAACTGATTAGGGTTTTAGAAATCAGGTATTCAACAAATGATACTGGGAAAACTGGATATTCGCATGCAAAAGAATGTTAGACTCTTATCTAACACCACATACAAAAATTATTCAAAATGGATCAAACATAAAGAGAAGAGCTAGCTAAAACTATGAAACTCTTAGAAGAGACTGGGCATGGTGGCTCATGCCTATAATTCCAGCACTTTGGGAGGCTGATCCTGGAAGATTGTTTGAGCTCAGGAGTTTGAGCCCAACCTGGGCAACATAAGGAGACCCTATCTCTATAAAAAATTTAAAAATTGGCCGACTGTGATGGCTCACACCTGAAATCCCAGCACTTTGGGAGGCTGAGGCAGGTGGATCACCTGAGGTCAGGAGTTCAAGACCAGCCTGGCCAATATGGTGAAACCCTGTCTCTACTAAAAATACAAAAATTAGCCAGGTGTGGTGGCACACACCTGTAATCCCAGCTACTTGGGAGGCTGAAGCTGGAGAATCACTTGAACTCAGGAGGCAAAGGTTGCAGTGAGCCGAGATTATGCCATTGCACTCCAGCTCGGGCGACAGAGTGAGACTCCGTCTAAAAAAAAAAAAAAAAAATTAAAAATTAGCTGGGCATGGTGGCGCATGCCTGTGGTCTCACCTACTCAGAAGGCTGAGGTGGGAGGATTACTTGGGCCCAGGCAGCCAAGGCTGCAGTGAGCTGAGATCATGCCACTGTATTCCAGCTGGGGCAACAGAGCAAGACCCTGTTTCTAAAAACAAATGAACAAAAAACCTCTTAGAAGAAAACACACAGGAAAAGCTTTATGACATTGGATTTGGCAAGGATTTCTTGAATATGACACCAGAAGTACAGGCAACAAAATAAAAAATAGACCAGGCATGGTGGCTCACATCTATAATCTCAACACTTTGGGAGGCCAAGGTGGGTGGATCTCTTGAGCCTGGGAGTTTGAGACCAGCTTGGGCAACCTGGTAAAACCCTGTCTCTACCAAAAATACAAAACTTAGCTGGGCACAGTGGCTTGCACCTACAGTTCCAGCTACCTGGGAGGCTAAGGCAGGAGAATTGCTTGAGCCCAGGAGGCGGAGGTTGCAGTGAGCTGAGATCTCACCGTTGCACTCCAGCCTAGGCAATGGGAGTGAAACCCTGTCTCAAAAAAAAAAAGAAAGAAAGAAAGAAAAAAAAAATAGACAACTTGGACTTCATCAAAATTAAAACTTTTTGTGGATCATAGGTTTGAAACCATCAGCAGTAAAAAGGCAACTCACAGAATGGAAGAAAATACTTGCAAATCATATATCTGATAAGGGATTAACATCCACAATATATAGAGAACTCCTAAAATTCAACAAAAAATGAAATAACCCATTCAAAAATAGGCAAAGTACTTGAATAGACATTTCTCCAAAGGAGACATACAAATGGCCGATAAACACATGAAAAGATGCTGAACATCTCTAGTCATCAGGAGAATGTGGATCACAATTACAACGATATGTTTCCGTAGTGTAGTGGTTATCACGTTCGCCTGACACAATTACAACGATGCCACAACCAGTGAGTACCAAGAAAGAAAAAAGAAATTACAATGAGATACCACGTCACATCCATTAGGATGTTATATCAAAAAGCCAGAAACTATTAAAAACAAGTGTTAGCCATGATGTGGAATAATTAGAACCTTTGTGTACTGTTGGTGGGATTATAAAAGTTGCAGCCACTGTGGAAAACAGTATGGTAGTTCTTAAAAAAATTAAACATGTAATTACCATTTGATCCAGCGATTTCACTTCTGAGTCCAGGAGTTCAAGACAAGCTTGGGCGACATGGCAAATCCCCATCTCTACAAAAAATTAGCTGGGCATGGTGGCACATACCTGTAGTCCCAGCTACTTGGGAGGCTGAGGTAGGAGTATTACCTGAGCCCAGGAGGTCGAGGCTTCAGTGAGCCATGATCACACCACTGCACTCCAGCCTGGGTGACAGAGCGAGACCCTGTCTGGAAAAAAAAATAAAAAAGATTGAAATGCTGATACATGCTACAAGATAGTTGAACCTTGAAAACATTATGCTAACTGAACTAAGCCAGACACAAAAAAAACAAATATTGTATGATTCCACTTCTATGAGGTACCTAGAGTAGTCACAGTCATAGAGACACAGAGGAGAGTAGTGTGGTGGTTATAAGGGGGGTTGGTAAGAAGGAATAATAGGGAGTTATTTATTTATTTATTTATTTATTTATTGAGACTGAGTCTCACTCTACTGCCCAGGCTGCAGTGCAGTGGTGCAATCTCGGCTCACTGCAATCTCTGCCTCCCAGGTTCAAGTGATTCTCATGCCTCAGCCTCCTGAGTAGCTGGGATTACAGGTGCACCACCACACCCAGCTAATTTTTGTATTTTTAGTAGAGTTGGGTTTTCACCATGTTGGCCAGGCTGGTCTTGAACTCCTGACCTCAAATGATCCACCTGCCTCAGCCTTCCAAAGTGCTGGGATTACAGGCATGAGCCACCACACCTGGCCTGTTTTTGTTTTTTGAGATAGGGTCTCGCTCTGTTGCCCAGGCTGGAGTGCAGTGGTGAGATCTCGGCTCACTGCAACCTCTGCCTCCTGGGGGCAAGCGATTCTCATTGCCTCAGCCTCCCAAGTAGCTGGGACTATGGGTGCACATCACCACGCTTGGCTAATTTTTGTATTTTTAGTAGCAATGGGGTTTTGCCATGTTGGCCAGGCTGGTCTCAAACTCCTGAGCTCAAGTGATGCACCCACCTCAGCCTCCCAAAGTGCTGGGATTACGGGTGTGTTCTACCACACCTGGCTTTTTGTTGGTTTTCTTTCCTTTCTTTCTTTCTTTTTTTTTTAAGACAGGATGTCTCACTCTGTCACCCAGGCTGGAATGCAGTGGTGCGATCTCGGCTTATTGCAACCTCCACCTCCCAGGCTCAAGCAATCCTCTCACTTCAGCCTCTTGAGTAGCTGGGACTGCAGGCACGCACCACCATGCCTGGCTAATTTTTGTGTTTTTTGTAGAGATAGGGTTTTGCCATATCTCCCAGGCATTGTTTTGATGAGTTTAGAATTTCAGTTTTGGATGATGACAAATTTCTGGAGATGTATAGTGGTGATGATTACACAACAATGTAAAGGTACTTAATGTCCCTGAACTGTACACTTAAAAATGATCAAAATGGCAAATTTTGTTATATTAGCCAGGATTCTCCAGAGAAACAGAATCAATAGGAGCTACGAGACACATGTAAAAATTAGCTCCCACCTCCCTTTCCTATACTTTCCTAGGATCTTGTCAAGAAAAAAAAATATATAAAATTTACTACAAGAAATTGGCAGCTAGGTGCAGAGGCTCATGCCTGTAATCCCAGCACTTTGGGAGGCCGAGGCGGGCGGATCACCTGAGGTCAGGAGTTCAAGACCAACCTGACCAACATGGAGAAACCTCGTCTATATTAAAAACACAAAATTAGCCAGGCATGGTGGCGCATGCCTGTAATCGCAGCTACTCAGGAAGCTGAGGCAGGAGAATTGTTTGAACCCAGGAGGCAGAGGTTGCGGTGAGCTGAGATCACGCGATTGCACTCCAGCCTAGGCAACAAACTCCAAAAAAAAAAAAAAAAAAGAAAGAAAGAGAGAGAGAAGGAAGGAAGGAAGGAAAGAAAAAAAGAAAGAAAGAAAGAGAAAAGAAAAGAAAGAAAGAAAAAGAAAGAAGGAAAGAAAGAGAAAGAAAGAAAGAAAGAAAGAAAGAAAGAAAGAAAGAAAGAAAGAAAGAAAGAAAAAGAAATTGTCTCATGTGATTATGGAGGCTGAGAAGTCCCAATCCATCTGTGCTCAGCAAGCTGGACACCCAGGAGTGCTGATGGCATAATTCCAGTCTAAATCTGAGGCCAAAGGTAGAAGAAATTGATGTTTCAGCTTGAGGACTATCAGGCAGAGCAAATTTTCCCCTAAACAGCCTTTTTGTGTTCTATTTAGGCTTCAAGGAATTGGATGAGACCACATTAGGGCAGGCAATCTGCTTTACTCAGTCTACTGATTCGAATGTTAATCTTCTCCAGAAACACTCTCACAGACACATCCAGAATAGTGTTTTACCAAATATCTGGGTACCCTGTAGCCCAGGCAAGTTGATAGATAAAATTAACACTCACATTTATATTATATGTATTTTGCCACACTAGAAAATATAAAAGACAGAAGAAACAAAGAAATCAGGGAGTCCAACTTCCCTGTTGGATGAGCTGGGAAATGATTTGTCCTGAGTCACACAACTACCAGAGTAACCAGAAGAACCAAACCTGGGTGTCCGTGACTTGGTCCTAAGCCCTACCCCAAGGCCCCTTGTTTGGTGGAGCACATTCCATCACCTGCTCAGCCTTTGCATCTTAGAAATCTTTTAATCTTTTGATTACCCGCTTGGGGTTTCTACCTGGAGGCTGAAGAGTTCTCTCTTCTGCAAGGGTGGGAATGAAGAGGCAGGGGGCACGAGCTAAGGTCCAGCCCGCAGCCCTATCTATGGGGAGGTGAAATTCAAGACACCTGCTCAGGTAAGGAAGGTAGCTGCCCTTTCTTTTATGGAGATAAGGGATTATGTGGGCACTTTGCCCATGATGGATGGTCTCCCTGGCCTACTCCAGAGCTGGTCCTGTGGTCAGAATGTCCCCCATCCTCATCCCCCCGCCATGCATTGAGCATGACCACTAGCTGCTGGGGTCTCCTGGGTATTTGGCCTCCCAAACCAGACTGTAAATGCCCTGAGAGCAGGGATCACATCTTCTTTGCCAATGTTATCCTCCCTTACCCCACCCCAGCATCTGCCAAGCATCTCACTCAGGGCTCAGCACTCAATAACCTGCACAGTTCAGGAAACTCTCACAGATTGCTTCATACTTCCAAGCTCACATATCTTGTCAGAACATGTACCTTAGAAATCTGTATGGTTTCTCTTCAGGTAACTGCAGAGATCCTGAAATGCCAAATCTGGGGAGAGGTAATAAAGGAGGACTTGTGTGAGGCCTGGGAATGGACAGCAGGGTGCATGCAGGATCTGAGCAGCAGAGAATGAGGGCTGTCACAGGCTTCAGAAAATGGGCATGAAAGCCTGGTGCGGTGGTCCTGAAAGCTGTCACCTGGGGACAGCCACCTGCCAGGGATAGTCTAAGGAGGGATCATGTCCATCTCCATACCCAGGGCTGCTTCCACCTCCCTGGGCACATGTGGGGTAGATTGCTCTCAACCTTGCCCTGAGCTTCTCTGCGTCTCCAAGGCCAGAAGATGATGGTAAGATGACAAGAATGAGGGTTTATGGGGTATTGGCCAATGGTCACCTGCCTCATCACCCTCAGCTTTGATCACAGCCAGGCAATCATTGTTTTCAACCCCATTCCTGCCCCAGAACTAAGCCTCTGAGCTAGAATCCATTTCTACCTCCAGACAGAGACCTGTTTGGAGACTTGAAAAAAGTTACCAGCTCTATTGGCTGGGTGGTGGCTCATGCCTGTAATCCCAGTACTTTGGGAGGCCAAGGTGGGAGGATTGCTTGACCCCAGGAGTTTGAGGTCAGCCTGGGCAATATGACAAAACCCCATCTCTACAAAAAAATAAAAAAATTAGCCAAGCGTGGTGGCACGTACCTGTAGTTCCAGCTACTGGGGAGACCGAGGTTGGAAGAGGGGGTTGGGGGCATCTCTTGGCCTGGGAGGTTGAGGCTGCAGTGAACCATAATTGCACCACTGCACTCCAGCCTGGATGACAGAGTGAGACCTTGTTAAGAAAAAAAAAAAAAAAAGGAGAAGAAGAAGAAAAGAGAAAAAATATTAACCAGCTCCCATAGTCCCTTCTAAGATCTTGTCAACAAAAATTGTGAACGACTTTGAAATGGGCAATGCTTCCTGGGTGTCCTTTCAACAATGTCAGGCATTGTCTAGAGTAGAAGACCCTTCCTAGGTTGTCTGATTCTACAGGAATCTGTGCCTTTTATTGTCTTCAATGATGTGGCATCTCTGTAGAGACGTAAGTTAACTTATGGTAAGCTGATGCTTAAACACAAGATTCCTGTTCATAGAAATGCAAATGAAGAGGCCGGTTTTGCATCTATTAGTAAATTCCCTTTAACATCCCTGATTGCCTATATATGTGTCTGTTTCTTGGATTTTCCTGTGAACTGGTTGTAATATCTTACCAGTTCCCTCATTAATTAATCAATTGAATTGAAGTCACTGACATGCTCATTTTATATTTGTTTTTATTTTTTATTTTTAAAATATTTAAAAAAAATTTTTTTGAAACAGGGTCTCACTCTGTCACCCAGGTTGGAGTGCAGTGGCATGATCACAGCTCACTGCAGCCTCGACTTCACAGGCTCAATCAATCCTCCCACCTCAGCCTCCCAAGTAGCTGGGACTACAGGTACACGCCACCATGCCTGGATAATTTTTGTATTTTTTGTGGAGACAGGGTTTTGTCAGGTTTCCTAGGCTGGTCTTGAACTCCTGGGCTCAAGCAATCCTCCTGCCCCTGCCTCCCAAAGTGCTGGGATTCAGGTGTGAGCCACTGTGCCCGGCCTTATTTTATATTTGCATAAGAATTATAATTTTACCTTTTAAAAAATATCCTTTAACAGTTTTAAATATGGGTCTTGTGCTTAAGTTGAAGGAACAGAGAGGGAAAGGGAAGGAGGAGACGAGTGGAACTTGGCAGGTGGAAGGAGAAGTGGGAAAGGAGAAAATAAAAGAAAACCGAAAAGAAGGATTGAGAGGCAGAGATAGGCTGCGGGAAGAGTGGAGGGGAGGGAAAGAGCAAAATAACAAAAGTGGGAGGCAGAGAAAAGAATCTTATATATAGGGCGGACACAGTGGTGCAAGCCTGTAATCCCAGCACTTTGGGAGGCTGAGGTGGGTGGATCACTTGAGGCCAGGAGTTCGAGACCAGCCTGGCCAACATGGTGAAACCCTGTCTCCAAGTAAAAATACAATTAGCCAGGCATGTTGTCCTGAGCCTGTAGTCCCAGCTACTCTGAAGGCTGAGGCATGATAATTGCTTGAACTGGAGAGGCAGAGGCTGCAGCGAGCCAAGATCACACCACTGCACTCCAGCCTGGGTGACAGAGCAAGACTCTGTTAAAAAAAAAAAAAGAAAAAGAAAAAGAAAAAGAAAGAATCCTATATACAAATACAAATACTCTCTCTCTGCTTGAAGGAAAGTCTTTATTTTGAGTCAGCTATGAGAGGCCCTCTCCATCCCTCAGTCCGAAAGGGAAATTATTTTCTGCCTCTGTCGTTTCCCAGGTCACCAGTTATATTAAGCCAAGGTCCCTTGGTGGCTGCTGTCTGTAATTTTTCCACTCCCCATCCTTTTGAGTCAGATTGCAAAATAAGGACATTTTGAAACAGATTCTTTGTGATCAAGGCTGTGGACATGTGACTGGGGACTCTTTCAGGCCCTATGGAGCTGGGTAGGGTCCTTATTGAGGGCCCTGTTTAAATCAGCAACAGGAAGGCAAGCAGAACCACCAGGCTGCTGCCACAGGTGCTCTGACCCCAGCCTGCCCACTTGGGGAGGCCACGCAACATTCCCAGGCCTTCCCTAGGCAGGAGGACAGGGTTGCTCCTGCGGTGCCTTTGCCGGGGTTAGAAGTAGGTTCTTTGCCCTGCAATGTCCCCGCTGGCCTGGCATAGATCTGAAATTTAGAGAGCCAGTTGTCATAGTTCTAACATGCCCCTTCATCATGTGACTGCAGCTTCTCTTTCCAAATTATCTCCTGCCATACCTGCCCCACATCCAGTGCTCCAGCCAGGCAAGTCGACTTACCACCCTCTGAACATGTCAAATACGTTCACATCTCTATGAGCCTTTGCTCTGACTGTTCTCTCTGCTTGGAATGCCTTTTCCCTTTCTTCCCTACCCGATGACATCATACTCATTCTTTCCTCTTACTTCCAGGCAGAGTGAATTATTTTCTCCCTTGAGCCTTCATGTGTACTTTATATACATCTGTATTTAGACATAGCACTCATCGCTCTGGTTTGTAATTACTTGCCTGTCCGCCAGTCTGTTCTTCAAGGGCAAGAGCCCAGGCTTATTATTCATGGCCTGTCCTGGTACTTGGCTTAGTGCCTGGCACAATCATTCAGTCATTTCACAAATTTATTGAGCACTGACTATGTGCCAGGCTGTATTCTAGGTGCTGGGCCGTAAACAAAACTGATAAAGCTCTCCATTCTTGTGGAGCTTACATTCCCGCTGGGGAGGCAGACGACATACAAATAAACGAAAATAACCAATACGTTAGAGAGTGACAGGTGCTTGTGGAAAATCAAGGGAGCTAAGCACCCAAAGAATGATGGCGAGTATTGTTTTAGACAGGATGGTCAGAGAAAGCCTCTCTGATAAGGTGGCATTTACTTTTTTCTTTTTTCAAGATGGGGGTCTCCCTATGTTGCCCAAGCTGGTCTTGAACTCCCGGGCTCTAGCACTCCTCCCGCCTTGGCCTCCTGAAGTGTTGGGATTACAGGCGTGAGTCAGGCTGCTCGGCCATGGTGGCATTTAAATAAAGGCCCGAGGAAGGTGAGGGAGCAGGCGGGTCATGGGGGTGTCGGGAAGTGACCTTCTAGGCAGAGGGAACAGTGAGTGTAAAAGCCCCGAGGTGGGAGTGTGTCTGGTGTGCTTAAAGAACAGCATGGGGCCGATATGGCCATAGGGAAGTGAGTGGCAAGAACAGCGATAGGAGCTTAGCTCCAAGTGCTTAGGGCCATGCAGGCTAAGGCTCAGCTTTTACTCCAAGTGGCGTGGGGAACCATTGCAGGGATCTGAGCAGAGAAGACCATCTAACTTAAGTTTTAGAGCATTCACAATCTTATGGGACCTCCTGGATACTCTCTGGAAACAGATGGTGGGTGTTCACAAGGTCATCAAGGTCATCAGTAATGTGAGGCCAAGGCAACCAGCCCTTGGGGAGTGTGTCCTTGACCTTGACGGCAGGAAATGGGCGAGTCTGCTCCCTTAACTCTATGTTCCCCTTCTCCTTTTCCCTTAGAGAAGTGTCCCAGCTGATGGGGGCTTTCTGACCCGGGCACTGAACGAGCCTGGACTCTGGTGATACCAGGCAAATCTCGTGGGAAATAAACAGAGAACCCTGGCTTGTAACAGGAGTTTACCCCCAAAAGTCAAGGCAGACTTCCTGGAAGAGGAAGGCTCAGCTATCCGGTGATTAATAAAAGGCAAATCACCGCAAGAGAAACCAGCCTTTCGCGACCCTGGCAGTTGGACAGCATGGCTGTTGGTGCTGGGTCACCTTCAGAACGGCCTTGGCAAATGAGTGCTAATGAAAGCCTGGCTCAGGGACAGAATGAATGATTTAGACTACTCACCCCCTCCAGGCTCTCTCCTAGGCACATTTGGTAAATCCTTACCGTAATAACCAATAAGAGTTGAAGACATCGCCTCTCCACCCCTCCAAAGAAGGGAATGTCTAACGGTGGAATTGCAGGCACTGGGTAATGCTGGCTCCTAAGTGCCCTTGGGGAGGAGACTTCCGAGAATGCTTCTATTCCCATTACAAAAAAGGCTCCCATTCCCACCTGCCTTCTCCCAGAGAGGCTTGCGGTGACCACGACAGGTGCAACAGGGCTCGAGCTGGCGCGGGCGCAAGGGGTTCCTGGTCGGCCCAGGGCCGGGGTCCCAGTGCGCAGGTGGGCGGCGCCGCGTGCAATGGAGGCTGGCGGCCGACAGAGGGCGCAACGGAGCCGCTGGGCTCCCCCTGCTCTTTCCCGACTACCTCGCTGCCCAACTGCCCTGTCAGCCGTGTTCGCGGTGCCGCGGGGCGTGTGTGGGCGCCGTCAGGGAGGCCTTCCTAGGCCACTCCTCAACCATCATCTGCTGCCGTCCCTGGCCGCGGCCTAGCCCCATTTCCGGTCAACTTAGTCCCCCGCCCCCAGGCCGTCCAGATCTCGCCACACCCTCTGCAGGCCACCCCCACCCTTCCTTCCCTTCCAGGTGTGGTCAGTCGGGGAGGGTGGTGGCCGGGGGTGAGGGGCATGGTCTGGAGGACGTGGGCCCGGAACCCGGGAGTGAAGATTAGCGGTTTTGTACAGGGAAGCTGCAAATGAGAAGCCATAGCTGATTTCACCCCCAGCCATTGCCTTAGGCCTCGGTAGCCTCAAGCCTTAGGCCTGGGCGCTGGGATGGGGGCCTAGAGTAGAGTCCAGGGCCCCTGGGGAATGTGGGAAGGCATCTGCCCTGTTTACTTCTGCAGGCTCTGGCTGGTGATAGAGCCAATCATTATTTGTATGAATGAAAGAAAGAAATGGAGAGTAGTCCAGGCACGGTAGCCCATGGTGGCATTGCTTGAGGCTGCGAGTTGGAGACCAGCCTGGGCAACATAGCCAGTCCCCGTTGCTTAAAAAAAAAAAAAGAAAAGAAAGAAAAGAAAAAGAAATGGAAAGTGATCTAGGGATCTGTTTGTCTGTTTGCCTAAGACCCAGCTCTGGCCAGCCCTGATGGGTCCCAGGGGACCAGCAGGCTTTGCCATGCTCCTGTTGCTATGATACTTACCTGGAGCCCTCTCCCTCCATCTTCCCACACCTCACACGTTCCCTTTCACTTCTGCCACTGTTCCAATGCCCTTGCTAGTACTTGATCCAAATCTCTTATCCTAGCTTTCAATGTTCTGCATGGTCTTGCCCCACCCTATGAAGGGTAGCCGAATACACGGCCCTAAAATATGCCACTTGGGCACAAGGATTATTTTGAGCTGAAGGCAGTTGAGAAGAAGCAGAAACATGAAAAACTCTCTGCCCTCCCCCTATTTGCCTAAAAGCCGGATATAAATTTACAAGGGTGTCCCTCCTTCCCTCTCAATCAGGAAGGACAAAGGTTGATCACAGAAGACGGCCTTAGACCTCTATCAGCCTGGAGACAGCACCAGAGGAATCTGCATAAAAAGCTTTGCTAACTAGCCTTTATCTACCATTATTTTGTTCAGTTATTTGTCTTTCCACAATTGCCACCCCTAGGGACTCAAGGTCCATTGCTTTTGTCTTGTCACTTCTCTAAAATTGCATTGTTTTTTGTTGAAGATGCTATATAAGAGTTCTAAGTCATCTCTTCAAGGTTTTCTCATTTTCCCTGAGTGTCTCCCATGTTTACATATTAGTAAACTTCTGTGTTTTTTTCTTTTTCTTTTTTTTTTGAGAATGAGTCGCACTCTTGTTGCCCAGGCTAGAGTGCAGTGGCACGATCTCTGCTCACTGCAACCTCCGCCTCCCAGGTTCAAGCAATTCTCGTGCCTCAGCCTCCTGAATAGCTGGGACTACAGGCACCCGCCACCACACCTGGCTAATTTTTGTATTTTTAGTAGAGATGGGGTTTCACCATGTTGGCCAGGCTGATCTCAAACTCCTGACCTCAGGTGATCCACCCACCTTGGCCTCCCAAAGTGCTGGGATTACAGGCGTGAGCCACCGCACCCAGCCCTGTTTGTTTCTCCTTGTTAATCTGTCTTCTGTTACAGGGGTCCCAGCTAAGGACTCAGAAGGGTACAGGGAAAATTATATTTCCTCCCTGACACTATCTTACAATACGTGCTGGACTCTTCCATTGCTCCACTAAATCGACTCAAAGTAACATAATTTCAACCGGCCTTCCTCTGGCGAGCTGCCCATCCCCTTTTTCCCTATCAAGAACACCTCCCTTGACTTGCCTCCAAATCTTTCTCTTCCTTCAAGGCCAGGCTTCAGGAAGAGAATCCCATTCAGTCCCTTCAGGAAGCATTTCCTGACTTTTTCAGCCCATAATGAGTTTTCCCAGCTCTGAATGTGGCATTCACTCCTTGACCCCTTTTTTTTTGGTACCAATTATCCTACTGGGCTTTGTCCTATGGTACTTTTGTACCTGCCTTTTCTCTCTAGCTAAATTGTAATAATTTGGAAGGTAGGGTCCAAGTCTTACTAATCTTTTTCTTTCCCCCTTCCATTCATCATACATTTATTGAGCACCGACTACATACCAGGTATAAAGTCTAGTACATAAGGTCCCAAAGGAGTGTAGGACACAGCCCCCACAATGGAGTTCTGGAGAAAATAAAACACATGGGGCTTGAGAAAAAACAGGGAATGTGTCTCCCCCATGGAGCACTCATCAGAAAAATCTGGAGTGACTTCCTGTGGGAGCACTCAGCATCCTGAATGAAGAAGCAGTCTCATTCTCAGAGGGAGTGGCTGCCCATTCATGGAGACACTCACTCACCCGTTGCCTCATTCATTCATTCATTCATTTGATAAATATTTGTTGAGTCCTCACTTTATCCAAGTGACTCATGAGATTGGTCACACTGCAGCCCAGGGCTGGCTGGAGTGTGTGTGGTGGGGGTGGTGGGGGACACCAGAAGCCCGGAAAGCTTTAGGGGTGTGTCACTTCTTTGTCAGTTCCTGTTAAGAGGCATGAGTCCCTGCTGGAAATGGTCTTGGGAAAGATGGGGTGGGCGTGGCAAGGGCAAGAAAGCTTGGAGTTTCATGGAGGAAAGGAGGATGGATACCAGCCTTCTCTGAGGGCAGGGTGCCAAACCCTGCCTGTAGTTCCCTTTGGAACAGTTTGCTCTGCCAAAGAGCAGGTTCCCTTTAAAGTTCTTTCCTTCCGTGATCATTTGGGGCTTTTCAAACAGCCCCATGAGGCATTGGGTCATATACCAGCCAGGAAAGCTAAGGCTAGGAGATTTATGATTTCCCCCATAGTCACTGGGCTATGTCAGGCCTAGGCTTAGGCCTGGCCTCCCCAGTTTCGTTGTAGAGGGCTATGTTCTTGACACCTTTGGACCCTGTATGCCAGACTTTACACCTGGTATGTGGTAGATACTCAACCTGCTCTCTCAGCAGGAATCAGTCAGAGGGGAGGAATCTCTGGCTCCACATAGTGAAGGAGGCAGGCCTCTGGAACAGAACACTTTAAATTTCAGACCAAAGTGATGGCCTTCATCATATCTAGCCACTGGCAGCTCTTTGGCTCTCACTCAGAAATTAAATGATAACTAATTACCAAATCCTAACTCCAATTGACTTCCAAACTTTACTTATTTATTTATTTATTTATTTATTATTTTATAAAAATATAAATAGAGAGAGGGTTTTGCCATGTTGCCCAGGCTGGTCTCAAACTCTTGGACTCAAGCCATCTGCCTGCCCTGGCCTCCAAAGTGCTAGGATTACAGCTGTGAGCCACCGTGCCCTGCATTTTTTTTTTTCTTAGAGACAGGGTTTTGCTTCACACAGTCTACAGTGCAGTGGTGCCATCATACCTCATTGCAGCCTTGACCTCCTGGGTTCAAGGGATTCTCCTGTCTCAGTTTCCCAAGTAGCTGGGACTACAGCTATGTGCTACCATGCCCAGATTATTTATTTATTTATTTATTTATTTATTTATTTATTTATTTATTTTTTATTTATTTATTTTGTAGAGACAGTGTCTTACTATGTTGCCCATACTGTTCTAGAACTCCTGCAAATTCTTTTTTTTATTTTTATTTTTTTCTGAGATGGAGTCTTGCTCTGTCGCCCAGGCTGGAGTGCAGTGGCGCGATCTCAGCTCAGTGCAACCTCCGCCTCCCAGGTTCAAGCAATTCTCCTGCCTCAGCCTCCTGAGTAGCTGGGCTTACAGGCACCATCATGCCCTGCTAATTTTTGTATTCTTATTGGAGATGGGGTTTTACTATGTTGGCCAGGCTGGTCTCAAACTCTGGCCTCTTGATCCGCCCGCCTCTGCCTCCCAAAGTGCTGGGATTACAGGCGTGAGCCACCGTGCCCGCGCCACAAATTCTATCCTTAATGTCCAAATTCTAACCCCTCCTTTAAATCATTCACTCCTTTATTCTAATGGGAATACATCACTCCACCCCTAAGGGAAACTTGGCCTCTCTCAAATCCTCATAGCCCCCAGTGGGTTCAAGCATCCTGGGGCAATGAGAAGGTCCAAAATAAGGGTTGCATGCATGCCAGGGAGGAGCTGGTGACACCACGAATTTGTCTTCATTATGAAAGTGACCCCCTTTCTCTCTCCAGGTACTCAGGCTATCATGTTGTCCCCAGGCCCTCCTGGAAGGAGGGGAAAAAACATGGTGTTAACCCTTCTAGATATTTTCTAGCAAGGCCTAAAACAGGCAAGGCTTAGCAGAAGAGATGAAGCATTAGCAGAAGGAGTCCAGGTATTTAGGCATGAATTCATTTATTCAGGCATGAATCAGATATAATCCCCACCTTCAGGCGGATTGCGACCTAGAGACAACTGATTTTCTTCTAAGAACGCTTACAATGAGTTAGGTACCAGTGTTACGTATTTTCCATGTTATATTTTATTTAATTGCTACTATCCCATGGAAAAGGAACTATTATCCCATTTTGTGGATGAAGGAACTGAGGCTCAGCACTAGTAAAGGGCAAAGCCAGAGACTGAAAGCCTCCTAAGTCCCCTTTCCTGCATTGTTTCCAGGTGGGGCAGGTGAGAAAAGTGATCCAGTAACCCTGGAGGCTGTTTCTGATTCAAGTCACCTCCTGCACCACCTAGGCCCGAGCTGCAGGCTGTGGAGCCAGGAGATGGGTCCAGATTCTCTCCTAGGCTGCACCCACCTCGGCTAGGCTGAGCCTATTAGATTGCAGGCCCTGTGGGCAGGGCTGTTACAATGGTCGCCTGGCGTCAGTGGTCAGGGCCTGGACCCTGGGAGTTCTGTTGTGTGGTTACTGCTCTTTTCCCTGGTGTGTCATTCTTGTTGACCACCAGGGTTCCAAGCCACTGGAGAGCTTCCCATTGAAGTCACAGCCAGACTTGCTTTCTCCACAAAGTACAAAGCCCTGCCTTAAAGGGAGCAATTCTGCTTCTATTTTATGAGTATTGTAAAATAATGCTATTTAGTAACTGGTTATGTCAGGCAGCTACTCTATGCCCAGCCTTGTGGAGAGGAATGACCCCTGCCCTTAAGGTGCTTACAACGTGGTCATAAAATATATGAACTAATGAGTAGGGCATAATAATAATAATAATAATAATAATAGATGACATCTGTAGAGCATTAACTGCATACCCGGGGCTGCAGCTTTCAACAGGACTATCTCATTTAATGCAAAATAACATCAGCACACATTATCGCAACTTTACTGCTGCAGTATGTAACAGGTGGGAAGAGCCAGGGAAATGGGATCGGAAGAACTTTCAAATTTAAATCTTGTCAAATACTACCTGCATGATGCTTGGAAGGAACCTGGAAGTTACTTAACGTATCTGAACCTCAGCTTCTCTAGCTGCAAAATGGGGAATATTTTAAACCCCTAGGTAAAAAGTTACCTGTGAGTCCTCCAGGAACTCTCTCCTTTGACACACATTCTGGTCAGCCCCACATTCTCCTGGGGGATCTGACTCTTCCAGAGAAAATTCCTGCTAGAGGTGTTAGTCCCTCCCATCCTCAGACCCCATCTACACAGGTGAGCCCCGAGGGCTGAGCACCAGGACAAAGCCTTCCAGCAGTATAGACATTTTTCTTCTTTCCCCCTACTTTGTTGTTTTTTGTTTTGAGACAGGGTCTCACTGTGTCGCCTAGGCTGGAATACAGTGATATGATCATGGCTTACTGTAGCCTCGACCTCCTGGGCTCAGGTGATTCTCCCACCTCAGCCACCCAAGTAGCTGGGACTACAGGTATGTGCCACGTTGCCTGGCTAACTTTTTAAATATTTTTTTCGTAGAGACAGGGTTTCATCATGTTGCCCAGGCTGGTCTTGAACTCCTGGGCTCAAGAGATCCATCCACCTCGGCCTCCCAAAGTGCTGAGATTACAGGTGTGAGCCACTGCACCAGGCCTACTCTCCTACCTTTTGTTTGTGTATTTTTTTGGTAACCACAATCCTTGATGTTTCCTAAAGTCCAGTAGAAGGATCTCATGAAAATTGTGGCATTCCCTCTCAGGATCAGCCACGGCTTTTGCACACTGTTCCAGTTGGAGGAACCAACCACTGAGCATATATTCTTAATAAACACAAAACACACACACACACACACACACACACACACACACACACACACACCTCGGCTCAGTCACCACTGCACCTGGGAAGCCTTCCTTAACTCTCCTGACAGGCTGGTCTCCTCTCTGACGCATGCTCCAGGCACCATCCACTTCCTTCTCCTTTGTTGCTTTTGTCATGGCTATTATTTTACATTTGTTTCTGCAATTATCTGATGAATGTCTTTCTGCGTCTATGCTGTCTCCATCCATGACAGGGATTATGTCTGTTTATGCTTCCCGCTCTCTTTCTACCACTCAGCACGTTCTTGCCACAGACTCTCAATAAATGTTGATGCATAAATAATGAATGACAGATGAGATGGATGGATGGATGAGCCTGCAGGATATGACAGGCAGAAGGGAGGGAAGGGATTACAACAGATATGCCTCCAAGGTAGAAGACAGCTTGGGATCAGGGCAGGCTCAATCTCTGCATAGTGGAGTAGGTGGCTGCCTGTAGTGCAATTTCAGGGTCACTGGGAAGGCCCTCCTCCACCTCCACTCCAGTGCATGACAACCATTTTATAAAAGGAGATGAAGCCTTTTGTTCCCCAAAGTGTACAGAGCTCAGGCCTGAATCCCACACTCCTGGGGGTGCCAGAGGGGCTCAGGGGCTTACATTCATAGTGCTAAGGGGTAAATGACTCATAGAGGCTTCCCTAAGAGCAAAGTGTGATTAGGGGGAGGGGGCAGTGTGGAGGAGGAGGGGAGAGGGAACTGGGGAGCTAGGATGGAACCCACATGGGGGAAAGGACCCAGAAAAGGCCAACCTTGACCTGCAGCATTGTTTTGCCTCTGCTGCACACAGCCCATTTCTACTGGGAATTAACAACCTTTTTGGTAAACCTGGTTCTGCAAATATTTGACGTCTGGAAAACTTTCAACAAAGACGGCGTTCGGAAGCCTGGCTCGGAGGCCCCAGGATGACAACCTAATTACATTCCTTTTAATAGCTCCTTCCCAAGTGCTCAGTCAGGGACATCTGCTCTGCCGCGGTTGCACCTTCAGGGAGGAATATTTTTAACACCGTCATGCCACAAAAGGAAACTTCTGAAGGCTGGATGAAAATGGCCTCTGCGTTCCCAGAGCCTCAGGGCCCAGGTAGGGCCTCAACTTCTCCCCCACTCCTTTCAGTACCACCCCCCAAAACAGGGCCAGGCTCCTTTCACAAGCAGAGGAGGTGGCTGGCTTACTAGGAAGTGTCTTTTTTATAATCTTTTTTAAAAATCTTCCTTTTTCAGTTTTCACAGAGGTAAATTCAATGTGCCAGGCCATCTCAGCCTCGCCCAGCTTTCCGTGTTAGCAGGGTGTCTGAAATAACCGTCCAGAGCACAGCAGAGCCACTGGTGCCAGCCCTGCGCGCTCCCACTGGGCCCCATCAGTCAGGGTGCTTTCTGCTCCTGGCTGCTTCTACCTGTTTACTGGACTTACCTCCACACCCCAGCTGGGGGTCCCCCGCCCAGACCCTTGCTATGGCAGAAGCCCCTGGGATCAACAAGGAAAATGCAAGGAGCCGAGAGGTAATCTACTCCACATTCTCTCCCCGCTTTCTGCAGACAAGTTACCTGAGGCCCGGAAAGGCAGAGAGTGGCTCAAGGAGTTAGCATTAATGCCGGGTTCACTCCCCTATTTTCAGCCAAAGAATGTGTTTGGGTGAGAGCTGCTCTGTTCATAAGTTCATCAAAAACACATCGGCAGGCCCTTGATTGAAGAGTGACCTCTTTATCTAGCAGCCTATTCCCTTTGACAGAGGAAGACCTCTGGAGCAAGAGGGAGCACCTGACCGGCTCTGGCCCCAACACCCATGTGCCCATCAGAAAGGAGCTGCTGAGTGGCGAGGGGGCGCTGTGCCGTGTCTGCACTGATGTGATTTTTAAGGATGGATGCCTTTTTTCATGAGAGGCTCTAGCACATGACAAGGGCACCATGGAGACTTTGTACTTACGCTTCCTCAAAGTCCTTCCCGTACTTTCAGTGAAGACAAAGCAGCAGCATTTCCCTGCAAGTGCCTAGGAGCAAAGAGTGAAAGCTTTACTTTACCCAGTGGAGATCTTCATTTCTCAGCCCACAGTCTGCTGGCCATCGGCTGGGTGCTGTTCCTTTCACTGCACACATAGTCTTTGTTGCCTTTTCCCTTCAGCTCTGATTTTTTGGTTGTTTTGTGTGTGTGTGTGTGTGTGTGTGTGTGTGTGTGTGTGTGTGTGTGTGTGCTTTGTTTTTTGTTTTGAGACAGGATCTTGCTCTGTCACCCAGGCTGGAGTGCAGTGGCGTGATCTCTGCTCACTGCAACCTCCACCTCCTGGGCTCAAGCAATTCTCATGCCTCAGCCTCCTGAGTAGTTGATACTACAGGTGTGCACTACGAGGCCTGGCTAATTTTCGTGTTGTTAGTAGAGACGAGGTTTTTTGCCACGTTGGCCAGGCTGGTCTTGAACTCCTGGCCTCAAGCGATCTGCCCACCTCAGCCTCCCAAAGTGCTGGGATTGCAGGTGTGAGCCACCGCACCCGGCCCGGCTTCAGCTCTGATTTGACCATCATAGACGTCCCTGGTTCCCTCAACTCTGGACTTAAGCCTCCATGGCTAACCAGCTGTCCGTTCTTTAGGCCTTCCTTTATTCAAATTCTGGAGGAAGGAATCTGATGGACTCAGTTTGCCTCTGGCTCCGGAAGCCCTCCCTCTAGGGTGCCAGTGTCTGGATGCAGTGGTCTTCAGTCAGGTGGACCTTCAGGGCTAATCCTTATCCACTTTGCATGATGGCAGGCCTGTGCTGCTTCCCTGAAAGGACTCTTGGGCATGGTGGACAGTCCACTGCTTGGCCCGGGTAGTACACAGGGGTGCTGTAGCTTGCAGGAAAGACCAAGGAGGCAACATGGCTGGGCAAAGGTGGGGCAAGACCTCGGTGATGTGGTCCAGCAGGGACCGTTAAAATTGGAAGAACAATTAAGTGCTCAACAAGCATTATGATGGAGAATTCTCAGGGGTTTTGGGGGCAGGAGGGAAGTGCACTGTGCGTGCAGCAAGGCTGGTGCCTGTGGTGAACTTGACTTATTCACCACCTCCACCAAGGCCATGATACAAGAATCAAATGCTGCCACTGCTACTACTCCTAGCCAACACTTAGTGCATGCCAGATATGATTCTATGTGCCTTCCATTTATTAACTCATTTAATTCTTTCAATGCCCCCTGAAGTAACTGCCATTCTCATTTTACCTGTGAAAACATGGAGGCTCAGAGAGATTATGTAAAGAAAAGGTCACATAGCTAGTACGTGGAGGAGCTGAGATTCAAACCCAGGAAGCATGTGCTCTTTTTTGTTTTCTTTTTCTTTTTTTTTTTTTCCTGAGGCAGGGTCTCCCTCTGTTACCAAGGTTGGAGTGCAGTGACGTAATCATGGCTCACTGCAGTTTCGACCTCCTGGACTCAGGTGATCCTTCCACCTCAGCCTCCCGAGTAGCTGGGACTGCAGGCACACACCACCATGTCTGGCTAATTTTTAAATATTTTTTGTAGAGATGGAGTTTCACCATGTCACCCAGGCAGGTCTTGAACTGCTGGCCTCAAACGATCCACCTACCTTGGCCTCCCAAAGGGCTGGGATTACAGGCCTGAGCCACTGCACTTGGCCGGCTTGTGCTCTTAATTGCTTTGCTATACTACCCTGCTGATAGAAGCAGGCGGCCACCTCCACCAAGCTGTTTGAGGAATGACATGCAGTCCTAACTGCCTTAGAATTTCTCCCCTCAGCTCTGTCATGCTTGTCACCTTTCTTAGGGTTCAGAAATTTCTGCTCTCAGTCACTAGTATAGTGGAAGATAGGGTGACCTCTGGAGAGCCCTTTGCCCTCTCCCATTAGACTTTCAGTCCTAAGCTACTACAAAATGAGCAGGGTGCATGTACTCTTAGGAGGAAGGGAGTTTTCAAAGGCTGGGGGTTGAAGGCAGTAACAGGTAATCTGGAGCTAATCTTGTACCGAGGCAGAGAAAGAAGCCAATAATACTTAGCTTGATTTGAGAAGTCTCAGGGAAGAAACTCACCACCCCAATACCTATCATTCCACCATTGTAGTTTGAGAGCAGCGCTGACCCATATAATTTTCTGTGGTGATGAAAATGTTCCATATCTATACCGTCCAGTTCAGCAGCCACTAGCTGCATGTGGCTAGAGAGCACTTGAAATTTGGCTGGTGTAATTGAAGAACTAAACTTCAAATTTTAATGCATCCAATTTTTTTTATTTATTTATTTTTGAGACAGAGTTTCACTCCTGTCGCCCAGGCTGGAGTCCAGTGGCGCGATCTCGGCTCACTGCCACCTCCACCTCCCAGGTTCAAGTGATTCTCCTGCCTTAGCCTCCCGAGTAGCTGGGATTACAGGCATGCGCCACCACACGTGGCTAATTTTGTATTTTTAGTAGAGGCAGGGTTTCTCCATGTTCAAGCTGGTCTTGAACTCCCAACCTCAGGTGATCCACCTGCCTCGGCCTCCCAAAGTGCTGGGATTACATGTGTGAGCCACTGCGCCCAGCCTTATTTTATTTTATTTTTGAAATGGAGTTTCGCTCTGTCACCCAGGCTGGAGTGCAGTGGCGCGATTTCGGCTCACTGCAACTTCCACCTCCCAGGTTCAAGCGATTCTCCTGCCTCAGCCTCCCGAGTAGCTGGGATTACATGGATGCATCACCACACCCGGCTAAGCTTTTTGTATTTTTAGTAGAGACGAGGTTTCATCTGTGTTGGTCAGGCTGGTCTCAAACTCCTGACCTCAAATGATTCGCCCGCCTCAGCCTCCCAAAGTGCTGGTATTACAGGTGTGAGCCACTGTGCCTGGCCATGAATCCAATTTTAAATGAAAATTGCCATATATGGCTAGTGGCAGTTATAATGGACAAGGCAGTTCTTGAGGCCTCCTTTAGAATATACATCCCACTGGGAGGATCGTACCTTTAGCAGTTATCTGCCAAAACCTTAGTTCAGGTAGTGCAGGCTGGGGACAAAGCTGCCAGGCAGGTGCCTTTCATCTGGCCAGCATCAGTGCTGAGGATCTCTAAGTCTGAATGCCCTCGGGCAGGGGAGGTGCTGTCCAGTCTCCATACCCCCTTGTTTTACTCCAGAGCTGAGTCACAAATTTTGTCACCTCTGAAGGCAATCCCTTAGTAAAGCCCTTCAGTCATTCTCAACGGTGTTTCATTTACTCCTTACAGCAGCCCTGAGATGGAGATGGGATTAAAATTGTATCTATTTTATGGGTAAGAAAATGCAGGTTCGCAGAAGCCCTCAGGAAGCGCCGTTCTCCAAAGCCAGCCCTACCTTTCCTGTCTCGTTTGAATAGACATTAGAAGCCAAGGACTTGCATCTGGGGCCTCCTGTCTGCGGAGCCTTGTTTTGTCCCGGCCATCAGCTCCTGTTGCCTTCAGAGTGCCTTTTCCCCAGTGCTCCATTCTTGTTTTTATTCAACCATCATCTTGATTCTTTTTTGTTTTTGAGACACAGTCTCGCTCTGTCGCACAGGCTGGAGAGTGCAGTAGTGAGATCTCAGCTCACTACAACTTCCGCCTCCCGGGTTCAAGCAATTCTCCTGCCTCAGCCTCCCAAGTAGCTGAGATTACAAGAATGAGCCATGACACCCAGCTAATTTTTGTATTTTTAGTAGAGACAGGGTTTCACCATGTTGGCCAGGCTGGTCTCCAACTCCTGAGCTCAAGTGATCTGCCCACCTCAGCCTCCCAAAGTGCTAGGACAGGCATGAGCCATCGCGCCCGGCCTTGATTCACTTTTAATGCAACCCAGCTGCTGTCCCATGGCTTACTTCATACAGCACATACACTTGCCCATGCTCCTGCCTGCCTGCCTGCCTGCCTGCCTGCCTGCCTGGGCTTCCAGCCTTCTGTGGTGCTGCCAAAGTTGAACCATCAGCAGATTTAACTGGGTGAACTGGGAGGGAAGATAATCCTCCAACTCTACCACCAGCCCATGCCTGCACCCCAGCCTCCACTCCACATCAAACCTGATCCTACCTGCATCCCAGTTGTCCTTTGACTTTATGCTGCTTTTCTACCAGCTTCTGGAATTTAACACCTGCTTGACTCATGCCCCCTTCCTGCATGGCCACCTCTGCCCCATCAACCACCTGGCAGGACCCACACTCACCTTTCTTGTCTCTCTGACCATGGCAGTCCACACTGAACTCCGTCTGCCTCTCTGACTTCCCTATCACTTACTTCCCCCTTTTTTGACTTAATGTTTACACTACTTTTTGACAGAGTAGTTAAGGAAAGAGCCCTGCCTGCAATTAGGAGGTGCAGGTTGTGTGAACTTGGGTGAGTAATAATTTGGCCTACCGGATTCTCCATTTCCAAATTTTGGGGATTTTCAGGGATTGGACCAGATCCATAATTTTTCAAACCGGTTTTTTTCAGGAAGGTTCTTCAGAGGTTGTTTTGATGGGTAGAGAGTGGTGGGGAAGGGAGCCAAGTCAATAGGAGCTTTAGGTTTCCCCTATTCCTTTCCACTAGAGATCCCACTCTGAGTGGCAAATGGACTCGGCTTCTAAATGCTACTGAAAGAAGAAGGAGAGGAGAGAAAGGAAGAAAGTGATTGAAAGCCCCAGATTTCTGGGCCTGGTGGCTCATACCCACCTATTATCCCAGCACTTTGGGAAGCCAAAGCAGGAGGATTGCTTGAGCACAGGAGTTCAAGGCCAGCCTGGGCAACACAGAGAGACCCCATCTCTACAGAAAAATTAAAAATTAGCTGAGCATGGTGGCAAGAGCCTGTCATCCTAGCTACTCAGGAGGCTGAGTTGGAGGATTGCTTGAGGCTGTGGGGTCAAAGCTGTAGTGAGCAGTGATCGTGCCCCTGAATTTCAGTCTGCAGAACAAGACCTTGTCTCAAAAAAAAGAAAAAGAAAAAAGAAAACCCCAGATTATTCATAATTAGATGATCCAAAGAGACTCTTGCAGCTCTAATATGGCAGAGTCCAAGTCTTTCCCCCCGAGGTGAGTTATAGGCATCTTGAGGGCAGGACCCACACCTGAGACATGGTTGTGTGCAGACCTCACAATGGGAGCCCAATGCCTGTGGAATGAAGGAAGGAACAATGAACCCTCTCTTGTTCTCATCTGTGATGTTGCAGTGTATCTCCCCTCACCAGCCAGACTGACAGGCTTGGTTCTTGCCCTTTTTGTGGTTTCGCCAGAGCTCCTAGCACAGAGCCTGCAGTCTGTCCACAAACCCTTCTTTCTAATTAGATGACCTCGTCAGGTGGGGGTGAAGGAAGGACCTCTGGAAGACACAATCTGTGAACTATAAAGCAGTGACTTTAAAGTACAATAAAACAGGCTGGGCGTGGTGGCTCACGCCTGTAATCTCAGCACTTTGGGAGGCTGAGGTGGGCGGATCACCTGGGGTCGGGAGTTCGAGACCAGCCTGACCAACATAGAGAAACCCCATCTCTAGTAAAAATACAAAATTAGCTGGGCATGGTGGCACATGCCTGTAATCCCAGCTACTTGGGAGGCTGAGGCAGGAGAATCGCTTGAACCCGGGAGGCGGAGGTTGCGGTGAGCCAAGATCGTGCCATTGCACTCCAGCCTGGGCAACAAGAGTGAAACTCCATCTCAAAAAATAAATAAATAAATAAAATAAAGTACAGTAAAACAATGTCAAAGCCCTGGGTGTAAGTCCTGCCTCCTTTACCACTTTCACCATCTCCAGCAAGTGACTTAAGTCCCTCTGAACCTCAGGTTTCTCAGCTGGATAATAATGCTTATGGTTTGCTTAGTATTTTGAAGAGACACTTTCTATCTAGACCCCTAGGCTGGGTGGGTAGGGTCATAAGAAATTCCCCTCTCGCCCTGAAACATTGTGCTCTCCCTGATATGGGCAGCTGAGAGGTATATTAATTGCTTCTTCATAGTCTGCTAGGCCCAAGATGAAACCACAACTGAAAGATTCATGGTTGAGACGTGAGAAGCAATCACTTGCTAATAAAACCCACACAGTAAGATGAGCCTTATAAAAACCACCGCAGAGTGACAGTGGCCAGAAGAGCTGCTTGGGAAGGGAGGGGACAGGACAGGGTGTTTCACTGAGGGAAGCCATGGGCCAGCCTGCTGGGACCAGCTCACAGGACACAGAAGAAAGCCATGGGGTTGGTGTGGCCTCAGAGATGTCATTTCATCTGCCAGGACCTGTGTCTACAGACTGTGGCTGGTGGGCCAGGCACAGGGCCTTCCTGGGGGATAAAACAATGAGGTCAGAGGGATTCCCCCCAGCATCACACCTCTCCTTTCAGTGGCCTCTCCCCTCCTTCCCATCTTCTTCAGATGCCCAAAGCCTCTGGAACAAGAAACAAGGAGAATGTCAGGCACTAGCAAGGAGTTCATTGGAGCACTTCTCCCACCCACCCCCACGACCTCTCTCAGAGGGGGCTGCATCTCCAGGGAATCCTGGAGAACGTCAACAGAGTTTTGTGAAAATATAATTGATGGGATTTAAAAAAACCAGATTTTAATTAAAATGTAGATTTCTGGCTTCTTTTGGAAAATGGAAGAACCAAAAGGGCTTGTCTCACATTCTCACTGGGTATGAATTGGAGGAGCTCAGCAGCTGCTGCCCTCCATAAAGGAGGCATTTATTTTATTATTATTATTATTTTTTAAGATGGAGTCTCACTCTGTCACCCAGGCTAGAATGCAATGGCGCAATCTCAGCTCACTGCAACCTCTGCCTCCCAGGTTCAAGCGATTCTCCGCTTCAGCCTCCCGAGTAGTTGGGATTACAGGCGCACGCTACCAGGCCCAGCTAATTTTTGTATTTTTAGTAGAGATGGGGTTTCACCGTGTTGGCCAGGCTGGTCTCGAACTCCTGACCTCATGATCCACCCACCTTGGCCTCCCAAAGTGCTGGTATTACAGGCATGAGCCACTGCACCCCGCCCGAGGAAACATTTATTAATACTTCTCGGTTTGCTGCAGTTCCTGCCTCTCCCAATTGTTCCCTGTCATTATCTGGCCTCTTTCTTCCATTTGTGCCACTGCCTGGCTCCTGCAGCATCTGAGCTTGTGGCCTTAGACTTTATTCAAAGAAATTACTTAGTAGTAGGAGGAGCACAGAGATGCATGAATATTTCTGGGCAGAGGAATATCTCCTTGTTCCTAATACCATTCCATTCTGGAGGCCGTCCCTCCTAAAGAAGCGAATCCTACCACACAGCTTCACAGATTGAGGTGCCCAATAAACTGCCAAAGGATTAGGAAGAAAGTTTGCATCGATCGGCACAGCTCCCTGCCCCCACAGCCTGCCCCCTCCAGCACCAACAGCTGCCTATTTTGTTACCACCAGCGAGTTGAGGCTCTGATCCCTCATCTCTCTGTGACCCAGGCTGGAGTCAGCTTTGTGCCTGGACCAGCCTGACCTTGCAGTTTGTTTTGTTATCAGGGCCTTTTGCTTTGTACCTACAGACTGCCTTGTTTGGGGTAGCCCCTCGCCTGAATGCTTGCCTTGGTTTCCTACCAGCCCCTCAAAGCTCTAGGAACAAATTGAATTCTGCCCTGCCCCTCCCACACAAAGTCTGCAGCTGAGCCTCACCCCTGGAATGCCTGTTGCTTCTGCTAGACTCCTTAAGCTGCAGGGCTTCCTTGATCCACTTCTGCCTATCCTGGAGGCTGACCTGCTCTGATCCCCTAGGACCTAGTGACCCGCAGTATGCCTCACCTATTGCCTGCCTGGCCCTGTGCAGGATGATGCCAGCAGAAGCAAAACTTGTTTGGAGAGTAGGAGTTAGGTGGGATTTTGACCCCCACGTACTCCCTCGGCCAGGCATCTTTGTGCACAATGTATGATGACCCTGAGTATGTTCTCCTGGGCCCTGAGCACCGGGCATCCCTATGTGGCCTCATCCTCTCACTAACTCACCCTTAATTCTGATACTCACCTCCCAGTTTCCTATCATTTCCTCTTCTTCCTTGTCTGACTCCTAATCCTGGGGAAGCAAACGGTTAATATAAATAATAATAATAATATTGAGATTCTGTTTGAGGCAGTGTACCAAGCATGACACATACATTATTATATATATATATAAAATATACCATATCATACCATGTCATATATATCATATAATATATATGATACATTATATGTCATATATAATATATGATACATTATATGTCATATATATGATATATTATATGTCATATATAATATACGATATATTATATAATATATCCCATATATATTATCCCATATATATCCCATATATATAATATCCCATGTATAATATATGATATATTATATATCATGCATATAATATACAATATATTATATAATATACAATATATCATATATTATATAATATACGATATATCATATATATTATATAATATACGATATATTACATATAACATAATATACGATATATTACATATAATATAATATATGATATATTACATATAATATAATATACGATATATTACATATAATATAATATACGATATATTACATATAATATAATATACGATATATTACATATTATATAATATACGATATATTATATATATAAAATATATCGTATATTTTATAATATATATATATTTTTTGAGATGGAGTCTCGCTCTGTCTCCCAGGCTGGAGGCAACCTCTCCCTCCCAGGTTCAAGTGATTCTCCTCACTCAGCCTCCTGAGTAGCTGGGATTACAGGCATGCACCATTACGCCCGGCTAATTTTTGTATTTTTAGTAGAGATGGGGTTTCACCATGCCGGTCAGGCTAGTCCTGAACTCCTGACCTCATGATCAACCTGCCTCAGCCTCCCAAAGTGCTGGGATTACAGGTGTGAGCCACTGCACCTGGCCCATTATTATATTTAATTTTTGCAACAACCAAGCAAGATAGGATTGTCATCCCCATTTTCCAGATGAGGAAACTGAGGTACAGAGAGGTCAAGGAATTTTCCCAAGGTCCATCACTAATGAGTGACAAAACTAGGATTCAAACCCAGATCTGTCTGTTGCTAAACCTTAAAGTTTTAACCACTCAGCTCTGTCTTCCAAACCAAAGAAACTAGAAAGGAGGCTCAGAGAAGCCAGTAATTTGTCTAGGGTCACACAGCACATCAGTAACAGAGCTGGAATTCAAACCCAGGTGAGCTTCTGTCACCAAGTCCAAAGCTCTTTCATGTGCTGAGTATATTCTTGGGGCTCTTTGCCCCTTAGTTCCTGGCTGATGGGCACACAGGAGGTGTTTACTTGCAGACAGAAGGACTTGCCTCATTTTATTTGATATGCCTAGATTGAATCAGTTTCTTATAGACTCTCTCCTAATTGCTTTGATATCAGCCAGGATGCCCTTGTCCTTAGACAGGTTAGGTGTTAGCTCAACCCCCATTTTCCCAAACCTGAAGGGCCTGGATTTCCAGCATGGAATGCAGATTTCCTAGGGTAGGAGAGGATAATGAATAGGATTTGATGTCCTAACATCCTAGGATAAATGAGGTTTTCAGAAGGTTTTCTGACAAGAGGGGCTGGCTGCTGGGAGGGGAAAAGAGGAACTGAAGTGCTGGTGGAAGGTAGCTGGGGAGCAGGTGGCAGGCTGAATCTGCTGAGCAGGATGTGCAGACAAATTTTATGCAGTGTGGCCAGGCATGTTGGCTCACGCCTGTAATCCCAAAACTTTGGGGGCCGAGGTGGGTGGATCAACTGACGTCAGGAGTTCGAGACCAGCCTGGCCAACATGGCGAGATCCTGTCTCTACTAAAAATGCAAAAATTAGCTGGGCATGGTGGCATACACCTGTAATCCCAGCTACTTGAGAGGCTGAGGCAGGAGAATCGCTTGAACCCAGGAGGTAGAGGTTGCAGTGAGCTGAGATCGTGCCACTGCACTCCAGCCTAGGCAACAGAGCAAGACTCCGTCTCAAAAAAAAAAAAAAATTATGCAGTTTGATTTTCTGGAGATCAGAGCTTCTTGATCCTACTTCCTTGAGCTCTGTGTCTCTGCGTCTGACCTTGTCTCTTGGGCTCCAGAGGCCCCTGGCCCAGGCCCCTCTTCCTAGTTAGGGACACTAGCTCATATGCTCCTGGAGTAGAGCTGGGAATGGGAAAGCCCTGGGATAGGGCAAGCAGAAATGCCAATTCCACACAGCAGGGCTTTGCATCTGTCTCCTTCAAGTGGTCCTAGCCCTGGCCACAGCCCCTGGGAATGGTCCTGCCAAGCAGCTTGGCTTGCCAGCAGCTATAATAGACAATAAACTTTAAGAGCTGTGGATCCCCAGCCTACCTGGTAGAAATAGGTTTCTCAGAGTCCTGTGCCAAACTGAGTTCCTGGCAGGCTGCTGAGGATAAACGACTTTCCAGAACTTTCACCCAATCCACTTTAAATGAGCAAGGATTTACTTAGCCTCTCTTTAGTGCCAGTACTGTTTTTGGATACCAGGATAGGAGACTCCTTGCTGTCCTCCTATTCCAATCCTTTTTAATATCCTGATAGCAGCTGAATTTTCTCAAAGCCAGCAAGGTATTGTGCTTAGGGGCTTTGGAGTAAGATACGCTTGGGTTCAAATTCCTCTGCTGATGGCTAATTGCATCACACATCACTGAGCTACAGTTTCTTCATCTGTAAACCATCAACTTCACAGGGCTGAATATGAACATTAAATAAGACTGTGCGTGAGCGTAGACAGTTTAAGACCCTTCCAAGGTTCATCGCCTGGAAGGCTGTGATTGTCAATAGCAACGATCAAACCAATAAGCAAATAAAACCAGAAAGCCTTCTCTGTCCCCATCAGAACATCCCTTTGCTCAGGCATCTCCCATACTTCCCTACTACTCATGTGACAAAATCTTTCCTTTTTTACTTAGTATTCAAGGCCTTCCACATAAGGCCACATTTCAAGGGCTCAATAGCCACATATGACTTATGGTTACCATATTGCTTTTTTTTTTTTTTTTAGACAGACTCTCTCTCTATCTCCCAGGCTGGAGTGCAGTGGTGCAATCTTGGCTCACTGCAACCTCCATCTCCCGGGTTCAAGCGATTCTCCTGCATCAGCTTCCCAAGTAGCTGGGGTTACAGGCGCCCGCCACCACACCTAGCTAATTTTTAGTATTTTTAGTAGAGAAGGGGTTTCACCATGTTGGCCAGGCTGGTCTTGAACTGCTGACCTCAGGTGATCCACCCACCTCGGCCTCCCAAAGTGCTGGGATTACAGGCGTGAGCCACCATGCCCTGCCATGGTTACCATGTTGTACAGCACAGAGTAGCACATTCTCATCGTTGCGGAAAGTCTATTGGATAGCTCTGCTGTAGGTGATATTATAGCTCACTCACCTAAGCCCCTTTCTTTGGAGCAGGTTTCAATAGGAGTGTGGCATAAGGATGGTCAGCATGAGTGGGCACCATCAGGCCAAGGAAAGAAGTCAACAGCACTCAGGGAAATGAGGTCAGACCACAAGGGTAGCCATAAACCACTCCCCACCACCACCCTAACACCACCACCAGTAAGTAACCCTTTATTCCTTTTTCCCATTTTGGCCTTAGCTTCCCTAGGGGTGGCCCTGGAGGATAAGGAGAGTAGGCGCCAGTAGAATGTAAGAGCAGGCACTTGGACTTGGTGGGCCTCCTTCATTTACTGCCTGTGACCTTTCTGTCATCTGTTTAATTATACCTTTATCTCCAGTTGCTGAGACGAGTAAACACTTGACAGTTGGCCCCTGCCACACACCTAGGGAGAGTTTATCAAATGATGGACCCTTTCCCAGCTTTAAATAAGCCCCATATATAAAAACCTGTCTCTGTCAAAGGGGTGTGTATGTGTTTTAATACAGCAAAAAAGAAAAAAAAGAATAAAAAAGTTAGCAGACTTTCCTTACAAGAGCATGTTACCTTTATCTGTTTTTGTTTTTTTGTTTTGATTTGTTTTGTTTGAGAAGGAGTTTTGCTCTTTGTTGCCCAGGCTGGAGTACAGTGGCGCAACCTTGGCTCGCTGCAACTTCTACCTCCCAGGTTCAAGCGATTCTCCTGTCTCAGCCTCCCGAGTAGCTGGGATTACCAGTGCCCACGACCACACCTGGCTAATTTTTGTATTTTTAATAGAGACGGGGTTTCATCATGTTGGCCAGGCTGGTCTGGAACTCCTGATCTCTGGTGATCCGCCCGCCTCAGCTTCCCAAAGTGCTGGGATTACAGGCGTGAGCCACTGTGCCCGGCCGCATGTTACCTTTAAAAAGCATGCTGCTACCAGGCACAGCGGCTCATGTCTATAATTCCAACATTTTGGGAGGCTGAAGTGGGAGTATCACTTGAGCCCAGGAGTTCAAGACCAGCCTGGGTAAGATGGCAGGACTCTGCATCTATTAAAAAATTTTTTTTTAATTAAAAAAAAGCACACTCCTGTTTCACTCCCAAAAAGTTGAGGGAAGATGGATAAATGATTGATTATGAGTTCATAGTTTTTTTTTAAAAAAAGATGAGGTCTTGATATGTTACCCAGGCTGGACTTGAACTCCTGAGCTCAAGCAATCCTCCTGCCTCAGCATCCCAAGTAGCTGAGAGTAGAGGTGCACACCACTCCATCCAGCAATTAGATGAGAATTTTTGAAACTCGGCTATAGTAACATGAGGGTTCATCATTTTAGTCTCTCTGCATATGCTTGAACTTTTTCATAATTTCCTTGGAGCCCCTTTCCTTGGAGTCAGTTTCAATAGGAGTGTGGCATAAGGATGGTCCGCATGAGTGGGCACCACCAGGCCAAGGAAAGGAGTCAACAGCGCTCAGGGAAGTGAGGTCAGACCACAAGGGTAGCCACCAACAACCTCCCCCATCCTAATACCACCACCAGTAAAAGAAAAATATAAAGATGGATACAGTGGCTCACACCTGTACTCCCACCACTTTGGGAGGCTGAGGAGGGAGGATTGCTTGAGCCCAGGAATTTGGGATCAGCCTGGGCAACATAGTGAGACCCCCATTTCCACAAAAAATTAAAAAGTTAGCCGGGTGTGGTGGTGTCTGCCTGTTGTCCCAGCTACTCGGGGGGCTGAGGTGGGAGGATTGCTTGAGCCTGGGAGTTTGAGGCTGCAGTGAGTCATGATCGCACCACTGCACTCCAGCCTGGGTGACAGACCGAGATCCTATCTCAAAACAAAAACAACAAAAAAGAAAAAGCTAAAAAATCAAGCACATACTCCCACTAAGACCTAACGTACCCAAGCAGACCACTGGCTTCCAGACTTCTAAGGATGTCTCTTTCTGTAGTATGAAGGGCACCTGTTCCTGATGACGGGTCGGGGGGCAGTGAGTGTGGGGAGGGGCAGCGGGTGACTGTTCACTCTGGATGTTTCCATCCTGGTATCTGTTTATTTTGCAGGGAACTTGAGCCTGTGGCCTCTCAGGTGTCATGTCTGATTCCTGACAAAGGAATCTGAGGCTGAGCCCTGGTGTCCAGGTGTCCTGGCTCCCAGCCAGGTTTTCCAGTCACTTCTAGGTCTCAACCCCAGCTGGGCTGGGCTGAGAGGCTTGATGTCCTGGGGTGAAGAGCCATCGGTCCCTCCTGGCTCTCCATCCTATACCTGCTCAGCCTGCAACTTCCTTTCTCCCGGCTGGAGCTGCCCCGTTCCCATCCTCCTGCAGCCTGCTAGTACCTCACCTCTGAGGGCCACTTCACATCTCTAGGCCTTACTTTCTTTTTGAAGAGACAGGGTCTCACTATGTTTTCCAGCCTGGTCTCGAACACTTGGCCTCAAGCAATCCTTCTGCCTCAGCCTCCCAAAGTGTTGGGATTACAGATGTGAACCACCATACCCACCTATCCTAGGTCTTTCTTCTCAACACCAGGAAGCATCTGGACACTCCTTGGGGAAATCACTCCTCTGGGGCCCTTTGCTGCACCCTATTTTGCCCTAATGGTTTCAAGGGCCAGTCTGGTCTCTCTGGCTATTATACCAGTCCCAGAGAGCCAAAACTCTATTTATCTCCTTGTTTATTTCCCACAGCACCTAGCATACGGCTGAGTACACGCTGAAGGTAAACGAATGAATGAATGAACCAATGAATGAGTGAATGAATGAATGAATACGTCTGACACACAGTGAGCCCCATTTTTTTCTACCTACCACCATGCACAATCACCAGGGGCTCTGAGCCAATGTCAGGATTGTGAGGGATGGTCTCTCATCTGAATTTAACTAGGCCAGTGACTCCAAGCATCAGTCAGCCACAGCGACGCTGTCATTCTGTCTGTCTGTCCATGCTAGGGGAATGGTGGGAGACTATATGTGAATGCTTTCACTGAGAAGGGTAGTGGGTACTCACATCTCTAGAGAGTGATATTGAAAGAGAACTGGAAGAAAAAGAGACAGGAAAGTGGGGGTGGAGTAGAAATAAGAGACGTCGGGGTGGGGAGGCACAGGGAAGAGGACAGGAGTGAGGGAGAAAGGGACACAAAGAGAGAGCGATTCTTGCCTTGCACATCTCCAGTCCTCTGATGTGGCTGTGCCGATATCCCCTGCACTAATTGCTTCAATTAATAATACAGCTCTATAAAATTTCAGCAGCTGAGAACAAGTGCAAGGAAAGATGACATAATGCATTAATAACGCAGGCAGGCGATCGGGTTGGGCTCCTGGGGAGCTCCATTAAGGAGCGGCTGCTGCAGTCCTAACACCAGCTAACACTCCAGCAGGGCAGTATGTGTGTCCTTGGGCCTCTGCAGACCACGGACTGTGGAGCTGCGGGGGCAGAGGTGGCACCAATGGGCAGGAGGCTGGGGAAGGCTTTAACCTTCTCATAAACTCCAGAAAGCACTCCTTCCATTCTTTGATCTGGACAATTGATGTTTTCTCAATCTTACGTAAGTGCTGTGCAGTTTCAAGATTGCTGCTCTACATCCCTTTGACTGCTCCTTCCCAGATGCAGCTCACATTAGCGGACCTTCTGGCTAGTCTCTCTGATTGTTGTTGCTATTGTTGTTTTTAAAGATCTCGAATCCATTCTTTCTCTCTATATCTACATCTCCCTCTTTCTGTCTCTTTGTCCTTGGATTCTTAAGAGCTTTTAAGGAGGCAATCCTCTCTTTCAGGACAAAGATTCTGTATCTAAAACATGCTGAGCTGGTTTCTCTCAAGTCAGCATCACCCTCACCAAAAGGCCCCCTTAAATGTCTGCACATGCACACAGTCCATCTCCAAACAGTACGTAGGCCTGGGGCTGAGTGTGAGTCTGGAGCAAGGGGTCAGCAGCAGGCATCCCCGATCCTGAAGCTGGAAACCACTAAGTGATTTTGTACTCATGCAAAGCCAGTTCCTTTCCCATTTCCTGCAGAAACTAGGGCTGGATCATTCCAAACAAATCCCTTAATTCAGGGCTTCTCATTCCGCAGTCTAACGAGATGCTTCAGAGTGTTCCAGAAACCCTAGAAATGACATACGACAATCTTTGTACATATGTGCATTTCTCTGACAAGAGGGTCCACAACATCTTCTGATCTCTAATGAGTCTGCGATGGCCCCAGGGATGCGGAAGTATAGCTCTAGTCTTCTTGGGCAGGCAGGCACTTAGACAAAACCTTAGATCACCGAGGCATTAGATGGACCCTTCATCTCTTCATCCGTGGCTCCATGTTTCATCCATGGTCTTCCTGTTTCTCACTTGGATTTCCTCAAAGTTTATGTCAAAAGAGGTCAAGGGCTAGAAATAAAAAAGACAAGAAGAGGCCCAACATTCACCGAAGACTCAAGTTAAAATGAAAACTGGGGCCATGCAGTGGCTCACGCCTATAATCTCAGCACTTTGGGAGGCCTAGGTGGGAGAATTGCTTAAGCCTAGGAATTCAGGACCAGTTTGGGCAACATGGTGAGACCTCATCTCTACAGAAAAATTTAAAAATTAGGTCGGGCGCGGTGGCTCCATGCCTGTAATCCCAGCACTTTGGGAGGCCGAGGTGGGTGTATTACCTGAGGTCATGAGTTCAAGACCAGCCTGACCAATATGGTGAAACCTCCTCACTACTAAAAATACAAAAAATTAGCCAGGCATGGTGGCGGGTGCTTGTAATCCCAGATACTTGGGAGGCTGAGGCAGGAGAATCACTTGAACCCAGGAGGCAGAGGTTGCAGTGAGCCAAGATTGTGCCATTGCACTGCAGCCTGGGCAACAAGAGCAAAAACTCCGTCTCAAAAAAAAAAAATAAATAAAAATTAGCTGAGCATGGTGGCTGGCACACACCTGTGGTCTCAGCTACACTGGAGGCTGCGGTGTGAGGATTGCTTGAGTATGGGAGGTTGAAGCTGCAGTGAGCTGTGATGGTGCTACTGCACTCCAGTGTGGGTGACAGAGCGAGACCCTGTCTCAAAAACACAAAACAAAACAAAACAAAAAACCCAGAGCAAAGGAAAACTCATGCTTCAAGTTTTGGCATCCAAGCATAGCCTGATGCCTCTATTTCACATTAGAAATGAAGTTTGTGTTGGCAATTCAATGTGTTCTCCAGAACAGCCTTCCTTTCCAAAGAAGGACAATTGGAGACAAACGTGTTGGGCACCTTCAGTGTGCAAGTCTCTGTCCCAAACAGTCTGATGTGATCCTGAGCACATTCCGAGGAGACCAGACCCTCCAGTTCTACTTCATTGAGGAGAAACCTGAAATTCCCAAAGGTTAAGAAACTTGAGTAGCAAAGCCAAGATGTGAATCCAGGCCTTTTTGCCACCAAAGTCCATCTCTTTCCATTACCCAACATTGCCTGCATTTAAACAGTAGCTCTTAGGGAGCATTTATTTTGGGAGCAACCCTGTCTAATCCCCACCTATTTCTCATTGCCTGTTCTTCTCCACCTGTCCAAGTCCTGCCCTTCTTTGAAGACTTAAGTTCTACTTCATTCCTCAAGACTTTTCTAGACAATTTCAGCACAGAGTGATCTCTCAGTATGGGATGAATGATGTGAGCAGATATTAGGTATACAAAGGGGAGGGCTGCAATGGACACTTGATTTTCACCCAACAGCTAGTTTCCCATTTATTGTTGTCTAACAGATCCTGATTTCTGATTCCTTTGTAACTAAGTGGGCACTGACCCCATCACAGTTCTAGGAGTGGATGGAGCTTGGTCTAAACCAGTTGCAGAAATGTTAACCCCCTCACCAGTGGTCAGGCCGGGAATGGTTTTATAACCAAATTCTGGCCAGTGGAAAGAGACCATCTTTCCTTCTTGAG
This sequence comes from Homo sapiens, assembly GCF_000001405.40. Lineage (NCBI taxonomy): Eukaryota > Metazoa > Chordata > Mammalia > Primates > Hominidae > Homo > Homo sapiens. The sequence continues at coordinate 47,247,031 of NC_000002.12, read as the reverse complement.
TGGGATGGTTCCATGTCTAGAACTGCTGTGGACTTCCTGCCACCCAGCTTGGGGGTGAAGCCCACATGAGGATGGCGGAGCAGCAGGGAAAGGAGTCCTTGAGGTGCCGTATCAAACACCTCTGGCCTGCCCTTCCTCTGAACTCTGCTGAGACCTGATACACTTCCTTGCAGCTAATTCCAGTTTGAGTTCAGGGTTTTTTGTTACTTGCTGACAAAAACATCACAGCTGCTACTACACTCCCTGCTTTAACACACAGTGTTTGTACTGTTCTCCCTGACACTTACCACCTTGTCATCTCTATTGTATTGCTGCTGTGTTGTTATTTAACTTTTTCTATGTTCATATCTTGTCTATGAAGTTGACGTCAACTCTTCCAACTCATAGGAATATTTTCTGAATTCTCATAGAGCTCTCAAATAGCCGTCAAATCTGTCATCCCTTCATTCCAGAAATATTTATTGAGCTCTACTATGTGTAGGAACTGGGGATATGCAGTGAGGAAGGCAGACATGATCCTACACCTACGGATTTGAGAGTCCTCGTGAGGAACTCAGATGTCAATAAAATGACCTCAGGAATAAGCCTGGAATGATGACTGGGAAGAGTTATGAATGAAGGTACCCAGCGCTATCCTAAGGCACAGTAGGAAGATCTGCCTTGACCTGGGGGTCAGGGAAAGTATCCCAGAGAAACTGAGATCTGAAGGATGTGTGAGAGTGAACTGGGTGAAAAAAAGAGGGAAAATGCATTCTAGGCGGCAAGAAGAGTATGTCCTCTCCTCTTCATCCCGGTGGCCACTGCCTCCATCACTTTTGACCAGACCATTCTTATTGCTTTCTAACTGGCTGTCCTGCTTGCAGTTTCATTCCCCGCAGGTCCATCCTCCTTCCAGCCATGAGACTTATCTGTGAAAACCCTTCGGTGGCCCCCAGCCTCTACTAAGAGAAGGTCAATTTTCTTTCTCTCTCTCTTCTCTTTTCTTCTCTCTCTCTTTCTCTTTCTTTCTTTCTTTCTTTCTTTCTTTCTTTCTTTCTTTCTTTCTTTCTTTCTTTCTTTCTCTCTCTCTCTCCTTCCCTCCCTCCCTCCCTCCCTCCCTCCCTCCCTCCCTCCTTCCTTCCTTCCTTCCTTCCTTCCTTCCTTCCTTCCTCTCTCTCTCTCTTTCTTTCTTTTCTTTTTTTATACAGGATCTCGCTCTATCTCCCAGGCTGGAGTGCAGTGGCACAATCTCGGTTCACTACAACCTCCGCCTCCCAGGTTCGAACGATTCTCCCACCTCAGCCTCCTGAGTAGCTGGGATTACAGGTGCATGTCCCCATTCCTGGCTATTTTTTGTATTTTTAGTAGAGACAAGATTTCGCCATGTTTGCCAGGCTGGTCTCAAACTCCTGGCCTCAAGTGATCCACCTGCCTCGGCCTCCCAAAGTGTTGGGATTACAGGTGTGAGCCACCACGCCCGGCCAAGGTCAATTTTCTTAACAAGGCTCTTCATGATCCCATCTCTAGTCACCTCTCTAACCTTATTTTCTGCCTCTCCCTGCCTCTGAGAACTCCCTACCTGTGATTCTCAACCACACTAGGCCATCAGATCTTTTCATAGTGTCCTCTCTGCCTTGAACATCCTTCCAGGCATCTTTGGCATGGCTGCCCTGATGCAGCACAGGCGTCACGTCACCTGGATTGGCCTCAGTGGCCCTTCTCTGTGCTGCCACTGCACCTTGTACATATCCAAACTGTCTGTTCATGGGTGTCTCCCCAATTAGAACTGAGCATTTCCAGTGAAGGGACCATGTCTCACATATCTTTGTATCCCTTAGAACCTAGCACAGCCTGGCACACAGTATGCCCTCAGGAACAATTCGTTAAACTATATTTCAGCACTTACTGTCTTGCCAAATAATTTGGCATTGCTCATGTTCCATTTGACTGTATTGCATTTCATTGGCTCTTTCACGTGTGCTACCATTGACTGCTCAGGTAGATCTTAAGTTCCTGGAGGCCAAACCGCATCTTACATTTCTCAGCAGTCCTCAGAGAATTGAACATTTGTCCCTAAATAAGCATGCAACAAGTGCTAAATTAATAAAGATTTCAGGCTGGGTGCAGTTGCTCATACCTATAATCCCAGCACTTTGGGAGGCCGAGGCGGGTGGAAGACTTGAGGTCAGGAGTTTGAGACCAGCCTGGCCAATATGGTGAAACACCATCTCTACTAAAAATACAACAACAACAAAAAATTTGCCGGGTGTGGTGATGCGTGCCTGTAATCCCAGGTACTCAGGAGGCTGAGGCAGAAGAATTGCTTGAACCAGGGAGGAGGAGGTTGCAGTGAGCCGAGATGGCACCACTGCACTCCAGCCTGGGTGACAGAGTAAGACTCCATCAAAAAAAAATTAATAAAGATTTGAAAGCATACATGAATGGATGGAGTTAAATAAATAGTTAAACATATTCCTTGTACCTCTCTAGTAGGGAAATTACAAACGAGTCCTCTTGCTGCCAAGATTCTTGCAGGCAGGCCTTGGGAGGAAAGGCATCTTAGAAAAGTGAATATCCACAGGGAGAGGGGGTCACTGAGCCACCCCCTTCCCTCCCCAATCAGTGCCCTGACACCTTTGCTGCTCAAGCTGCCTTCATCCTCCTGGATGGGATGGATCCTGAGGGATCCTGAGGGTTCCTAGAACATGTGGTCCTGAGCTTTTAGAAGGAGCCCACCATTCCCTCCTCCCTGATTGCACTGCTCGGCAGCTAAGTAACCCTTGTGGATTACGGCCCAGGAGCTCCGGCCCTTCTCTTCTCCTGCCGTGATGGCTTCCTCGGCCCAAGAGACCAGATGTGCTCCTGCTAGTGGTCTGGAATTCCTCTCTCCTGTCGATGCAGGCTCCTGGAAGGTCTTGAGAGAGGCAGAACTCTGGAGAGATAATGCAGGCTGCTTACTCACTCCTGGGGTCTAAACTCTGGAAACACTGAGCAGGCTTGGGCCTGAGGTAGTCCAGACGACAGCCAGCAAAATTTGCTGAGGGTTTGCTGAGTGGGCTGAGTTAATAGCGTGGATCCTGGGAGGCAGGCAGGGAGCAGGAGCTGAGGAAGGGAGCGGGGAGTCCTCTGTGAGGTGTCCCCCTTAAAAATCCATCACCCAGGCCCGTTTGCAGATGGGACGAGGCCTTGCCTGCTCCAGGAAGCAGAGAGAAGCCCTGGCAGAGGCTGCTCAAGTGCCTGGACCGGCACCTGGTCTTGCGTGGACTTGGACGCTGACCCTCAGCCAATCCCAAGTGTGACTGGGCTGTTGCTTTCTGTTTCTGAGCTTCAAAGTGTTGCAGAGGGACAGGATAACATGGTCTGGTACAAAATGAAAATGTGGGGTCCCCTTTTCCAAAATTATTAAGAATTTACTATATTTTTTAAACTTTTGTTTTAGTATTTTAGTTTTTTTTTAAGTATTGCTTTTTATTTTTCTTATTTTCCAGAAACTGCTAAACAGGAGAGTATTAAACCAAGTGCAGGGCTCGTCTAAGCTGGAGCTCACCCATCCATGAAGCCGGCCCTGCAGAGGGGTTACATGAGAAAAGCATGAGTGGGAGGCTCTCACCTGTAATCCCAGCACTTTGGGAGGCTGAGGCGGGTGGTTCACTTGAGGTCAGGAGTTCAAGACCAGCCTAGGCAACATGGTGAAACCTGTCTCTACTAAAAATACAAAAATTAGCCGGGCATGGTGGCACATGACTTGTATAGTCTCAGCTACTTGGGAGGCTGAAGCATGAGAATTGCTTGAACCTAGGAGGCAGAGGTTGCAGTGAGCCGAGATCATTCCACTGCACTCCAGCATAGGCGACAGAGCAAGACTCTGTCTCCCAAAAAAAAAGAAAAAAAAAAAAAGAGGGGCTATAATTCGGAGAACCTGGCGCAAGGCAGGTTTTCCTTAGCACCAGCACCTGCCCTCAGGTTAGCCCCTACCGCATACCTTAATAAAAGGCAGAAACTTTATATTTGTAGGGGAGAAAAAGTTACCTTTCCCTCACCCATCACAAGACTCATCGCTACTGCTCCTATAACAAAAAAACAGGTTAAGGAGAGAAAAGGACCACAAATGTATTTAACCAAAGTTGTTTTATTCTGTTTTTTTTTTTTTTTTTTGAGATGGAGTCTCATCACTCTGTCGCCAGGCTGGAGGGCAGTGGTACGATCTCGGCTCACTGCAACTTCCACCTCCTGGGTTCAAGCAACTCTCCTGCCTCAGCCTCCCGAGTAGCTGGGATTACAGGCACCCGCCACCTTACCTAGCTAATTTTTGTATTTTTAGCAGAGATGGGGTTTCACCATGTTGGCTAGACTGGTCTTGAACTGTTGGCTAGAGTGGTCTTGAACTCCTGACCTCAGGTGATCTGCCCACCTCAGCCTCCCAAAGTTCTGGGAATACAGGCAAGATTGACTTCCTGTGTGTGGTATGGAATGAGAATGAGTGAGGCCGCAGGACCTAGAGTCTAGGTTGGCGGTCAAGGCAAGGACATCCCCAGGTGGCTATTTGTCCCAGTGCCTTTTGGTTTAAGTTAAGGCATGTAGGCAGCTCTCTTTAAAAGTGTAATTCACCTGATAACCAAGGAAGAGATAACACATTTCCTGCTTAGTGGATGAGATTCTACAGTCTCTTTGCCAAATAAGCCTTGAAGGCAGGTAATTCAGAGCCAATATGGAGTTTTAAAAAGTATTTGGACAGCAAGATTTTATTCAAATAAAAAACATATTCTAATCTGAATAGAAAAACTCAATTTTGTAAAAGTTGAAGGGTGGCAGAATATGCCACCTCAAAATATCCTCCTTTGGCATAAGGGTTATTTTGAGCCAAAGGCAAATGAAAACCAGCAGGTACCGGAAGGGCACTCTGATCACTCCTTTTGCTTTCTGAAAGCAAGAACAAAAGCCCCATATGAAAGATGTCCTCCTTACACCAGGAGGAAAGCAACATTCTTTTTTAAAAGAAATTTTAAATAAAAAATAGAGATGAGGGTCTCCCTATCATCAGACCAGGCTGGTCTCCAACTCCTGGCCTCAAGTCATCCGCCCACGTCGGCTTCCCAAAGTGCTAGGATTACAGGCGTGAGACACCACGCCAGCCAGAAAGCAACAGTCTTATCACCAGGGACAGGGAGAGGAGGCTGAGAGGGATCTGTACAAAGTGACCTTGGAAACCAACCTTCCTCTTCCCAGTCACTGCTCATGATCATCTTTCCCAGCTCGAGCCCCCTTGCCTTGTCACATTTCCATCATTTACTTTGTGAAACTCTTTGTCCAACTCAGTATATGAGTGTTTGACTCTAAACTGCTTCTTTGGGTCTTCATTTCCTTATGAGGGCTCCCATCTCATGTAAAACTTTTTAAAATAACTATGTTTCCTTTCCTCCTATTAATATGTTTTATGTTGATTTAATTCTTAGGCCCTGTTGAAAACCCTAGGAGAGTAGAGGTAAATATTTTGCCTCCCAAACAAGGTAAAAAATTTTTCCCTAAACTAATCTATTAATTTGGTATAGTCTCAGCCAAATATCAACAGGATTATCTTTGTTTTGAACTTGGCAGAAATGGTATTAAGATTGATTTGGGACTGGGAGCTGTGGCTCACGCCTGTAATCCCAGCACTTTGGAAGGCCGAGGCAGTTGGATCATTTGAGCCCAGGAATTTAAGACCAGCTTGGGCCACACAGTGAAACCCCATTTCTGCAAAAAGTAAAAAATTAGCCTAGTGTGGCAGCACGTACCTGTAGTCCCAGCTACTCAGGAGGCTGAGGTGGGAGGATCACCTGAGCCTGGGAGGTTGAGGTTACAGTGAGCCATGATCTAACCCAGGTACCAGGGCAAGAACCTGTCTCAAGAGAAAGAAAACAAACAAACAAAAATAACAAACAAACAAAAAGGATTTATTTGGAAAAATAGACATGGGAGGAGGATCAGGGAAATTTAAAAATAAATAAATATTAAATGATAGAACCTTAGATATTAAAGCATATTTTAAAGGGCACATAAAGGGGTTCCTGGGACCCTAGGTGGGCCTCAATTCACAGGGGTCTTTGGGGGTTGCCATAAAACTCTGCTCCAGCAAGGTAAGACTCACTTAAAAAATCATACCGGTTCCTGTTGCCAGTCCTCTCCCATCACCCTGAAGGCTGGAGAGTCATGAGGCTATACTTCCCCCATGCCCACCCATGCCATTTCCATCAGTATGAGCTGAGCAGAAGGTCTTAAACAGGAAGGCAACGTGGAGCTTATATACACGTCTTGGGCTGTCCAGGCCCCTGGCATGGGATTTCTTCTTTCTATTGGTTATTACTTGGGTCCTTGTACTTTGTCTTCCTTCAGTGTCTCCATGCAAAATTCAAAGCATTAATTTAGGCTGGGCGTGGTGGCTCACACCTGTAATCCCAGCATTTTGGGAGGCCAAGGCAGGTGGATTACCTGAGGTCAGGAGATCGAGACCAGCCTGGCCAAGATGGTGAAACCCCCTCTCTACTAAAAATACAAAAAATTAGCTGGGTGTGGTGGTGGGCACCTGTAATCCCAGCTACTTGGGAGGCTAAAGCAGGAGAATCACTTGAACCCAGGAGGCAGAGGTTGCAGTGAGCCGAGATCATGCCACTGCACTCTAGCTTGGGCAACAGGAGTGAAACTCCGTCTTAAAAAAAAAAAGCATTAATTTAAAGGACAGAGAACAATTAGGGTCAAAATTTGCTTTAGAGGGAAGTTTAGTTGGTGGAAACTGAGTGTGATGTTTCTCTGGGTGTTGGTGGTGGTGGCTTGCCCTACCTCATCCCTCTCCCCAGCCCCTCTCATTCCACAGATAACTGAGAGTGGGGACTATTCCAGAAAGCAGTGGAGATCCAGCCGTGTGGATATTCTTATTCCTTCCCACAGCCTTCCCAGCAGCCCTGGACTTCATTCCCAGAAGGGGCACCTGTTTTACTTGCTTCTCTATCAATTTGCTTTGGGAAAAATGGTTTGCAATTGAGTGTTTGAAGCAAAATCCCACAACAGCAGTTTTTCCCCTTTGCAGAAACCACTCTTTATTTTGGCAAACACTGGGTACTCAAAGCAATTTGCCTTTTGTCTAAACTGAAAGCAGAGATGTTGTTGGGCCTGAGGTGGATTTCTAATCTTTCCCTGCCTCTGACTAAGGACCAGTGGCCCTTGTCCTGGATGAAGTTATCGCAGGGGTCTGGGAGAGAAAGACCAAATGTGCACATGGCATCAGCCCTGCCCCCAGGAGGAGCTGGAGTGGGGTCCTGTGTGTTGACACTCAATGGCTGAGACTTAGATCAGCCATTACTGCAGACAGAGTCGCTTCTTTTTTAACACTGTGGCAGGAACCAAAGCGCAGGTTCATGCAGCTCAAAGGCAGCAGGGGCTGGAGTTCAGGGAATCTGGTTTTTAATGGGGCCCCAGAACAGGTCTGCAGCACTGGCTTCCTGGGAGTTTGAGAGCTGGGAGCCCTCCACCCAGCACCACACCCCTCCTCCCAGCCCCCTCGCCTGCTGCATTGCACCACTGATTTAGTGAAGACATCATCCTCACCCCCTTCTCAGAGCTGCTCGCTGCTCTGTTCTGACAATTACACTAGCTGCTGCAGAGAAGTGCTCATCCCCACCGACATATGGCTTTTTAAAGTGATAAATTGCATTAGCAAATTTCTTATTAGCTCTGCTGTCAGGAGGGATCTCCTGCCATGTTAGCTTGCTGAGGCTGATGCATAACTTCCTGACCGTTAATTACCATGCCAAGGGCTAAAGGGACTCAGCAGCGGGTAGGTGGATAAGTGGAGGTCCTGTTCTCTCTTCCCCTCTCCATGGGAGGTCAGGAAGGCTTGGCTCAATGGCCCTTAAACTGTCTTTGGTCTGGTTCTGCAGTGAGCTCTAGCCTTTAGGCTCCTGATCTTCGTGGGTAGGGCACAGGATACTCAGATACCATCTGGGCTGCTTGGGGTTGGGTTTTCCCTCAGGTCCTTCAGGACTTGGCAGCTTGAATCTGCACAGCATCTCTTTTGGAGCTGGATGTTCAAGACAAACCCTGGACTGGGTCCTAGAAAGGTGCTCTAGCCTCTCTTTGGGGGTTCAAGGCCAGTGATCCTCCTCATTCCTCCTCTTCTCATGCCAAACAGCTTGAAGAGCCTCCTCCCCGAAGGTGACATCATGTCTCTTGCTTAGGTCTTTTCTTGGTGGCTCTCCAAGGAACTGCATATTCAGGATGTTCAATCCCAACTTCCATGGACTCAGGCTCTCCTTTTATACAAGAAATTGCATAAAACTCAAAGTCACTGGGGAGCAAAAATGAAAAGAGAAACATTTTAATTTCTTGTTTTACCTACTACACAAAATGAGTAACCATTTTGAGGGTCTCTGACTTCTTTGAGAATCAGACAAAAAAAATTGATCCTCATCCCCAGTAAAAATGCACATACAAATTTGTGCATTCAGTTTCAGAGTCTTTCCAGTCTCTCTGCAGCCCATTTATGAATCCACGTTTTATAGGTGCCCTTTCCAACACCCTCTGACTGCCCCCCCTCCCCCGACCCCAACCCCCACCTCAAGCAGCTGATCCCTGGGAACTGACCATATCAGCGGCCTCCTGCCACAAGAAATGAGTTAGTCTGAAGCAGCAGAACCAGCTCCCCAGGGCAACCCAGGGCACAGTTTGGGTGAAGTCCACTAGAGGCAATTGCATTATTTCTTGAGTTACATTAGACATGGTGAGACAGAAATGTGCTCAGCGTGGCAATGACTTTGTGGCCAGGTCTACATTAACTACTCATTCTGAGAAACCAGTTCTTGTGGCTGGGAGGCTCCTGTAGTAGCATTTTCTTGTCCTGGTGTGCTCCTGCTGAGAAGGGAGGTGAGGGAGGAGGAGGAGGAGACTGCAGCAGAAAAAGAAAAGATTCTGAAATGGGTGCGGGGGAGGGTATGTGTGTGTGGAGAAAGGCAGAGAGAGGGGGTGGGGACGAGAACTGAATTCTTCATTATTCAGCCTAAGGATGCTTTAGATGGAATCTGAAAAATTTGTGAGGATGAATTTGCACTCTTTAAAACACGTGGCCTCAAGTTCTGTCTCATCTTGAGCTTTGGCTAGGAGTGATGCTCTGCTCTGTAAAATCAGAAAAACACTCTCCTTTCTTGTCACTTCTAGGCTAGGGTATAAGAAATGCCCAAAGGAGGATGGAAAAGTGGAAGGAGGTTCTCTAAGTGAATGAGGTGGTCACAAAGTTATTCGCTATCACCCCAAATTGTTTCCATGACTCCCTGGCGGAAGCAAGAGAGAACTACTGCAATAAGACCAGGCCCAGCACGGGTTTTTTGGAGGGATGGAAGGCGCTGATAACCAGCCCAACACAAATTGCCTCTTTCTCTGAACTTCGGGAGCGTGTGTTGCCTTTGGCTTAGGTCCCAGCGCAGCCTCTGCACTACAGCCCAACCAGGGCCTGTCCTCATCAGCCCCCTCTCCCTCCTACCTCCAGGTTGGTGCAGTCATGAAGAAGCTGGGCTCTTGCTGCAATCCTAGCCTAGCATTTCCCTGCCACGTTTCCCAAGTGTCCTTCCAGGACTGACCTGCTTGCCATCCCCTGTAGGCTCCAGCCCATTTGCTCCAGTCCTGATGTTTGGCTCATTTTTTTTTTTTTTAATACAGACAAGGTCTCATTTTGTTGCCCATGCTGGTCTCGAACTCCTGGGCTCAAGCAATTCTCTTGTGCCGGCCTCCCAACATGCTGGGATTATAGGCGTGGGCCACTGTTCCCGGCCCCAGCTCATTTTTGAGGAGGGGAGTACTTGGACTTTCTAGGTCTCTGCCTCAGCCCTTTTTGTTTCTCCAGCTCCCATGGTCCAGAGGCTGGGGCATGAGAAACCACCTTGCCAGCACCCGACCTACTCCTACTTCATTCTCAGGACAAACAGCAATCTAGCCACTGATGGGGAAAATAGCAGAGATGTTAAAAGGGCTCAAGATTCTGTGACTCAGATGACTTGTGCTGACTTAGTTTTTCTGAGGACTCATCAGGTCAGGGTTTAGCTATGTCTTCTCCCTGCCCATGGAGGACTGTCCTAGAGATAGATGGCCCTGCAACAGAGGGGTTGGTTCAGAGAAAGAGGGACCCTGTTGGCTGCCAAGAGGATGAAATTCTGCAATGGCTCATGGGTGAAGGGAAAGGAATCTGTCCCTAAAAATGTTCTCTAAACATCTGCCATCTGTCCTGTGTGGCCTTGGCATTTCCTCCTTGCCAGCTCTGGGACCTGGGACTACTCCCTCTGGCTGCCCCATGCTGTGCCTCTCACTGCTTATTCCCTCTGGAATCAGCTCAGGCTTTGTCTGATGTCCAGGGCTCTTTGCCTGGCTGTTGAGGAAGAGCAGCCTCTGTGGCCCAGGAATGTCATCGCATGGGACATTGTTCTCTAAGAACTTAACTTACTTTCAGGAAAGGGTTTGAAATGGGAGAAATTGACTATCTCCCCCAACTCCCTGTCCTGAGACCCCTATATCCTTACCAACTGTAGCTCCATGGAGAGGAGAGGAAACAAGAATTCACAGAAGTAAATGACCATCACAGCCCCCAAAAACACAGCCAAGGCCTAATTCCAAAGCCCTTCTCTGCTCACTGTATTAGGCTTCCTCCAGCAGTCCTGAGTCCTCTCTCAGCGGGGCGATCCTTCTCACCCCTGGAGATATTGTTCAGAAGCACATACGTGCCTGATGGGGTCAGGGCTTTCTCTTTGAGGAAAAAGGTTTAAGTTGGTATGGGAGGATGCAGAAAGCTCTCTGAGTTCCAACACTCCGGCCCAGAAAGTACCCTATCCTGCTGTTCACAGGGTGATCACCCCAATATTACCATTTCTGCCTAGATGGGAGGCAGGAGAACCATCTCTTCTGTAAAGCAAGAACTCTGAAAATGCCCTGACACCAAGTTCCCCCAGTATTTCTCCCAAACCCCAGGAAAGAAAACTGTGGTGCCCACCTCAGCCTCCCAAAGTGCTAGGATTACAGGCGTGAGCCACTGTGCCTGGCCTTGAGCTGAGTATTGAACAATAAAATTCCAACTTCACCTTGGCCTGTAAGTCTTCCTGTCCTCCTTCACTCCCTGCCCAGCCCATTCTGCTCTGAACAAACTCAATCTCATGTTTCTCCAGCCCACTCAACTGGTTCCTGCCTCAGGTCTTTGCAAGTGCCTGCGCCTCCTTCTGAAATGCCCTTCCTCATATCTGCTCATGTCTGGCCCATCACCTTTCAGGTCCCAGGTCAAATGTCATCTCTTCCAAGAGGGCTTTCCCTTTTGTCCCTACTCAAGCAGCTTCACCTCCCCCATCGCTGTCTGTCCCATTTCTATATTTTTGTTTTGTCAGAGCACCTATGACTACGGGAAATTATCTTTTATTTATGTATTTGCTTACTAGACGACTGTGTCTCTCCACTGTTCCCTCCTCCATTGCTCCGTGAGATGAGACCCTTGTCCTGTTCATTGCTGTTTCCCCAGTGCCCAGAAAGATACCTGGCTCACAGTAAAGGTGTGTAATCCATATTTGTTGATATCATGGGGAATTATTACGATCTGGAGGCCAGAGCCAGAGAGCCCATGGGGTGGAAGAGGGAAAGAGGACACTTGGCCCCACCCTTTTCACTATCCTTCTAAAGCTAAGTGGATAAAGTCCAAATGTGTTATCTGGACATGCAGAGCCCCAGTCCATCCACCTTCCTAGGTTTATTTCCTGCCAGCCCCTTTGGTCCTCCATTGAATGTGCCAGCCTCTCCAAACTGCTAAATGGTCCTGATGGTTCAAAGTTCTTTCACATGTATTCTTTGCACATGTTCCTGCTGGAATGCCATCAGTTTGGGCAATTAGCAGTTATGGTATCTCCTTTTGGAGTGACGGTGAGGATTAAACGTTGTAGTACAGAATAAGCTCCTAGCACAGTGCCTAGCCAGAAGTCAGTCCTCACTGAGTGTTGGTTAGCAGCCCTCCCTTCCTCTCTGCAGGGACTGCATCAGCACAGGGGGCACCTTCTCTGTGAAGCTTAGACCTAGCACTTCATTTGCGGTCTCCACAGTTAGAGACCTGTTAGGGGGTCTGTTTCCCTAAGCTGTCTCCCTGGGCAGAGACATCTGTATCTCTTTTGTGCTCACCATGATGGCTGACATATAGTAGATGTGAAATGTGTGTCCGCTGAAAAACTGGAACCGAGGTGGGTCTGTGACCTGTGAAGCAATGGGGTCTGGCGGGGGTGGAAGCCTTGTTGGTCTTCTCAGACCCAGAACACATATGCCTGCTGACCTCATTGAGAAAAAAAGGTCAGTGTCTGCATCCTCCTGTGGCTAGGAAACCAGGAATGGGGAGGCAGCCTCTCTCCTGCAGCCTAATCAGCCATCTGGGTACACCCAGCCATGAAATTAGAGTCTACATCCTAAGCACCACGGCCATATCCAGTTTTCCATCGATGAAATATTTAGCCGCTCTACAGCCCCAGTCTGTTCTGTGTCTGAAAGGGAGGGGCTCCTCCCCCTCCTCCCTGCAGATGCCACCTCTCAGTTCCCTGACCAGGCCTTTTGCTACCCTACTGCTGTGCCTTTACTAATACGATGTGTGTCCCACTCCCTCAAATCAGGAATGCCTTCCTCCTCCTAGTTGACTATCCAACTCCCCTTCCCCAAGGCCCATCTCCTCCGTGAAACCTTTGCTAGAAGTGATTTTTCCTTCCCTAGACCTCTGACCTCACCTGAACAGCAAACTCACACTTCACAATCCTGGCTGGGTGGAATTAATTCTTAACTGGACCCATTGTCATTCAAAGGGGATGAAGACCTTTGACTCAAAATGATGGCTTAGTGCCGCTGTGGATTTTCCCTATGTAAATTGGGGTGCGGCTGGGGTGCTTAGTAGAAAGTAGGAACAGGAACTTCCAATGAAAATGCTTGAGGGGACTTTCAGGGACCTCTGCCTGTCCTGAGCCCCTAAAACAAGGACCTTGACCAAGGACCATTCTCCAGTCCTGCCCCTACTCCAGACCAAAGACCCTGAAGGAGCAGGGCAGGACAGGGGAATGTTTGGGGTCAACTATGCAGTATTGTCCAGCCACAATGTGTTGCCTCCCAGATGCACGGTGACTGCTGCTTAATGTGGTGAGTTTGGGTATGTTGTGAAGTTGCCAAGTAGCACAAAGCAATGAGCTGAGGGCAGCACACAGGCTGATTTCTGGGAAGAAAGGGCATCAGCATGGGGCCCTTTGGCCAACTCTGTATAATCAGAGAAGTAGGGCCTTGCTTCATGCTTCTTGAAATTAGGTGTAAATAAGATATGAAATTGGATGTAAATAAGATCAAGTCTGGCTGGGCGCGGTGGCTCATGCCTGCAATCCCAGCACATTGGGAGGCCAAGGTGGGCAGATCACTACAAGTCAGGAGTTTGAGACCAGCCTGGTCAACATGGTGAAACGCTGTCTCTACCAAAAATATAAAAAATTAGTTGGGCATGGTGGTGCCTGCCTGTAATCCCAGCTACTTGGGAGGCTGAGGCAGGAGAATCTCTTGAATCCAGAAGGCAGAGGTTGCAGTGAGCAGAGATCATGCCACTGCACTCCAGCCTGAGTGACAGAGCCAGACTCCACGTAAAAAAAAAAAACCAAGATCAAGTCTAGTTTTTATACACATTATTCAAAAGATTTTGACCAAATGGTTCATACAAGGCAACACTGGCTGGCCCATCACCGGCAGGGTGGTGTTGTGTGGAGAACAGGCATGGGACCCGGATTTGGAGTTAGGCAGATGGGGCTTTGAATCTGGGCTCTGCTATTTACTCAGCTGAGTTGGCCACAGGCCAGACCTTGACCTTCCTGTACATCAGTGTATACATGAATGTTGCGTATGTAAGCATGTGTGTGTATAACGTATTTAGCTCTATAAACACAGCCCTTGCATTTTTCAAGTATTCTTTATGTGCTTAGCACTGTGGCGGGCATTTTATTTTCATTACCCTCATTTGGTCTTCATAACAACTCTGGGAGGAAGACATTATTATCCCCATTTTGCAGTTGAGCAAACAGAAGTTTAATAGAGAGGTTAAGTAACTTGTCATAAGACACATTTATTAATGGGTAGATTTATGATTCAATGTCAGGCTCCAAAGCACAGTGAGATCCCGCATTCCTGTGTAGTGGGAATGAAATATTTCCCTCTGGGGTGTCTGATGAGTAAATGAGGTAATCTGTATGAAAGAGTCTTGTAAACTGTAAAGCGCTATTTTCCAAAGGTGAAGCCTCAGTTCTTGCCCTCAAGGACTTTATAATTTGACTATATTGATTAATAAGAGTTGCATAGTGCTTTTAAGCAACCAAGTGTCGAAATGCAAGTGTGCACCTTAGCCTAGTGATCCAATGTAGCATCACCACTGACAGGACACACAGACATGGTGCACCGCCTGGTATGATGGGATACCATGGGAAGGCACAGCCTCACCTTCATGGCATGTTCGTGTTCAAATGTATTTGACCTGAATCAAATCAGACAAATCCAGATTGTGAGACATTTTACAAGGCAACTTATACCTAGGCTCTTCAAAAATGTTAATGTCGTGAAAAACAAGCAACCAACAAAGGCGGGGGGACTGTTCTAGATTAGAGGAAACTAAAGAAGCATGGTTTAAAGTCTTTGCTGTATACCAGATTGTTTTTTTCTTAAAGTCATATCCCAGTGACTCAGGAGGCTGAGGCGTTCAAGAGGAGTTCGAGACCAACCTGGCAACACAGTGAGATTCCATCTCTAAAAAAATTTTTGAATTAGCCAGATATGACAGTGTGTGCCTTTATCCCAGCTACTCGGGAGACTGAGGTAGGAGGATAGCTTGAGGCCAGGAGTGGGAGGCCGCAGTGAGCTGTGATAGTGCCACTGCTCTTCAGACTGGGCAACAGAGTGAGCCCCTGTCTCTAAAAATAAATAAGTAAGCCATAAAGGATATTTTGGGAGAATTGGGGATATCGAAATATATTTATTACATTAGCTAATATTATTGTATGAATGTGAAATTTATTGGATGTGATGAAATTGTGGTTATAAGAGAAATTATAAGAGGAATGCCCTTGTTCTTTTTTTTGAGACAGGATCTCACTCTGTCGTCCAGGCTGGAGTGCAGTGATGTAATTATAGCTCACTGCAACCTCCAACTCCTGGGCTCAAGCAATCCTCACCCTCAGCTTCTCCAGTAGCTGGGACTACAGGCACGTGCCACCAAGCCCAGCTAATTAAAAAAAATTTTTTAGTAGAGATGAGGTCTCACTATGGTGCCCAAGCTGGTCTCAAACTTCTGGCCACAAGTGTTCCTCCCACCTCAGCCTCCTGAAGTGCTGGGATTACAGGCATGAGCCACCACACCTGGCCTGTCCTAGTTCTTAAGTGTCATGATATCTTTGAGTTTCAAATGCTTTAGTAAATGCATATATATGTATGTGTGAATATATTTTTATATTCACATATTTTATATTTTTATATTCATATATACATATATATGGAAAGAGAGAGAAAGAAAGCAAGCAAATGGTGAAATGTTAACCCATGGTGAATATAGATAAAGGATTTACTGGTTTTCCAGTATTATCCTTTTAACTTTTTTCTAGGTTTAAAAATTTCCAATAAAAATTGAGAAGTTTAACAGAGTTTAACAGAGAGAGCAAGTAACTTGCCACAAAACACAATTACTAAACGGCACATCTGGGAGGCAACGTCTGTATCAGTGCTAAGGGGCAATGGCTATTATTTAAAAATGGCTATTTAAACCTTCCTCTAGGTTTAAAGGAACCTAGAGCTGGCCAGGCGTGGTGGCTAATGCCTGTAATCCCAGCACTTTGGGAGGCCGAGGTGGGCCGATCACTTGAGGTTAAGAGTTTGAAACCAGACTGGCCAACATAGTAAAACCCCGTCTTTACTAAAAATACAAAAACAAGCCTGGCATGGTGGCACATGCCTGTAATCCTAGCTACTCGGGAGGCTAAGGCAGGAGAATCGCTTGAACCTGGGAGGCAGAGGTTGCAGTGAGCAGAGATCACACCACTGCACTCCAGCCTAGATGACAGAGCAAGACTCCGTCTCAAAAAATAAAATAAAATAAAAAATAAAGGAACCTACAGCTGAACACTTTTATCATATAAAAAAATCTTCACCAAACTTACTTGTTTGCCACACTTCTAATAAGTAGGAAAATGCAACAGAGGCCCCACATGATCCCAGGGTCTCAGGCACTTTCTCGACTCTTCTAAAGGAATGACTCTAATAGTTTTTCATCAGGGCTGCTTTCCCTTTGGCTACAGCGTAGTCAAAATAATTCCTGCCCAGTTTCTGGGTTCCTAGGAGACAAAGCTTAACATCCTTGCCAAGAGTGGTGAAACCTCTGTGGCCCTGGAGTTTCCATGGTGCAAACAAAGTCCTGGCTCTACCCACAGGCCACGCCAGCTGCACAGGAGGGACAAAGATGCAAGACCTAGCAAACGTATGTGGGCCATCATCAGTCATCTAGAGTGCTTGTTTAAAATGCCCCATCCTTATGGTGGCTGAGTCCTGGGAACCTTCTTTTTGTTTTTTGAGACAGAGTCTTGCTCTGTTGCCCAGGCTGGAGTGCAATGGCACGATCTTGACTCACTGCAACCTCTGCCTCCTGAGTTCAAGCGATTCTCCTGCCTCAGCTTCCCAAGTAGCTGTGAATACAGGCACCTGCCACCACACTTGGTTAATCTTTTTTGTATTTATATTTATATTTATTTATTTTTTTTTGAGATGGAGTCTCACTCTATCGCCCAGGGTGGAGTATAGCGGCACTATCTCAGGTCACTGCAACCTCTGCCTCACAGGTTCAAGTGATTCTCATGCCTCAGCCTCCCAAGTAGCTGGGATTACAGGCATGTGCCACCATCCTTGGCTAATTTTTGTGTTTTTAGTAGAGACGGGGTTTCACCATGTTGGTGAAGCTGGTCTTGAACTCCTGATCTCAAGTGGTCCGCCCACCTTGGCCTCCCAAAGTGCTGGGATTGGCCAGGCGCAGTGGCTCACCCCTGTAATCCCAGCACTTTGGGAGGCCAAGGAGGGTGGATTACCTGAGGTCAGGAGTTCAAGACCAGCCTGACTAACATGGAGAAACCCCATCTCTACTAAAAATACAAAATTAGCCGGGCATGGTGGCACATGCCTGTAATCCCAGCTGCTTGGGAGGCTGAGGCAGGAGAATCGCTTGAACCTGGGAGGCGGAGGTTGCGGTGAGCCGAGATCGCGCCACTGCACTCCAGCCTGGGTGACAAGAGTGAAACTCCGTCTCAAAAAAATATAAAAACCAAAGTGCTGGGATTACAGGTGTGAGCCACTGCTCCCAGCTGGGAACCTTCATTTTAACCAGCATTCCTCTGCAGCACACTAAAGTTTTGGAAGCAACAGTCTAGACTAAAATCCTAATTCCTAAACCTAGCGTTCGAGGTCTTGCAAAGTTTGGCTTTCCTTACTCCTCAACAAGTACCTTCCCCTCCAGCCAGGCTGAAGGGTTCCTTAATGTGCCTTCTAGCTTGTGTCTGCTCAGGCCTGCCCTTCACTGGCATCTTTCCTATCTCTCCTTAATCCACGTGATGCCAACTCAGCTTCAAGACCTAATTCAAGTCCCATCTGCTCCCAGCAGACTTTCTGATCACCCCAGCCTCCCTCCCAGGGGTTCCTTCCTTTCTCTGATTTCATTCAACATTAAATTGGTGGCATGCAGTTTAATACTTTATGATATACTATTCATTGTGGTTTTTCACTTGCTTTGATTGAGTTAATGGCATTCTCTTGCAACCTGTGACATCCTCTAGGGCAGGAATCACATGTTTCTCTCTTGCACCCTCCTTAGTACCAAAGACACAATTAAAGTCCCAGGTAGATCCTGAGAACCAATTTGCTAATAACTGAATTGAGGAACAGATGGGAGACAAATTGGGTGAAAAAGGGCGGGAGGGAAAGAGAAGAAGAGGATTGGCCATGGCCGTGTGTGAAGGGCATGGGACATTTTGGTTGAGGCTGGGATCCTAGGCTCAGTGGATGGGTGGAGTTTGGGCGACCACCCCGCCCCCGCCACCATAATTATTTGCATTTGGGGCTTGGCTGCTTCAGGGTCTCTGCCCCCACATAACAATTTGCATCCATAAATTTACATGGAAGTGAAGGAGCTTCCTGAAAGAAGAGACCGGCCTCTGTCGCCTCTCCATATTCCTCCCTTATCATTCAAAGTCATGTGTGGTGAACATGGGGATAGAGGTGCAGGCGGTAGAGCAGGACGTAGAGTCATACGGCTGCACCCCTGAAGGATGCAGCTTAAGGGAGGATGGGAATGCCTGGACTCCTTCCTGAGGCTCTCAGTGATTTTAGTCCCACAACTCCATGGTGGCCTATCTACCCCAGATTCTCCCTCCGCAGACATCTGCCCACCTATGCTTGAAGCAGTTGAGGCCAGCAAGTAGGGCTGTGTGGAGAGGGGACACCATGGATATTTTCTCATAAATGTAAATGGGACATCCCTTGTAGGCTCAAGAAGATGAAGCTGCCACATTCATGCTGTTCCCAGATCCCCTACTGCAGTTCCCTCTGCCTGGAGTGCCCTCTCCTCTGGCGGCTGCCTGATAAATCTTTGGGGATGGCCTGGCTGGACTCCCCAAGGCAGACTAAATTCTGCTTCCTGTTCTCATAGTCCTGCTTGAAGGCCTCTGTGAACAGCTCAGACTCCCCAGTAAAATAGGAACCATGACCACTCTCAGGGTGGTAAAGAGAAAACAAGATAATACAAGGCAAAACAAAGGGCTTGGAATTGCTTCTTTACTCCTATCTCCCCGCATTTCGCTGATAAGGCTGGTGATTCTGGACACTCTAGTGCTGGATGGGAGCATTCCGAGGAGAGGAGGCTCCAGCCCTGGGGATGCTTCTTGGCCATGAGCTGCCTGTCCTCGCTCGGACAAAGGAAGTACCCAACCTTAACATCCACGGGAGAAAACCCAAGGCAGCAGATGGAAGAAGAGCTACAAAGATAGCAGTCATTGGAGGAACAAAGAAAGGTCAGTGACCTGTGAATTATAAGGACAGTCCGGACACAAAGAGCCAGAAACCACAGTGGGCTCCTAATGGAAGAAAAGTGAAAGAAAAATCAATGGTGTGGGGAAGCTTCTCCTCCCATCTTTCAAATGGCTGCAGAAGGAGGAGGGGGAGGAAGAGCTCTGAGCTGGGAATATATTAGCTGCCTGATCTCCATCCTGTTACCAAGGGAGTGGAGTCCTTGTCCCCAGAGGCCTCTCAGGAGATGGTAGATAATTACATATGGGTCTCTGGTTTGGTACAGCTCTGTCTCAAGGCAAGGGATGGAATATATGACCCCTTCAAGCTTCTCTTATCTGTACTGGAGCAGGTTACCACGAGACAAAGAGAATTCAAGAGGCTGTCACATAATTATTTGTGTTGCATGCTTCCTTTAGCTTTTGAGAAATCTCGGAACAAAATCTTCAGCGCTCAAGACCAGAATGAATTTGGTGGTTTCACGACCCACCCCCTCCCATCTTTTATTTAAAATAATTAAAAAAACTCCAATCTCCTGAAATTCTTAAGACAGAAGAAGCTTTAGAGTCGACAAGAACGAGATCTTTTGCTTTCATTAGAAATGTCTGCATTTCTCTCTGGTTAAAGGAGGGTGGGATATATTGGAATATTAATGAGGAGCATTTAGATGAGGCTCTTAATTTGAAAAGAATATGAGAATTAATGCTTGAGTTTAATTGGAGCCTGAATCATCACAGATAGATTTTTACCCTCTTCTCCTTAATCAATTTCACCCTAATTAATTCTTCTGTGGCTAAGTCTTGTTACATTAGATAGTCTGCTGATTATTTCCACAATCAAGAGACTGTATATTCATGCATTTTTAATAAGGAACGACTGCATCCTTTTTCATAAGTGATCCTGCCGGTTGGCGGCTGCAGCCACTAAAATAATTATAGAGCAGATTACTTACTTTTAAAGCATTGTTTGCTGTCATATTCATCCTAGGTGACAATTTGGGAGAGCTCCGGAGGCTGCTGTAATCGCGCAGAGGAGCTGGGTATTTAATGTAGCAATTTTCAATGTCAAGTGCTGTTTATTCATAGGTCATTGCCTTTTTTTTTTTTTCTAAATAAACACAGGGGTAATTTGGTCTTGCTGACTGATGAAGTCATGTACTAAAGACTGGAAGGCCGTTCTAATTGTATGCTTAGTTTAAAACCTTGACTCTTGGAAGGACCTGCTTCTGAAGGCTGACTGGCACCTTCTGCCTCCATCTGTGACTGGCTCACATATGGTTGTACATGTCTGATTATTACTTATATGGTGGGGTGCTCTCATGTCAGACCCTGATATCCTTGCAAGCTTGAAGGCTTGAAGCAAGGCACACAGCAATTCCAAAGCTTCAGCTGTTTATTGTTTAGCAAGAGGAAGCGGGACAATCCACCTAAGGGAAAAGACTGCTTTTTGTTTTGGGAAAAACACTGGGCTTTTTCGTTATGCAGAGGAAAGGCTCAGAGCTGATTCTGGAATGGACAGGTTGAGACAAGAGGAAATAAATGGCTCTGTATGCTAATATAAATGACTGTCATGTGGTTAGTGGCAGACAGAGCTACCCCAGTCACCTGAGAAGAGGGGAGACTTCCTCTTATCTCTTGGGTAAATAGAAAGTTGGGACCTGGACGCCAGAGAGGAGAGATCTGGCTGAAGGCCTTCCTCTCTGTGGAAGTTAAGTGAGCTCTGCCATTAAATGGCAGGCCTGACAGGCCTGGAGGGAAAAGGCAAGCAGGGCACCCCAGGCCATGGGCCAGTGGACTCCAGGAGAGTTCATAGGCAGCCTCCAACTTAACTGGTTTTTTTTTTTTTTCTGTAATTATAACTCTCTTTTGCCAGCCCCAATAACTTCAGCCTTGAAGGTGTTAACCTTACAATCTTGGAAAAACAAGAGATCCCGTATCTGTGCTTGGAACAGAGTGTGAAGAAAGGGAGTGTGATCTTCCCTGAGACCACCACCCACCATCACCACCCAAAGCCTGCTCAAGAAAGCATTGTGGTCCTGGAACCCATGTGAGGGGCCACACATTGGCCTTGGGAAGGAGGATACTCACGGGATCCATACAGAGGCAAAGGCTCAGGCTAACGCCCAGCTCAGGTGGACAGGTGTGGAAGTGGACTGAGACAAATTCCTTCCTCATCTTCTGGAGAGAGACCTTCAAAAGGAGAGACTACAACTTGCAAAGCACACAGGCATGGGTTATTGGCTAGCAGCCAACTGGGCCGCCCTTAATAGACATTGCAGTTGGCCAGAGACTCAGAGGTTATCCTGTCCCCCACCCCCTCTTTGCTCTCCACACCAGCTGTTCAGGGAAAGAGCCCAACTGTGGCAACCGCCAGCTCATTTCCCAGGAATGCCACCGCCAGCTGCTCTGCAGAACCCAGGGCCAGTAACTAGTGGCCTCATTGAACCTTAGGTCATTACTCTGACCCCTACTGCAGATGACGAAACTGAACATTTCTGGTACGGTTACTCTCTAAAGCAGCGTCCCTAAGACCACTGAAGGAGTTGCAAAGATTGGAAGGGCAAGACCTGAGCAAGTGTTTGGCCATACGGTAAATATGTGTCAAGCTGCTTGGGTGTCCAGAGCCAGCCCCCTAACCCCTATTTCACTGATAGGAAACCTAGGCCCAGAGAGGTAATTGGTCAAGGTCTATTGATCAGTGATAAGTTCAGACCTTGTGTCCCACGTTCCACAACTCCCAATCCAATATTCTTTCTGGATAGCCCCTCCCTTGGGTCACTTTCTCTTTAGCTAGACAAAAAGGACATCCTGCCAGCTTGCCATGTATTTACTGTGTGGCCAAACATTTGTTCAGATCTTGGCCTTCCAATCTCCTCAATTCCTTCAACAGTCTTCAAAACATCTCTTTGGAGCATTTCGCTATAGATAGCAACTGCACTAGAATTTTTTAGCTTCCTCATCTGTAACATGGAGATAATAATAGCAGTTATGGCATCGAGATAATTCATGTAAAGAACTTAGAACAGTGTGTTCTTTCAAGCACATAGTAAGTGCTTGATAAATGTTTCCTCAAAACAGGGGTTATGTGAACCCAAATCTCTGTCATCACTTATGAAAGGCTGAAACAAAAGGTAATGCCCAAAGGAGGCTGGAATCCAATGACAGTCATATTAGAGTGGGGTGTTCCTTGGGGGAGGCATTTTGATCTCTAATATTGTATCAGTCAGTAAGTGGTCCCAGAAGCTAGGAGAGGAGCAGCAAGACTCTTATAGCCTTTGCGTCACCTGCCCTGGCCAAACCTTGATGCACGATCCAGCCTCGAGGCTGGGATGCTACAGGAGATGGGGAGAGGAGCCGGGTGATTCACTTACAAATTCATATAAACCGCCCTCCATGGGCTGTTTTGGACTGACTTATCAGGTTCAGTTCTGCAGCTTCCGTCCTGGGTTTGGTGGCCGGGGAGTCTCGGTCAGCCTGGAGGACCCCAGTAAGTTCAAGGTATAGTACTGGTGGGAGGAGAACCTCCATTTCCTCAGAATACCAGGAAACTCTTGGACTACATGTAGGAACCAATTTCATTTTTTTCCTTTATTCTTTGTTCTCCTTTCCTTCATTTTCTCCATTCCCCTAATATTTTTAAGTCCCTCACCCACATCCTAACCACAGCAGTTACTATAAAAAATAAAATCAGACTAAAGGGAAGGGGATGGTTGATGAAGCCATCTCCATGGGCTGCTGTTCTATATGTGTAACTCTTATCTCCCTTAGTAGAGGGGAAGTCCTTAGAACAGAGGCTATATTTTGCATTCCACTGGGGCTCTGTCACCTCAATGTGTTCACGGAAAGTAGTAAGTACTTATGGAGTAAAGTTAAATGTTCTAGTATAGAATTTTATTTTTAGGGAGAAGTCCTGCATGCTAATGTGACACTATTCCCTTTTGGACAGATGGGGAAATTTAGGCTTCCAGTAATTTAGAGAACTGGTACACACTCACAATCAGGGCTGGCCTGCCACTCTTCTGCTTACTTCAGGGCCCTTATCTCCCGAGCTGCCTCTAAAACATGTCTAAAACATGTTTACTTTTTAAATTTTTTTAAACAGGATCCCCCTCTGTCGCCCAGGCTGGAGTGCAGTGGCAGCACCATGGCTTGCTGCAGCCTTAACCTCTTGGGCTCAGGTGATCCTCCCCCGCCAGCCTCCTGAGTAGCTGGGATTCCAAGTGCATGCCACTATGCCTGCCTAATTTTTTAAATTTTTTGTAGAGACAGGGTTTCACCATGTTGTCCAAGCTGGTCTCGAACTCCTAGGTTCAAAAGATCCTCCTGCCTTGGCCTCCCAAATTGCTGGGATTACAGGCGTAAGCCACCGCACCCGGCCACATTTACTCCTTATGGCTTGTTTCGAAAGCTCATTTTCAGGTTTGTCTGGGATTTGTATCCCAAGGATCTACTGTGTGTCCTAGGGACACACAGCTGTAAGGTAAGATAAGTGGCATCCACAAGAAGGCCAGCTACTGAGGATATCGGGTTAAAGGCACTAAGGAAGTAAATCACTTGGTAAGTTAACTTAGAAAGGCCAAGATGTTAAACTCTGAGCCAACCAGGATTTAATTTATTTGTTATTGAGGTTAATGTCATTTTTACTGCATGCTAATAAAAGCCTGAGCTCTGTTGCCAAGATTCAAGAGAAATCTTAGTTATCATTTTTCCCTCCATTGGTAAGAAAATGGACTGTCAAATTTGGGAAGGCTGGAAGAAAGGGGATAAAGGAGAACATGGGGAACATTTCTCCCCTCTGCTGGTCTGCAGTCTGTTTCCAAGACAGGAGGAGTCATGTCATCTTCTCTCATCAGTGTTGCAGCTGCCTTCGCCTTAAAAGAGTTTGCTCTGGGAACAGAGATCTATTCCTGGGGCCAACTTCTCCTCATGGTTAGCCTGTTGCTTCGGACCATGCTATGGTTTGAATGTGTCCACTCCAAAATTCCTGTTGAAACTTAATCCCCACAGTGGCGGTATTAAGCTACCTCTGACAGCTATTGGATGTGTGACTTCAGACAAGTCACTTAACCTCTCTGGGCTTAGTTTACCTTATCTACAAAATAAGAATGCCTGCCTTACTGACCTCATCCAGCACCTCATAAGAGCAATGCCATGTTCATTCATTTAACAAATTCTTTTTTTTTTTTTTTTGAGACGGAGTCTTGCTCTGTAGCCCAGGCTGGAGTGCAGTGGCGCGATCTCGGCTCACTGTAACCTCTGCTTCCCGGGTTCAAGGAATTCTCCTTTCTCAGCCTCCCGAGTAGCTGGGACTACAAGTGTGAGCCACCACGCCCAGTTAATTTTTGTATTTTTAGTAGAGATGGGGTTTCACCATGTTGCCAAGGCTGGTCGCAAACTCCTGAGCTCAGGCAGTCCACCCACCTTGGCCTCCCAAAGTGCTGAGATTACAGATGTGAGCCACCATGCCCGGCCTCATTTAACAAAATCTTAACAGAAATCTACTCGAACTAGATCCTAGGGACACAGCTGTAAATAAGACAAACTCAGTTTCCACTTTCTTTCAGCTTACACTTTGGTAGGGGGATGTAGGCAATCAAATAATCATTGAAGTAACCGTGTGTCCTGGTTATTTATTGCTGTATAAAAAATCATCTCAAAATTTGGTGGCTTAAAACAACAATCATTTAATGGGGATTGACTGGACCCGAGGAGGTGGTTCTTGTTCAGCGTTTCTCATGCCATGGCAGTCAGACAATGGCTGGGGCTAGAGCCAGAATCATCTCGAAGCCTTGCTCACTCACATGTGTGGTGGTGGATGCTGGCTGTCAGCCAAAATATCTACAATGTGGTCTTTCTATGCGACTTGTGCTTTCTCCCAGCATGGAGGCTAGTTTCTAAAAGCAAGCTAGGCAGAAGTGTGTGGCATGTTTATGATCTAGCCTTGGAAGTCACATAGCTTCACTTTTGATGTATTCTGTTGGCCAATGCAGTCACAAAGCCCAACCCAGGTTAAAAAAGAGGGAACATAGACCCCACCACTCGATGGGTGGAGTGTCAACATCATGGTTCAGGAAGAGCATGTAGGATGGGAAATATCATGGCAGCCATCTGCAGAAAGTACAACTTGCCACACTATGCATTACATGTATAGCGCTTAGATTAGTGCCTGGCACTTAAAAAATATTCGTCAAAGTGTTAACTATTTGCTTTTAGATGCTTTGAAGGAAAATCAATATGATTTCTGATAGTTCCTTGAAAGTCCAAAACTTTATGCAAATGTGAGGGCTTTAAAATCTGTGTTTCATGGTACCTTAGTCATTTTAACCGTAAGCGTCCCAAGAGTGGAGACTATGACTTTTCACTTTTTCTGGATTATTTTACCCTTTGACTTAACTCCCTCTGGTTGATTATATAGGTAGGATATTAAAGAGATGCCAAGATGCCATAGGTTAGTCTATGAGAATGAAACTAGAAAATCAACACATAATGGGTGAAGTCATGTGTATATGTGTGTATGTTATGTATTTATGTATTTCATATGTGTGTATATGTATGTTTGTACATATATATTTCAGTAACCTATTGCTGTTTAACAAACCACTCCAATATGTAACAACATAAAATGACAACCATTTATTTTTCAGGATTCCGTGAGTCAGGAGCTTGGCCAGGCTCAGCTGGGACACTCATCTTTGCTTCACCTCATGTCAGCTGCAGCATCTTAGGAATGCAAGACAGCCTCATTCACATCCGGCGGCGGGTGCTGGCTGTCCACTGGGTGCCTTCGCTCTTTTTCAAGTGGTTTCTCATCCTCTGGGGTTTCACTGTCTCCATGTGGCCTCCCTAGCAAGTTGCTTAGATTTCTTTACGTGGAAACTGGCTTTCTAGAGGGTAAAAATGGAAGCTGCAAGGACTCTTATGGCCCAGAAGTCCCAGAACGTCACTTCTTCCACAAGTCATAGGGCCAGCCAAGATTCAAGGGGAAGGAAACAGACTCTGTCTCTTCATATTTCAATGGGACAAATTGTTGCAGCCACCTTTGGAAACAATCTACTGCAATACACTACAGCAGTGGACATCTGGGCCCTTACCAGGTGCCAGACGCCGTACTAACAGCTTTATACGGATGAACTCATTTAATCCTCCCAAACTCCATGAGGTAGGGTCTGTTAGTAACCCCAGTATGCAGATGAGGCAAATGAGGCAGAGAGAGTTTAAATAACTTGAGTTACACAGCTCGTTTTTGTGCTCAGAGCCCATGTTCTATGTGCCATTCCTGTGCTCTATTGCTGTTCCTCTAAGAGTTGACGTGGCTCACAGGCTGGGGCAGAATAATCAATATAATATGAATAACAGCAATTTAAACTAACTGTCTATGGAATGCCTGCTAGCAAGCATGATAGCTTTATGAAACTTAACTTCTTTGCTGAATCTTCATCTCCACCCCAGAGCCTTGCAAGCTAGCTCTCATCCTTATTTTGTAGATGAGAAAACACGTGCAGAGAGGTTAAACAATTTGGATATTTTACCCAAGCAAAACGTAATGGCAGCCCACTAAGTTCCATTAACTAATCTGGGGATAGGATGTGTGGATGCAGGGACAATGGGACAGCCCCTCCAGCACTGCTGTGGGGAGCAGCCTAGATCCGCAAACATCTCGGCCCTGGCCAGGGTGAGATTTGGGGTGGTGAGAGACCACTGCAGCCCTCCATGGACCAGTCAGTACCTGAGATTAATTCCTCGCTTGCTTGGGTCCTCGTTCTGACTATAGCTCATCTCCCTGCGCTGGGAGACTGCCAGGAAAAGGTGTGCAGGGATCCCGGGCTACTGGGCAGTTGTTTCGCAAGGCTCCTTGCCTAGAATGCCTTTCCTCCATCCTGGCTCACAGGCCACCTCCTCAGAGAGGCCTTACCTTGGCCAAGTGTGCCCCTTCCTCACAAGCCCTGCCTACCCCTGCTGTGTGGCCTTCCTGGTGCTTATGATTCTCTGCTGTTATTTACATAGATGGCCATGTTTTAATCTCCCCGACTAGTATGCATGCTCTATTAAGGTAGATGCTTTTATTTATAGCTACCTAGCATATATATAGTAGGTATTCAGTAAATATAAGGAAAAGAGAGAGAGGAAGAGAAAGAGTGAGAAAAGGAGAGAAAGAATTCGTAGTCTCGTCTATATATTCATGTTTTATGATCTTGGTTGATACTAGTCTATCCCCAGTGGGCAAATCTACCCTCAGCCTGTTGACCACATTAAATTTTAGAGCCTGATACAGGGTAGTCCCAGACCTAGAAGAAGTCACCAAGGCATGCTATGGCCTTGGGAACACTCCTGCGGACCAGCTGGCCCGTTCCCTTGGTGTTACCCTCTCTCCTGCTACACATCTGCTTTCTAACATCAGCAGATTGTATTTCCTAGGAGTGCTGGTGGGTTTTCAAAACAGAGGGTCTCCTCCGACTATTTTGCCTTCTACAAACGGGTATTTAGTCATGTCCAGCTTCGCCAGGCCTATGTCAAAGAGTACTGCCCAAAAAGTGCTGCCCAAAGAAGCCACTGGCACTGTTCTGCAGGCTGTCTGCTCGAAGTCCACCTGGCCCCAGCCCCTTGGCTCTCCCCAGCTTCTGCCCTTTGCCTCCAGCAGCCTCTGGACTCTGCCGGGCTGCAAGAGTTGATCGGAGTCTGCGTTAATGTGAGCTACTTGGGTGTGTTTATTACCCTCCCAGAAGTAGATGGTGAGTTATTATCTCTTAGCCTCCCAGGGGCCATTGCTCTGTTGGAGCTGGGAGAAGAGTAACCAGATGGAAAAAGATGGGTGTAGCGATAACATTCTTGACAATGACTAATTTTTTTTTAGCACTTACGAAGTGCCAGGCCCTTTGCTAAGCCCAATGTCTATATATAATCTCATTTAATTCTCACAAAAACTCTATTAGGCATATTATTGCTATTATTCCCATCTTACGGGTGATAAAACTGAGTCATAGAGAGGGCAAGTACATTTGCCAAGGTTAGGCAACAAACATAGGATTGAAATTCACGTTTAGGTCATGCTTTTTTAAATTTAAGAGATGAAGTCTGTGTTGCTAGGCTGGAGTGTAGTGGCCATTCACAGGTGTGATTATAGCACATTACAGCCTCAAATTCCTGGGCTCCAGCGATCCTCCTGCCTCAGCCTCCCAAATAGCAGGGACTCCAGGCACTTACCACCGCACACAGCTCACGCTTTTCTCACCACACCATAGCCCTTCCTCCCAATATCCCCAAGCAAGAAATAATTTCTCTCTTCCTCACCACAAGGCAGAAGACACAGACTTGGCCCTTAGTACCCATGATGCAGGCTGCCCAGCCTGAACTCTGGGATCTTCCCCAGGGTACTCACCTCATGGCAGCCTCTCCAGGGGCTGGCGTTCCTGATGGAGGGGAACCAGCAGCTTCAAGCAGAAGCCAAAAAGACACCCCATCCTGGCCCTCCAGACGTCCTGGAGCCCTACTAGCAGTGTCTGTGAAAAGCCTTTCAAGGCGACCTTGTGGGTTCCAACACACAGTCGTTTAAATGGTTTATTGCCCCATAAACAGGGCTCCGCAAGGACGCTGCAAGCTGTGTTATTTCAAATGCTCAGTATCTGTCTTTTCAGGGTTTGGATTTACCTTTCCCGGCTGTGGGTACTTCCTTATTCTGGGCAGGCTGACATTTGTCGAAGCAAAGTGGATATACTGGGCTGGCAGAATGCCCTCCCACCTCTCGGGCCTGCATGAGGAGGAGCTGGAGGAATGTTCTTCCTCTTGCTTCTGCCTGAGTGAACTGGGTTTACCTAAGGGGAAGAAAGGCTCAGTGAGGCGGTGAAAGAAATTAGGAGACCTACAGAGTCCTCGCATTACCATCCTGAGAGCCCTCTGCTGGGGCCTCACCTGGGACACAAGCCATGGCTCATTACCTGCTTTATATCATGCAGTCCTCACAACTTCTTTTTTTTTTTTTTTTTGAGATGGAGTCTTGCTCTGTCACCCAGGCTGGAGTGCAGTGGTGTGATCTCGGCTCACTGCAACCTCTGCCTCCTGGGTTCAAGCGATTCTCCTGCCTCAGCCTCCTGAGTAGCTGGGATTACAGGCGCGCACCACCATGCCCAGCTAATTTTTGTATTTTTAGTAGAGACAGGGGTTTCACCATGTTGGTCAGGCTGGTCTTGAACTCCTGACCTTGTGATCCACCCACCCTGGCCTCCCAAAGTGCTGGGATTACAGGTGTGAGCCACCGCACCTGGGTCACAACTTCTTTTTAGGTGTCCCCATCTAAGATAAGGAAGCAGAGCCTAGAGACTGATAACCTCAGGTGATGGCGTAGTTAACCAGTGGCTGCATCAGGCAGGTTCTAATCAGAAGTAGAATCCACTAAATGGTTCTAATGAGGTTTTTGCTTAGGCAGAGGCAGGGTTAGGAAACAAACAAAGCTGATGAGGCAACCCGACTAGCAACAGCAGGCTCTTACTACCTGTTGTGCCAAATCCCCTATTAACCTTAATAGGCGAGGCACCAGGCTCAAGAGGCAGAAGAGACCTCCAGCCAACAAATGAGACAGGAGGTTTTATTAGGGGGTTACATACAGGGAAGAGAGTCCCCTGACAATGGGCTGGACAAGAGAACTGCCTTACATACAGAAATGGTCCAGTGGCTGTAGGCTGGACAACATAACTGCATCGCCCAGTGGCAGGGGCTGGGCAGGAAAATTGCAACTACTGGCCAGGCGCGGTGGCTCACGCCTATAATCCCAGCACTTTGGGAGGCTGAGGCAGGCGGATCACGAGGTCAGGAGATCGACACCATCCTGGCTAACACGGTGAAACCCCATCTCTACTAAAAATACAAAAAATTAGCAGGGCGTGGTGGCGGGCGCCTGTAATCCCAGCTACTCGGAAGGCTGAGGCAGGAGAATGGCGTGAACCCGGGAGGTGGAGCTTGTAGTGAGCCGAGATTGCGCCATTGTGCCACTGCACTCCAACCTGGGCGACAGAGCAAGACACTGTCTCAGAAAAAAAAAGAAAATTGCAACTACCTGCTAACATCATGCAGTTTATATAGCATTTTCACCCTCCCCCTAAAACCTCCACCTGACAACCTTCATTTAATCTAAAACTCGGCCTCAATCCTCTGTACGTCTGTCTTCCATGGGACAGAATGGGACAGGGGCTCAGCTGTTTATCATACATGAGGAACAAATCTCTGGGTTGACCACTCACAGATTCCCTAGCTCAGAACACACATTCAGGTGTGTCTGCCATACAGGGTCATTCTAAGGGTATCCTTAAATTATTACTCTCAGGCTGGGCATGGTGGCTCACACCTGTAATCCCAGCACTTCGGGAGGCCAAAGCAGGCAGATCACTTGAGGTCAGGAATTCAAAACAAGCCTGGCCAACATGTGAAACCCCGTCTCTACTTAAAATACAAAAAATTAGGCAGGCATAGTGGTGCGCACCTGTAGTCCCAGCTACTCGGGAGGCTGAGATGGAGAATTGCTTGAACCCGGGAGGCAGAGGTTGCAGTGAGCCAAAATTGCCTCACTGCACTCCAGCCTGGGCAACAGAGTGAGACTCCTTCTCAAAAAAAAAAAAAATTACTACTCTCAGGTGCATTTACCTTATAACACCACCAAGCCTAACAGGTCAAGGAGTGAAAAGAGTGCAGCCAGAGATGAGGGGTGAGAA
The DNA here is from genome assembly GCF_000001405.40 of Homo sapiens. Taxonomy (NCBI): domain Eukaryota; kingdom Metazoa; phylum Chordata; class Mammalia; order Primates; family Hominidae; genus Homo; species Homo sapiens. The sequence goes on along the minus strand of NC_000002.12, from coordinate 47,216,268 downwards.
CTAGAACCATGGGGTAGACCTAAGAGTCTCAGAGAGACACAGCCACTGCCAGGATCAGGCTCCAAAGCAAGGTGGGAACAGGAAAAAAAAATCTCTACCTGTCTTTTCTCTGCCTCTCCCATCCCTCCCACTCCTTCCATAGCCAAACCCATGCAGAAGCCAGAGCCCAAGGCAAACTGGGTGATGCAATCTGAAGAGGTCGGTCACTTGGGCACAGAGCAGGGTAGACAAGGATGGGGGTTGTGGCAGAAGGAGCATAACCAGTGTAGCAGTGGAGCTGGACTTTGAGCCATGAACTCTCTCTTTTTTTTTTTTTTTGAGACAGAGTTTCGCGCTTGTTGCCCAGGCTGGAGTGCAGTGGTGCGATCTAGGGTCACTGCAACCTCCACCTCCCGGGTTCAAGAGATTCTCCTGCCTCAGCCTCCTGAGTAGCTGGGATTACAGGCGCCTGCCACCATGCCCGGCTAATTTTTGTATTTTTAGTAGAGATGGGGTTTCTCCATGTTGGCCAGGCTGGTCTCGAACTCCTGACCTCAAGTGATCCACCCGCCTTGCCCTCCCAACGTGCTGGGATTACAGGTGTGAGCCACTGCGCCTGGCTGTGCCATGAACTCTTGGGAGTCCCGATGCTTTGCTGTGGTTCTTTCAAGCCGAGACACCTTCCTACCATGCAGCACCATTGACTCAGGTGCAAGCCCTCTCAGAGATCCAGTTGCTGGTCTAGCTCAGCTATTAATTGGAATGATCCTTTCCCCCACTTTTTTCCTCCTCCTTGCTCCTGTAGGAATTTCTCCCAGATAATGAAATTGCCTGGGCCCAGGCTTCTGGTCAGCTGGATCCCACCACAGCCCTGACTGCTGATTCCACATTCTTTGGGATTTGTGCTTACTTGGCCCTACGATGGATCCTGGAGAAAGCTCTTTCAATTTCTGGCCAACCATCTCCCCTCCCCATCCTTCATCCCCATTAGTCCAGTGTTTCCACCCAAGCCTTGTGTTTTTCTCTGCAGGTTTTGCAGCCCTTGCCATGAGTGGCCAGTTGCTGATAGCATTGCTGCTGCCTGTTGCTATTCTGGGATAGGAACTGAGGATGTGCTGTGATTACCCAGACCAGAAGGAAGCTCAGAAGGCACTGGTCCTCTCAGGTGGCACCCAGATCCAGTGTGAGCCATGGGGGATGAAGGGTGGTTAAGTGAAAAGCTTTGGAGTGCTGACAGGTGGTCCCCCTGATATGCCAGGAAATTACTTCCGGGCAAGAGAAACAAAGGAGAGTCCATCTTCTAATGTTACTGGCGCCATACCAACAAGGTGTCAGCTAGAAACCTCTCTCTCTCTCTTGCAAATTCTAGCCTGCAAAACCTGAGGACTGGCCTCAGGCTAGTCAGAAATTTGCCTGAAAACATCATTCCTTGGGGTGGTGGGACTTCTGGGTAAGCCAGTGTGACTTGAATTCTTGATTTCTTATACTCCCTTCTAACCAACCACCTGAATGCTGATCTCTACTAGCTGTCTGTGTGCCTTGCATTTCAATCAGCAGCCTTACAAATGATGATGAGGAGAAGGAGGAGGATGAGGACGATAGCCAACATTTACTGTTCTTTTGCTACTGTCCTAAGTACTTTACAAATACCAGATAATTTTTTCTTCATAACACTGTCATTACTCCCATTTTACAGATGAAGAAAACAAAGCTTAAATAGATCACATGATTTGGTCAAGGTCACTCATGTCACAGAGCCTGAATCCAAATCCAGTGAAGCCTCCAGAGCCTAGTTTCTACCCATGACCCTGTGTTGCCTATTGATGGTACAGTGTAGGTTTTTTCCTTCTTCCTTTTTCTTTTTTTGAAAGTCTTTATTGAATTATAATTGGCATACCATTAACTGCAAATATTTGAAAAATACAATTTTATGAGCTCTGACATACATACACCCATAAAACCATTGTTACAATCAAGATAATGAATATGTCCGTCATTCCCCAAAAGCTTCCCTGTGCCCCTTGGTAATCCACCCCTCACTCCCCACCCCATTCTGTTCCTAGGCAACCAATCATCTGTTTTCTGTCAGATTAATTTGCATTTTCTAGAGTTTTATATATGGAAGCAGACAGCATGTACTCTTTTTTTGTCTGGCTTCTTTCACTCAGCATAATTATTTTTAGGTTCATCTATATTGGTGCACGTATCAACAATTCATTCTTTTCTATTCCTGAGTACTATTCCATTATATAGGTGTACTAAATTTGTTTATTCAACTCTTGATGGACATTGAGTTGTTTACAGTTTTTGGCTATTACAAATAAAGCTGCTATGAACCTTCAAGTGCAAGTCTTTTGTGCACATGTTTTCATTACCGTAAGGTAAATACCTAGGTGGAGAATGGCTAGATCCTATAGTAAGCATGTATATGTTTAATTTTGTGAAAAATGGCCAAACTATTTCCCTGAGTGGTCATGCCTTTTTATATCCCCACCAGCAGTGTATGAGGAGTTCCAGTTGCTCCACTTCCTGAACAACATTTGGTATAGTCTTTTTTTATCTTTTTTTTTTTTTTGAGACAGAGTCTCACTCTTGTTGCCTAGGTTGGAGTACAGTGGCCCGAACATGGCTCACTGTAGCCTCAACCTCCCAGGCTCAAGTGACCCTCCCACCTCAACCTTCTGAATAGCTGGGACTACCATGCCCAGCTAGTTGAAAAAAAAATTTTTTTTGGAGACAGGGTCTCACTATGTTGCCCAGACTGGTTTCAAACTTCTGTGCTCAAATGATCTGCCCACCTCAGCCTTCCAAAGTGCTCGGATTACAGGCATGAGCCCCATGCCCAGCTGGTATAGTCTTTCTAATTCTAGCCATTCTATTCTAGTAGAAATGTAGTAGTTTTTCATCCAGGTTTTAATTTGCATTTCCCCCTAATGATTAATTATGTTAAGCTACCTATTCATGTGCTTATTTGCCATCTTTATATCTTCTTTGGTGAAATGTTTGTTAAAATCTTTTTGACTGCTTTTTAAAAATTAGGTTGTCTTCTTGTAGAGTTGTAAGAGTTCTTTATATATCCTGGAACAAGTCCTTTGTCAGAAATAGGTTTTGCAGCTTTTTATATGTTCCACCTTTTCATTTTTGTAACAATGTCTTCTGAAGAACAAAAGTTTTAAATTTTGAAGTCCAATTTATTGATTTTTAGTTCAGGCTTTTTTTTTTTCCTGATGAATGCCTGAAGAGAAGGCATTCTCTGTTTTGTTGTTGTTGTTGTTGTTTTTGTTTTTTGAGACAGAGCCTCGCTCTGTTGCCCAGGCTGGAGTGCAGTGGCACTACCTCAGCTCACTGCAACCTCCGCCTCCCAGGTTCAAGCCATTCTTGTGTCTCAGCCTCCTGAGCAGCTGGGACTACAGGCATGAACCACCATGCCCAGCTAATTTTTGTATTTTTAGTAGAGATGGGGTTTCACCATGTTGGCAAGGCTGGTCTCCACTTCCTGACCTCAAGTGATCCACCTGCCTTGGCCTCCCAAAGTGCTGGGATTACAGACATGAGCCACCATGCCCTGTTTTTTTTTGGTTTTGTTTTGTTTTTTGTTTTTTTTTCAACTGTGGTAAAATATGCAAAACATAAAATTTACCATTTTAACGTTTTTTTTTTTTGTTTTGTTTTTTTTTTTTTTGAGATAGAGTCTCACTCCTGTTGCCTAGCCTGGAGTGCAGTGGGACTGGCTAATTGTTTGTATTTTTAGTAGAGACGGGGTTTCGCCATGTTGCCCAGGCTGATCTCAAACTCCTGGGCTCAATTCATTTGCCCAATGCAGCCTCCCGAAGTGCTGGGATTACAAGCATGAGCCACCATACCCGGCCTCATTTTAACCATTTTTAAGCATACGGTTTGGTGGCATTAAGTATATTCATACCGTTGTACTTTGGGCTTTTTAAATTCTTTTGAAGAATTTTTGCCAAATCCATGGTCACAAGGATTTTCTCTTATGTTTTCTGTCAAAGTACATAATTTAATATTGTTAGCCTTTATAGATCAATTTTTTTTTTTGAGACAGAGTCTCACTCTGTCACCCAACCTCCGCCCCCAGGTTCAAGCGATTCTCAAGCCTCAGCCTCCCAAGTAGCTGGGACTACAGGTGCGTGCCACCATGCCCAGCTAATTTTTGTATTTTCAGTAGAGATGGGGTTTCACCATGTTGGCCAGGCTTGTCTCGATCTCCTAACCTCAAGTGATCCACCTGCCTCAGCCTCCCAAAGTTCTGGGATTACACGTGTGAGCCAGTGTGCCCGGTCAGCCTCTACAGATCAACTTCAAGTTAATGTTTACGTATGGAATGAGGTAATGATTGAGGTTCATTTCTGCATATGACTAAACACTTATTCCTGCACAATTTGTTGAAAAGATTATCCTTTTCCTATTGACTTACATTGACACCTTTGTCAAAAATGAATTGGCTGTTTTTAAAACTATTTTCCTGGTTTGCTTTCAACAGGTTGCCTTCCGATTTCCACATAGTGTCTTCCTAGATGGACTCCTCACCTATCACTCTGTTCTGATCTGGCTCCCAAACTTCCCTTGCTGTCTGACAGATTTCTAGTGATACTTTCCAGTCTTACCTAATCCCCTGCCCGTCCCCTAATCTGCATTCAGCCTTGCTCCAGCCTTCCTTGTCTGGGCTCTGTGCCCAGCACCTGAGCAGGCCTTGTTGCTGCCCACAGTCCTGATGCCATCAGAATCCTGGAGGGCAAAAGTTGCAGTTAGGTCCTGCTCAGGGCCCAGGGAGCTCCAGCACAGCAGTCTTTCCCTGCCAGTTACCCAGGAAACCCTGACACTGCGGACCAGAGATCCAGCCATTGTAGCAGTGACCTGGCTGCCAGGCTGTCTCAAGACCTTACCAGTTGTTGTGACCATATCAGCCGAGTTGTGAGCCCCCATTAAAGCCAGAAATGAGATTTGGCTGAAGGAGTATTGATAGACAAAACTGAACAAGAAGAATGAAGAGCCTTGTAGATCAATGTTCTCTCACATGGAAAGATAACTTTTTAAAGTATACCTGTTTATGGATAGCACTACAAAGTCTCCGTATCTTTATATGATTTAGAGGTAAAATGACCACAAAGGATGATCGGTACCTAATCAGCCTTCATGTCTGATGAACAGAACCTTGGAGAAGCCCTGAAATGACTTCCTCACATTGTTTAGACTTCTCTCCCGAAGGGGGCAGGCAGTCCCCCTAGTTTTGCTCAAGCTTGTTGGGAGACATCACTCTGTATCCATCAGGGTAGATCCCGGGAAACTGATTTAAACAAGAACCATGCAGCTTGCCTCCCAGACTGCTTCATGTTCAGGCCTCAAAGCAGCCTGCAGAGGGGAATATCTTCTAGAAGGATTTTATTTTGAATTCAGCTGAAAGAGGGCACTACACAGAATATCAAAGGTGAAGCTGTATTGCATTTTTCACAAGGAATAAAAAGCAATCCCTGTGGTCAGCACATGTGCAGGCGAGCATTTGAGGGAGGCCATATCCTAGCACAAATATTCCTCCATGCCCAAGAGGCTGGTAGGACAGACGCCATGAATGAATGTGTTGTTGTGCCTAGGCACTGGGCTGAGTTGTTTTTTATAGCCACTAGACCTACTTAGACTGTTGCCTTTGTGAACCAACAGCTGCAGTTTGGGAGGTGGCTAGACATGGAATCAGGGGGTTTTATTTTGGTGGTGTTCTACCTGGTTCATTCAGGGATGACCCTATTAACACTAAGTTTTAACCAAAGTCACCACCACCCTGGGCAGGAAGCCACACACTCACTTTTCTGGAAATGCATGCAGCCTGATTCTCTTGTGGGCTATGTTGAATGGAGAGAGAATACCTGGATGTGAGGGTTATAGAGATATAAGAAAGAAGTGGGGCATGGATTAGCATCATTATATACTAATTAGCCATCTGTCTGTGAGTCTTCTAGAATAAAGTAACCAGGCCAGGCGCGGTGGCTCACACCTGTAATCCCAACACTTTGGGACGCTGAGGTGGGAGGATCACCTAACATCAGAAGTTCCAGATCAGCCTGGCCAACGTGGTGAAACCCCGTCTCCACTAAAAATACAAAAATTAGCCAGGCGTGGTGGTGTGTGCCTGTAATCCCAGCTACTCAGGAGGCTGAGGCAGGAGAATGGCTTGAACCTGGGAGGTGGAGATTGCAGTGAGGCAAGATCGAGCCACTGAACTCCAGCCTGGCCGACAGAGCAAGACTCTGTGTCAAAAAAAAAAAAAAAAAGAAGAAAGTAAACGAGGAATAATCTCTTTCCAGGTCCACTCTTGGGAACAGAAGTAAATCAAAGGGGCTTATGCTGGAGCTTGACTCTGACATTTCAGGACTTTAGGGACTCTCATCTCTTCTCAGGCTCTTCATGGTAAATAAAGTCTTATTAAAAATGAAGCATTTTAGGACATAGTTCTTCATGTGCCCAAGTTTCAGGCTATACTCACTGGTAGGCAGATTAAGCAGAGGCTTTTGTGGTTTGGAATCCAAATGGTGTTATGAAAAAAGCATATTCTTTAGAGTCAAATCCAAATGGTGTTATGAAAAAAAGCATATTCTTTAGAGTCAGATATATCTGGACTGAAATCCTAGTCCTGTGTCTATCATCTGAGTAAGTTTGGAAAGTCACTCAACTTTGTTTCTTTGTCTACTAAATGAGGTAATACCTGTCTCATAGGGTTGTTATAAAGATTATTACTTTTTAAAAATAGTAGCTACTTTGAATTGAATATTTGCTGTGTGCCAGACACTGTGCTAAACACATGTATTAAATCATTTAATCTGAACTCACTATTTAAGTGGTATCCTATTTGCAAAGTGCCTGGTACACTGTAAGGTACACAGTAAGTGTTCAGTAAATGGTCGTTGGTGCTATTGTAATATTTCAGAGATACAAAGATGGGCTTCTTGCTCCTCTTATTCTTCTCTTCCCCAGACAGTTGATGCCTAAACTGAGAAATGTAGTCAAAAACATAATCATCTCTGGAAAAGAGAAAACACTGGCATTGAAATGAATCCCAAAGCATAAATGACTCATAACATAATCTGTCCTGAGAGTGAGTTTTGATAGGGGAAGGGGGTAAGGAAAGGTGAAGAGGCGGAAGTGGGGAAATAAGATAAACACTGAAGATAAGCTTTGCCAGCCCTGCCTAAAACATTCTGCTGCAATAGAGTTAAGGGGTTGCAAAACGAGTTTTCATGGGCCAGTAGGAGATTTTCCGTACATTTGTTTTTTAGGTCTGTTTGAGTGGAGAATGGAAGGGGAGGTCAGAGAGAGCTCAGGGAAATTCTGTTTCTGCATCATTACATTTTAGGCAGCACTTGAAATCAGGGAGATAGAATTTCCTGAGCCTAGGGGAATATCTGTGGGAAGTCCGGGGACAATGAGCAAAATCTATCTCAGAGCGATCTCTGGCCATTTCAGTTCGCATCCTTTCACCTTGGTGATAGTATTACCCAGGAGTAGGGACCCTGAGACCTTCAAATGGGTTTGTGGCTGGCACAAGCTATTCTTCAGATGCTTGCGGTAGGCCCCAAACTCAGGCTGAGATTCTTACAAAAATATCGTGGTTTTCTGTTTCCATAACTTATAATGTGCTTCTTCCAGGAAGCAAACACCTTCAAGGGCAATTAATAGAAAATTTGTGGAATTCTCCAATGCAAGGCAGTATTGAAGCAAAGTGAAATACTTCTGAGAAAAGGTTCTGGGGAATTTATGCAATGAATCTCCAAAGACATATTTATATGTTTATGCACTTTGTTTTGGTTTGCTTCCTTCTGATTTTAAAAATTATGATTTTTGTATATATCAAAATAGCCTTTCAGTTTCATGTCTAGAAACAAACATTTTACAAAGTGATTGTTTCTTATGGCTGCAGTAAAAAACAACACAAGGCAGATCCCTCAAGTGTTAAAAGCATCTACCCAACATTCCAGGGAATGTCAGAAGTATATGCTGAGGGTGGCATGATGGAAAGGAGGATAAAGTGCCAGGCTGCTCAGTTCATATTTGGTCGTTCATTCATTCATCCATTCGTTCATCAAATCCGAACTGATGAATTTTTTCTTTTTTTGAGACAGGGTCTCACTCTTTCACGTACAGTGGTACAATCTTGGCTCACTGAAACCTTGACTTCCCGGGCTCAAGTCATCCTCCCATCTCAGCCTCTCAGGTAGTTAGGACTACAGGCATGGACCATCATGCCTGGCTAATTTTAAAATTTTTTTGTAGACACAGGGTCTCCCTATGTTGCCCAAGCTGGTCTTGAACTCCTGGGCTTGAGCAATCTTCCTGCCTCAGTCTCCCAAAATCCTAGAACTATAGGTGTGAGCCACCGTGCCTAGCTGTGAGCACCAATTTTGTGCCACACATTCTGCTGGATGCTAGGGATACAGCAATGAGCAAAACAGATGAAACTCCCTGCCCTCATGGAGCTTACTTTCTAGTGGGGGAAAGCATGGGCAGAGGCTCAGAAGTGTGAACGTGCCTGGAGTGCTGGAGGAGCAGCAAGAGTGTCTGTGTGGCTGGGGCAGAGGATCAGAGAGAGAGAGCAGCAGGAGAGAAGGTCAGGTAGTGACGGGGTCAGACCATGTGGGCCGTGAAGGTCATAGTCAGGGCTTTGCCTTTACTCTGAGTGAGGTGGGGGAGTCACTGGGAGGATGTGAACAGAAGAGAGGCATGGTCCCACTTACATTATAACAAAATGCTCCTGGTTGCTATGTGAAGAACAGACTTCAGGGCACAAATGGAAACAGGACCTCCAAGGAGGCTGCTGCAATAATCTGGCTGGATTCAGTGGTGTATGCCTGTAGTCCCAGCTACTCAGGAGGCTGAGGTGGGAGGATCACTTGAGCCCAGGAATTCAAGGCTGCAGTGAGCTGTGATTTTGTCACTGCGCTCCAGGCTGGGTGACAGAGGGAGACCTCATCTCTATTAAAAAAAAAAAAAAAAAGTCTGGGCCAAAGGTGATGGTGACTTGGACCAGGGCTGTGGCAGTGGGAGTGATGAGAAGTGTAGTCTGAGTTCTGGACATGTTTTCAAGACGGCGCTGGTAAGATTTGCTGACAGACAGGATATGCAGTGCTTCCAGATCCTGACCTAGTGTGCAGTGTTTTCGTTTGATGGCAAATATGGGACCTCCAGGAGTTTTTTGGCATCAAGTATCAGACCCTGCTCACACAAAGTGAGAAATGGGGATTTCTCTGGAAGGACATGCAATATCTCACAGACAAGAAGGAAAAACAGTTTTAAGACTGGGCTTGGAAATGATGATCTGGGATCTTAGTACAACAGCAACCAGCAGGCCTACCTTGGGCCACATGATCAGTGGTCATTGCTGAATGGAACCACCCAGATAGGGGAGTAGTGCTTCCTATAGCCAAACTGGGATCAAAAGAAAGAGGGCCAATGGGTGTTAGACAGGCAAAACCCACAGATGTTTAAACTTCATCCCAGTTTAGAGCTTAAGAGATAAAAGAAACAGAGGCTCAAGTTTTGACCAATCACAAGGTAGACAGGAGAGGAAATCATCTGGCTTCCCCTGAGCTGTGTTGAGAAAAGAGTCCTGGCCTGGGGGTCATGCATCTGGTCTGAGCTCTGCTGCTCACTACCTGTGCTACTTCAGGCCAGCGGCTTAACTTCTCTAGTTAACTTCTTAACTAGAAGCCTTGGGCTTCTAGTGGACCAGAGTAAAAGCTGCAAACCTTGTCTTCACCAAAGACCGCTTTGATGATTTCTCCCACCCACCTCCCTCTTGCCCAGTAAACACATTAATTCATGGCTTTATCCTGTGGAAATGTACAATATGCATGAGACTTCTTGAAATGTTGAGATCAGATGAAGGGCAACTTGAAGCAGGAAGTGAATGGGCAAGGCAGGAGGAAGAGCACAAATGACACGGCACTGCAACATTTCATAGGCAGGATTAGGAAAATCCTCATGTTCTCTCCTGCTGTTCACTTTCTGACTTTATTGAGCCCAGACTTTATTATTGCTGTGTCCTCTGAAAGGTTTGATCCACCCAGGGTTTTCTGAGTGTCAAGATACCATTTGCTACACTGTCACCTTGAATTCCCCACTGGGGTTGCTGCACAGGCTGTAGATGTGAACGCAGCGAATTGCACCAGGTTGCTCCTCCATCCACACTGAGCACTCCCTCCCAAGTGGCACCCTCCTCCCTAGCACTTATGCCCACTTATATTTCATACCAGCCTATTTAGCACTTGATTACATATTGCTTTGAATTGTTCCCCAGCCCACTCAGATCAGAGCCTCCCACCTTCCAGCCCGCCCACTCCTAACTCCCAGTGTGCTAGATTTTCAACCTCCTCAAAACCTGTAGTCTCTTTCCCCTGCCATTTTTCTGTCACTGCTTCAGAACCTTCCCCCCAACTTCTTCATTTCCTTCTCTACTTCACCTATGCTTCCTGGGCCATCTCATCACCCTCCTTTGCCTAAGCCCAGCCTCCCTCCTCTCCGCCTTTGCCCTGCTGCTGCTCCGGTCTGGCTGCCGCCCAGCCTTATCAGGCAGCTCTTCCTACACTCTGACATCTGGGCTCCTGGGCTGCTGAGCTCTGCTGGAGAAAATCACAGCCCACGCAGATTGGCGCTACTACAAAGTCATCATCTGCATAGCCTAGTGGGCCGCTGAGCAGCCTAGAAACACTTCTTAGTGTCCCTGTCAGCAAACCTCCCCCTTCCCCACCATGGCCCTTCTAAGTGTTTCCCACCCTTTGAGCTTTGCTGAGAAAATAGAGGCCATCAGGTAGGAATTCCCTTGTTTATATGCACCTACTCCTCTGCCCCACCAAGAAACATATGTTCCCCTCCGGCATTCCTACCTTCCTCCAAGCTGAGAGGCCGTGCTACCTTCTACCTGTCCAAAGGCAACCGCCTCCTGAAAGCTCTGCAGCCTTGGCAGCTTGGCTTCATCTATTCTCCTCTCTCTCTCCTCTACCTTCCATCTCTCTCTAGTTCATCTGATCTTTCTCCTGAGCAAGTAAACCTTCCCTCTCTACCATCCTCTGCCTCTTCTCCTTCCCGCTCTATTAGTCCATTCACACTGCTGTAAAGAACTGCCTGAGACTGGGTAATTTATAAAGGAAACAGGTTTAATTGACTCACAGTTCAGCATTGCTGGGGAAGCCTCAGGAAACTTACAATCATGGCGGAAGGTGAAGGGGAAGTGAGGCACCTTCTTCACAAGGCAGCAGGAAGGAGAAGAGTGAACAAGTGAAAGGAGAAGAGCCCCTTATAAAACCAACGGATATCATGAGAATTCACTCACTATCACAAGAACAGCATGGAGGAACCACCCCCATGATTCAGCTACCTCCACCTGGTCTCTCCCTTGACACGTGGGGATTATGGGGATTACAACTGAAGATAAGACTTTGAGTGGGGACACAGCCAAACCATATCACCAGCCAAATGTGATGGTAGGGCATGTTTGGTGAGGCACAGCCTGCTATGACAGTAAAATGCACAAAAGACAAGAGTGACCTTCTCATTGTCCAGTCTGTGGCCACTTTCAGCTCCTGCCTTGACATTGCTGAAGATATGACACTCTTTTTTTTTTTTTGGGGGGGACAAGGTATCACTCTGTTGCCTAGGCTGGAGTGCAGTGGCACAATCACAGCTCACTGTAGCCTCAAATTCCTGGGCTCAAGTGATTCTCCTGCCTCAGCCTCCTGAGTAGCTAAGACTGCAGGTGTGTGCCACCAAATCCAGCTGATTTTCTAATTTTTTGTAGAGATGGAGTCTCGTTTTATTGCCCAGGCTGGTCTCAAACTCCTGGCCTCAAGTGATCTTTCCACCTAGGTCTCCCAAAGTGCTAAGATTATAGGTGTGAGCCATAGCATCTAGCCAAGAAATGATGCTCTTGACCCTGTTCTCTTCTTGATTCTCTCCCCTCTCTTGACCCCTATGACGACACTCTGTTCTCCTGCTCCCCCTCTGTATTCCAATCATAGTCTCTGCCTCTCCTCCCTGGCACTCTTCTGCTGAGGCTCCTTCAGGCACTGGCCTCCATCTCCTGGATGAAATCCAGGTTCATTTGGACAGCAGACAAGGGCTTCTCCATTTGGCTTATGCACATGATTTACCCTCCTTCTCCACTGGCTATATCCTCTCTCATCTCTGTGGCTTTGTGCGTTTCTTTACTCTGCTTGGAACGCCCTTCGTCCCTCTCTGCCACCTCACTGGGAGAACTCCTATTCATCTTTAGTGATCAGCTCATGTGTTGCCTCATCCTGTAATAATAATAATAGTAATAATAATAATCATGCCTCATCTGAATTTCCAAAACACCCTGAGAGTGTCTTGGTCTTAGCAGTTATCATATTAAATAGAAATGATCTATTTACCTGTGTGTGCTCCACTAGTCTGTCAGCCATACTCAATGCCTGGCACAGCTTGGCATACAATTAAATGCTCAATCCATGTTTACTGATTGAATGAATGAGTCAATGTTCAGTTGTCCTTCAGTATAGGTGGGGGATTGGTTCCAGGACCCCCGACTGACACCAAAATCACAGATGCTTGAGTTCTTCATATAAGATGGGTAGTATTTGCATATAACCTATGTAATCTTCCTGTATACTTTATATCATTTCCAGATTACTTATAATACCTAATACAATGTAAATGCCATGAAAATAGTTTTTATACTGTATTGTTTAGGGAACAGTGACAAGAAAAAAATCTGTACACGTTCAGTACAGAACGAAACTATCCATGTTTTCTTCCAAATATTTTCAATCCGTTTGTGGTTGAATCCACAAATGTGGAACCCACAGACACAGAGGAACAACTGTATTTTGTTATCGTTCCCAGCGTGGCTACTCCTGGGCAATGAATGTGATCAGTCTTCTCAGAGCATTTTAATGTGTTAGATATATTTTCTTATTGGGATTAAAACACATGTAATGCAAAATTTACCATTTTAGTCATTTTAAAATATAAATCCAGTGACATTTAGTACCTTCAGAATGTTGTGCAACAACCACCACTTTCTATGTCCAGGACATTTGTATCCCTATACCCATTAAGCAGTCATGCACCATTCCTCCAGCCCCGGGCAATTACTGATCTGCTTTCTGTCTCTATACATTTGCCTATTCCAGATATTTCATATAAATGGAGTCATATATGTGACCTTTAGTGTATGGTTTCTTTCACTTAGCATAATGTTTTCAAGGTTTATCTGTGTTTTAGCATGTCTCAGTACTCCTTCTTCTATTTATTTATTTATGTATATTTTTTGAGATAGAGTCTCCCTCTGTCACCCAGGCTGGAGTACAGTGGTGTGATCTCAGCTCACTGCAACCTCTGCCTCCTGGGCTCAAGCCATTCTCGTGCCTCAGCCTCCCCAAGTGGCTGGAATTACAGGTGCCTGCCACCATGCCCAGCTAATTTTTGTATTTTTAGTAGAGACGGGGTTTTGCCATGTTGGCCAGGCTGGTTTTGAACTCTTGTCCTCAAGTGATCCGCCCACCTCAGCCTCCCAAAGTGCTGGGATTACAGGCATGAGCCACCACACCTGGCCTATTTATTTATTTTTGCCCACAATCACTAGACTCTATTTTATTTTTTCTTTCTTTCTTTTTTTTTTTTTTGATCAAGCACTTCTTTTTTTTTTTCTTCTTCTTTTTTTTAATTTTATTATTATTATACTTTAAGTTTTAGGGTACATGTGCACAATGTGCAGGTTAGTTACATATGTACACATGTGCCATGCTGGTGTGCTGCACCCATTAACTCGTCATTTAGCATTAGGTGTGTCTCCTAATGCTATCCCTCCCCCCTCCCCCCACCCCACAACAGTCCCCAGAGTGTGATGTTCCCCTTCCTGTGTCCGTGTGTTCTCATTGTTCAATTCCCACCTATGAGTGAGAACATGCAGTGTTTGGTTTTTTGTCCTTGCGATAGTTTACTGAGAAAGCACTTCTTTTTATGACTAAATAATATTCCATTGGATGGCTCTACCACATTTTGTTTATTCGTTCATCAACTGATGGACATTTAATTTGTTTCCACTTTTTGGCTGCTAAATAGTGCTGCCATCAACACTTGTGTACAAGTGCTCATTTAAACACCTATTTTCAATTCTTTTGGGTATATACCCAGGAGTAGAATTGTTGGGTCATATGGTAGTTCTATATTTAATTTATCAAGGAACTGCCAAACTGTTTTCTACAGTGGCTGCACCATTTTACACTTACATTACCATATACATTACATAAGAGTTTCAACCTCTCCACATTTTTGCTAACATTTGTCATCTTCTTCTTCTTTTTTTTTTTTTTTAGTATAACCACCCTTGTCAGTATGAGTGGTAGATATATTTGAGGCATATGCTTAGTTTAAATGATTCCTCTCTGTAAGTGCCTTACTACCATCTGTAGAAGGTGGCTCCCACAGTTATTTACACACAATGTGATGCTGACCTCTGGTCATAGTTGATTGGATCAGGGATGGATTCCTGAGCCAATTTGGGCCAAATATTTTTTTCCACGGGAGTCTGTATTTGAATAGGGGTTTGGTGGATAGACCTGGTTCATATGGCTAAAATATGAACTTGGGAGCTGTGGGTAAGTATCTTTGCCCCCTCATGTGAGCAGATCAGCAGAGGGAACTCCTCAGGAAAAAGATGAACACAAATACTCAAGAGAGAAAAGGAAATGAAAGATGGACAGAGCACACATCCCCCTGAGTTCTGACAGTTTGCAAATTCCCAGTTCTAGTCCTTCCTTAAGCCTGACTGCATTCTTGTTTTAGGGCCTATAACTTGCCCTTTTACCCTATTGTGGTTAAATCAATGCCAGGGAATTTCTGTTTCTTGAAAACACCAGGGCAACAACTCGTTGCTACTCACAACCTACTTAAGAAGGCCCTGAAACTGTTGGTCAAAGCACAAGAACTATAAGGATGCTTTCATTTTTTTGCCCTAAAAATTATTTCTTGTGACCTCACCGGCCTTGCCTCTGCCCACCAACCCAGTGTAATTTGGAGGCAAATTCAGTATATTAACATCATCCAATATTCATGAGGCATCCTCAAGGGCAGGGTGGTCAGCACTTTGCCACCACCTTGATGTGTCTCTTGGCATCTGTTCTAGATTTTTTCCCCCTAATAGCAGAACTCTTTCGTTTGGCTCACCAAGTGTCATGTTTTCTTGTTTCAGTTATCATTGTAAAATTTCCCACTCTTACAGAGAGCTCTTCAAGGGCAGGAAGGCAACACAGTTTAGAGGAAGGACATTTAACTGGAATTTCTGAAGAACCAAATTCTGCTCCTGTTCCTGCCACTAACTTTGCTCTGTAATGCTGAGTAAATCATGAGACTCTATCTGTTTTCCCATCTGTGGAAGTGGGAGAGAAAAATAATACTTTCTCTGCCTACTTCACAGAGATGCAAGTTAAAATTAGGTCATGGATATGAACATTCTATGAAGCAAAAATATATAAATTGCTTTATCCATAATGGCAATGAACCCCTTTGTTTTCTATCCCACTCCCAGACATCAAGTTCAAGGGCCTCACTCAAAAATTACTTGAATTTAACTCTGGTTGATTAAAAAAAAAAGAAAGTGCCCCTGTCTCTTCATCCATTTTTCTCGAACACTGATAAACACTTTTTAAAATTACAAAAAAAGAAAACAAGAGACACAGATCCTGTTCTGTTCTAAGGCAAGTGAATTTCTTGCCATTTCTTTTTTTTTTTTTTTTTTTTTTTTTTTTTTTTTTTTTTTTGAGATGGAGTCTTGCTCTATCACCCAGGCAGGAGTGGAGTGATGCAATCTTGGCTCACCGCAACCTCCACTTCCCAGGTTCAAGCGATTCTCCTGCCTCAGCCTCTCTAGTGGCTGGGATTACAGGTGTGCGCCACCACGCCTGGCTAATTTTTTTATTTTTAGTAGAGACGGGGTTTTGCCATGTTGGCCAGGCTGGTCTCGAACTCCTGGGCTCAAGCCATCTGCCCACCTCGGCCTCCCAAAGTGCTGAGATCACAGGCATGAGCCATTGTGCCAGGCCTATTGCCATTTCTTAATGGCTGTATTTATTTACCTGTAACCTCGCATGCTATTTCCTAACACGCCTCCATCATGCATATTGCTCATTAACAGTGGTTCGCAAATTTGTCTGCACAGTGAGGAGCTTCGAGAATTCTGATGCCTGTGTCCCACCCCTAGAGATTGTGATGTAATTGGTCTGGGCCATGGCCTTTGGAAGTTTTAAAAGCTCCCTAAGTGGTTCAAATGTATAGCCAAGTTTGGGAGTCACTGTCTTTAGGGTTCTTCTCTGTTAACAGATCTGATTCTCATCTTCTTTGGGTTAATTCCCAACTAGGCTCTCACCTGAAGCATTTCCCTTATAAATTGCTGTAAGGAAACAACAGAGGAGATTAATCTTAAATTCATCTTTTCTTCCTACTGTAATTGCCTTGGTCTTCATCACGTTAATTGAAATCCCTTTTGATAAATGCAGTGAAGCCATTAATGGAGGCTTCACTTATCTGCATGCACATTTCCTGTTCTGCTGTGTCTTCCCGCCAACAATTTAGTTATGGTTTGCATACCTCTTTTTTTTTTTCTTTTCTTTTCCAATTCAAATGGGCTCTCGCTGTACCTGAGTGGCTGGCTAGGTCTAATTGCTATCTTCACTTCTGTTTGGGTAAAATTTTCCTTTCTCCACTTAGGTCATCTCCACCTTTGGGATCTGGCCAGCCAGCTCGATCAGCTTGTCCCAAGGATTGCTTGGGCTACACCTTAGACTGAGACATCTCATAATTTGGAGCTAGACTTGGTAAAGCCATTCTGCACTTCTGTTGTTTATCCATTCCTGGCTGACTGGGGGCCAGAGGAAATCTGCTGTTGATGTGGTAATATAAGCAAACCCTCTTAGCGATCCATGGATGGCTGTGGTTGACCCCACATTGGCTTCAGTCAGGAGCTAGGGCAGATTCAAACCCAAGCACACATTCCTTTGGGCCTTTTGAGCCACCCCCTGCCCTAAGGGATTGTGTGAGCTTCATCTCAACATGGGTCTGAATTCCTAAGTAAAAACTAGGACTGCTGTTTCACCCAGGCCATCCTCCCTACACGCAATGAGTCACTGTCTATCATCTGCCTTGGCCCTCCAGGTTTATAACACTATCTGATTTCCAGGGACTGGAAAGTCGGGGGGGATGATAGAAGAATAGAGGCTTTCAGTTCAGCAAACATTACTGAGTCCTGGGCTGTTTCAGGCCATATGGTGCCATGGCCCCATGACTGTCCTCATTCCTTCTCCTTTCCTCTCCTTGTCATTCACTCCCTCCTCCATTGGCTAGAGCCAGAGCACAATCGCAACCAAGGGTGAGAACTCCAACGCACCTGTACCATCAACAAAGGGCCAAAAATCATTCCCCCCTCTCTCTTTTTAAGAACTTCTTAATTCTTTTAGTTGTTTAAGTTATTTTATTCTCTCTCTCTTTCCCTGAAGAAAGCAGTTTTTACATTAAAATATATTTTGAGGTATTTCAAAGAAATTTACCATTACTTACTTTCTTTTTAAATTTTTATTTTTTATTTTGGTGGGTACATAGCAGGTGTATATATTTACAGGGTACATGAGCTACTTTGATACAGTCATGCAATGTGTAATAATCACATCAGGGTAAGCAGGGTATCCATCCCCTCAAGCATTTATCCTTTATGTTACAGACAATCCGATTATAATCTTTTTGTGATTTTAAAATGTACAATTAAATTATTTTTGACTATAGTCGACCTGTTGTGCTAGCAAACAGTAGGTCTTTATTCATTCTTTCTATTTTGTACCCATTAACCATCTCCACTTCCCCTTGACCCCCAACTACCCCTTCCAGCCTCTGGTAACCACGCTTCTGCTCTCTATCTCCATGAGTTCATTTATTTTAATTTATAGCTCCCATAAATATGTGAGAACATATGAAGTTTGTCTTTCTGTGCCTGACAATTACTTTCAATGACTGGAACATACTAGCATTTTCCAACTTTACCTTTTCTTTAGGGGCCCAAGAGAAATCCACAAGGGCATATGATGCCTGAGGCCACAGATTGGGTCCAACAAAGGTCTCTTATCTTATGTATTATTAATGCCATATCATGATGAATAATAACTGAACCTATTGAGCACTCTTACTACGTGCTGGACGCTATGCTAAGCCCTTTTCATAATTTATTTTAGTGACTCCTTGCTCTACCTTATGAGGGGGGTATTATTTATTATCTCTATTTTATATAGGAGGAACTGAAGCTTAGGGAATTGAAAGCTTACCCCTCTAGTAAATGGAAGGGCTAGAACTCAGACCTAATCTGACTACTGAAAATTCTTAATCTCTATAGTTTTCTGAGATGATCTCCTTTTAGGAAAATGTTGTCTTTAAATCTCAATAACAAAGCTTTCTCTGATTTTGAAAAGTGAGGCCTGTATAATTATTGGGTTATAAATATAAGGGATCAAGAGTTTCATGCACTTAATAGTCACTTGAAAAATAATTATCCATGGGTTGATTGACAAACAGCATTTTGTGCATTCAGATTCTGGATAGGGTTCTAGATTTTAGGAAATGATGGAGGGGAGGCCAATTTGGCTTCCTGGGGGTTCATACAGAGGCCCTCTTCAGCCACACCTGTGCCCTGTTGTTGCACATTCCAAGCCTACTCTAAAAGGCTTCCTTACTTCACAGAGATCTAATATAAAAGTGATAGAGCTGGCTGACAAGGCTGAGGAAGGCTTTTGAAGGAAAAGACAGCAATTTCAGAAAATGAACCCTGTGGTTTAGAAAGAAATCAACCGAACTTATGATCTGAGCTCATTTTGTTCTGTTCTATTAAAGAAAAAGAAAAAGAGGAAGAAAGAGAAAAAAATTGCTCTATCACAAAGAAAACAATTTCCTTAAACCTGGTGAATTACAGTCTATCTATGGAGCCTGTATCCCACTGAGATACCTAGACTTTCAGAGCCAAAAAAGGACATTTAAAGAAAGCTTTTTCATCTGAGTCCTGAATTTCACAAAAAGGAAACTGAGGCTCCAAAAGAGTCTGGAACCACACCACTAGTTAGTGGAAACTCTCAGTTTTCCTCCCTTTTTTTTATCTTACCCCTTCTTCTTACTTTTGCTTTTTGAATGACAGGATATTCACAGGCCACTGAAAGAAAAAATAAGAATAATTTCTGGTTCTTCAAGAAAGGTCAGTGAGAGCTCTAAAACTTCTAGAAAGAAGAGAGTCAAATTATTTAATCTAATTTCAGGAAACACCTTGATTTTATTAGCTGAGGGACTGAGTAAGGAGGCAAATCAAGATTTATTACTGATTTCCATGAAAAAAAGAGGAAAATGAATATTGGCTTAATGAGGGTTTGGGTCTATAATTCAATTCCTCACTTCTAGAGAAACAACTCACAGAAAAATTTTAATAGATCCTATCAGTGAACTCTTGAGCTAGTAAGGGAAGGAGTCACCTGTCATTTCTCCAGGGAACCCTGGGTTCAAAGTTGCTTCTGTAGTATGGAAGTCCAGAAAAGAAGCAATCAATTGGAATTTCATTGGTCCAGAAAGCATGCCAAAAAAAGTGTTGTTGCTTCATCAGACCAGGTAACTAAACTTACAGGAAAAATTCCTAACAAAGACGTAGCCAGTGATAGTAACATTAATTCCAGGGGAAGAGTTTGGAGGTGAGATGGACAGAAAGAAGGAAGGCAGAGCTGTATGAATTCATTAAGTATTTATTGAGTGCCAACTATGTAGTAGACACCAAGAGATAAATAAAACCAGCTCTGTCCCTGGAAATGCTTGCAGATGAGTAGGAACTAGCAACCATGAAGGACTTTGTTCCCAGGATCCGGACACCAATATGCAAAACAATCCAGCATCCCCAGCAGCTCATTTCCATTCTTAGACTCTTGTTCTGTTACATTTATTAGGCAGTGTACCTAACTCCTGTGGGCTACAAAACTCCCCAACTAATTAGCAATGCACAGATGTTAACCTAGCAGCTGGGTGCTAGACAAGGCATACATATCCAGCCAAAGTCTGAGGATGCTTAAAAGAAAAAAGAGAAATTCAGCGTCAACTGAGCATCCAGTTCTCTTTCCCAGATGTCATCAGTGCAAATAGGCAGCAGGTCTTGCCCCAGCCATGATCAGAAATTCAGCTCTTGAAGGCTACTTCACTCTATCAAGACTTCAGCTGTTGAGGAAAGGGACTGCTTACTTGTGTTTGAAAAAAAAACAAAACATTATCCATCATGGGATCCAATCCAGGCCAGTGCCAGTTGGATCAATCAACCTTTTAAAAATCTTTTCAGGATAAATATACAGCTACAGTCATGAATTAAAGATGTGAGGGAGAGAAAAATAGTACACAGCTTATAGTGGTTAACAATGGGTTTAAAACCAAAGTGTGACGCTGCATTAATCTTCTGTTTGAGGCCTAATAGGAATTGAGTAAAATTTGTTTTAACCATTTCTATTCTGACAAACATCAAAGATTCTCGAGTTTTGTGGAAGATAAGGAGGAGAATGACTTCAGTGGGGAAAGGAGAGGTAGGTGTGGCTAACTTAAAAAAAAAACACAGAATTTTCTACCAAAGCTGTATATCTGATTGCTGAATATTAAATAATATTATTATTACAATATTAATATTACTGGCCAATTTTATTCATCCCCTTACAGGTATATTTCCGAGTCATGAGTTCTTGTGTACATATAAGTATAGAAGAGACAAACAGTGACACTCATCGCAATTAGGGTAGCTCTGTGATTCCCTAAGTGAATTACTCACTGTTCTTCTGTATTTTTACAGGTAGAGTTATGCCAAAGATTTCAGGAAACAGACTGGGAAGCAGGGCCAGCTTCATAGGCCTGTGACTAATGCAGTCACACAGGGCTCCACACTAAAAAGGGGCCCACAGAGGGCAATAGTGTAACACAAGCCAATCCCCACTGATGCAACTCTTGACATTTAGTGCTCTGCATTACCACCTTCAAATTCTTAGTAATTTTGTCTTTGAGTTTGTATTCAGTAAGTGAAGCTCAATGGAACAATGAAGCGTGTGCCTGGGGTCTTGAAACCTTGACTATCCTGGTTTCCTAGGACTTCTCATCTCCCCAGGATGGGTTACTGACAGTCTGCCCTCTGTTTCCTGGCGTACCGGGCCACACCCAGCCTCCCTTTCCCACCTGGCCTCCCCGCTACCCTAGCCCTGTGATTGCTGTCACTGTCCACCTGGGGTGACAGCCAGGTTGCATTAGTGGGGGGTGCCTGTGTTCCACTGTTGCCCTCTATTCCTGGCAGGGGCCTGGGCACAGGCATGGGGAAGGTTGGGTATGCGCCCCCTGGCACGTCAGGGTAGAGCAAGGTAGCAGCGATCCCTGTCCTGGGCTGGCACTGCCACAGTGCATTTGGCTGGTGACTTGATGGAGCCCTCTCACCCATCCCTTATTCAAGTACCTGCTGCATCCTGGCATGGAAGCTGTAGTCTCTTAAGGAATCACCTATTGACCCTGGGTTGGGAGAGTGGGCCTATGGGAAGGAGGAGATTGAGTTTCTTGCCCCAGCTAGGGCCCTACATTTTCATTTTGCAATGGACTGTCTTGGCAAGTGGCCAATTTCAAAGATTAGGGATGAGGCAGGGTGGAGAAAAGCCTACTTCTTGATTAATACAATTTTTGTATGACATCTAGCTTGGTACATAAGCTATTGGTAAATAGAAGAATGGAAAATAAGTTCTTGCTCTTGAGGAGCTTAAATCTAGTTGAAAATAGATAAAATCAAAATAGATGAAACAATGAGATTTCACAAAGGAGGTAGAATGGAAGAGGGGTCTTGAAAGTAGGATTTAGTTGTGGAGGGAAGGGAGAAAAAGAGACCTGGTTAATGCACTGCAAAATAGAGGGCTAGGCTGACTTGATGATCGTGGCATATTTTTTGGTTCAAGGCCAATTACAGCATGCTAGAGGGGAGGGTGATCCTGGTAGGAGGGGGAGCTGTAGGAACAGGCATGGCGGATGTGAACCACTGAGGACAGTGACTGGGCGGAATAAAGAGTGTGGGCCTAAGGTGGGCGATAGGCTGCATGGAGCCAAATCACAGATGGCAGAGAAGAGAAAATGGGTTCAGAGCCTCCCAGCTGTGTACACTGAGGTACAGCAGGCTGCTACTCTACACCACAGCAGGCCACTCAAAGCTCTCCTTCTGAGACCAGCAAAGAAGGAACGAAAGAAATTGACCTTGTGCTTAAGCAAACCATGGAGTGAAGTAAAGTTTCACAGTGAGCTCAATGATGAGGGGGAAAAGCAAATATTCTCTGGTGAAGGTTGACTTAATTAGCCGTTTTAATAATTCATGAGTCTTTAAAATGTTTGCCAGAAGATTCAGAGCTCAGATTCTGCTTCTGGCGTTGAGCTCAGGGTTTTCTCTATCACAAATTGTGCTGGCTCATGCAACAGTGGCAGCAGCACGCCTGGGAATGTGAGGCCCTTGCTCGGATAAACTGTGGACAGCTTTTATCCCTTGAGACTTCAAACCTTTCTGAGAATCTGATGAAAGTACTGAAATTTTATCCTACGAAAAATACATGTATGTACAAATTCAGGGCTTTGGAGACTCCCCTGAGGTTTGCTTTTGAACCCTAGCCTAAGAATCTCTGATTTAGGACCATCTTTAAGGGCTCTAACATTCTATGATTCTTTTTTTAACCTACCCACAAGCCAGCCTGTCAAGATGTCACCTGAAAATGCAGTGATTTTTTGGGCTTGCAGGCAAACAGCCTCATGTAGATGTTTGCAAAGTGAGAAATGCATAATGCAATATTTGTTCATTAGGATGAAGCAATGTTAATGCAGAAGAGAACTGAATGAATCAAAAGCCATGAGTCAGCTGCTTCCCTAGCAGGTGGCGGGGAGGGAGGCAGCCTGCTGAAGCTGAGGGGGTGGGCTCTAGAGTCAGACAGCCTGGGGCCCTCAAATCCCAGCCAAGGTACTTTCTGGCTGTAGCTTGGGGGAGCGATTCAATCTCTCTTAGTCTCGGTTTCCTCATTTGTAAAACAGAGCTAATAAGATGTACTCTATATCTCTATGTTTTGAGGATGAACTAAGCCGAACTGTAAATCCTCATGCATAGTGCCTAGGCTACAGTAGTGCTCAGTAAAGGCACTTAACTCCCTTAATCTCACCCAGAAGGAGGAGGGGTGCTGTGAATTTGGGGACACTGTGTTGATTTAATGTTGGGGGAGGAAACAGACTCAGGAGTGGCTTGGCACTCTCTCAGAACTCCTGGATATATACCCTCTCCTCTTCCCTCATCCCCCCAAAAGCTTCCCCTCTGGGAATGTGGGCTGGCTCAGGAAGCTAAAGAAGCACCCCCTGTTAACAGCCTTGTTTTTCTCCCCTCCTCAGCTGCTCAGGAGTGTGGAGCCTGCAGGAAACAATGGCAGGAGATCTGGGCTTTTTCTGGCTGCAGGCCTGACTGCAGCAGAGAAGGTAACAGAGAAGGAAAGAGAGAGGAAGAAAGAGTGAGAGAGAGAGACTGGCTTCTCCTCCATTTCTCAAGCAAGCCTTGCCAGCACCGCCCACCGTGGAGCTGCGGCTGGTCCTGGGGCGAATGCAGAGCTGAGCAGCATACAGCTCCTGCTCTCAAAGACCTGGCAACTCTGACATGGAAGTAAGGCTTGCCCAAGAGAGGAGAGTGACTAAGGGCTGCACTGCTGGATGCCTCCAGACCCTTCGATAAGGGGTCTGGGAGGGCAGGGGGCAGACAGTGAGGGCAGGATGGTAGAAAATGTGTTGACTCAGTGCCAGACCCTGAACTAGGCACTTGACATGCACTAACTCTCATTCTCACAGCAACACTCCAAGATAGATGCTATTATCCTGTAAAGTACAGGCGAGGAAACTGAAGCTCAGAGAAGCCAAGTGACTCCCTCAAAGGCAACAGTTATTAAGTGGTGCCATAGGATTCAAACCAGGTCTGCCTGTCTATGAAATACTTTTTTCCCCATTCCCCATACAAGCTTAACTAGGTGAATACAGGGAGCCTCCATAGTCCTAAAACTCTGGGTCCTGTGAAGCCATTACCGAGCTACATGCAACGCTATGCAGAGTCCTGGCTCGGTAAATATTTGCCCCATGAATGGGAAGGAGAGAATGTGCCTTTCTTGGTTCTAGGCAGCTCTTGGAAGTTCACGTGCACTGTTTACCTTTCCTCCCACATTCCCCCAAGAGGAATCATCATCCCTCCCTTCCCTCAACTGAAAACAAGGCAGAGTGGAATGACGTGAAGTGCTCGGCTTAAATAGAGCCTATCTCAGACTTGCCCCACATGGCCACAGGTCTCCTTTCAAACAGCAACCTCAGTCAGAGAATCCCACTTAAGAAAAATCTCTCACATCGTTTAATAAGGCAGACTTGGGAGGAGTAAATGTTTTAAGGCCTTTGCAGCCCCGGTGTTGAGAAAGATTGCATGTGTTCAAGCTCCTACAAGGGAAAGCATTTTGGATTTCCTGGGACAGCCGACATCCCAGAGGCTGAGAGTGGATCAGGGGGAGGAAGGTCTGCAGCAGGCAGCAGCAGGGAGGCTTCAGCCCAGCTTGGGCCTCTGCCGAGGAGAAACCCTGCTGTCCTAGGGAATTTGCTGAGCAGAGTCTCTTGGCCTGATTTGTAGCTAGTGACGTGAATGCATTATCCAAAGCTGGGTGCCAAGCAGAGAGCAGAATGAGACCACCTCTCCATTCATTTCCAGCCATTGATTCGATGATGTTGATGAACTGTGATTTTTAAATGGAAAGGGCTTTGTCATCATGATTTTTCAATACAATTCTAGCATGGCTCTTTATTTTCTAACCAAGGCCCTGGGCATCCTATTTAACATGTTGGGTATGACATGTTCCCCAGGGTCAGCTTTTTATTTCATTGCCATTTTAAGGGTATCAGAATATGTGCTAAGAATTTACATTTGAATAATAGATTTCTGGATGGTAAAATCCTATTATTTACATTTAGTAAAGTCCCTTTGGATAGTAAGAACCAGCACAATATTAATTTTTCTTGCTGTCACTTAACAATATAAATTGGTTTTGTGTAAGAATGAGGTGCTTATTGGATTGAATTTAGGAAATTGGTAAAACAAATTTGACTTCAGTGGGTTTGAATGATTACAATGCAATAAACATATAAAGGCTAGGAAGCTAATTTATCATTGTGTTTTGTTTTATTTATTTGAAACTCCATCTTTGGTATAAACAGGCTTTATTAAAGATTATGAATTCAATTTCCAAATGAAGTGTAAATGGCTTTCTATAGAGAGATTACTTGATTTGTTGTTTTCCTGAATAAAACATGTTTTTGCACAGTGGGATTATGTAGCCTATATATTAATATTGGAGGATTATTCTGTTGTGCTTGGCATCTATGATGTGCAATGTTTGATTTGTTCTCTGATCTATTTGTCTTCACTCTCTTTAATAAACACTGAGACAGAATGCATAACCTCTTAAGACCTGCACTTCAATGAATCATAAAAGAATGTCTGTCTGTGTAGCAGTTTATCATTGGAATAATAATTCTGGTTCCCTTTAAAAATGTTACAGTGACTGCTCTTCAAAATAGACTGCAGAGAAAAGCATGAGAGATGCTGTGGGTCACTGATGGGGAATCATAATTGACCTCAGCTTTTGTCGAATGGTAACAGGCTTTCAGGGTATTAGATCATCACATACCACAGAACTACAAATATACTGCCCTCAAAGTCAGGGGGAAATTTTCCATTTTCAATTTATAAAACTACATAGCACAGACTGGTATAAAGAGGCAGCTTGTTGGTTGGGCTGGAACCTCCAGGAAGATAGCCCTTCAGGAGCCTGCCATATTGTAAAAACCTGTTCAACTTCAATCCTTTTGCAAAAGGATTGTGTAACTTTCACAGCCCAGTGCTTACTGGAATAAAGGCATACTGCACAAGTGAAATCACTGAAAAAGGGATCAATACCTAGATGAAATATCTCAGAATGCTGGGGCTGGGAAGAACCTTGGGAGGCCATCTATTTTAACTCCCTCAAGGCTAGTTGGCATATTTTAATGTATTAAAACTAATGTCTAAAGAGCTACAAAAGCTAACTGTCTGAAGAATTAAGATTCTACCTCTCTTCAGGAAACTCCATTTGTTGTTGTTACTGTTTCTTTTATTTTACTGCATCATAAAACTTCAGAATGAAGGATACAAAGTTCTAGTGGAGAGGAAGTCATTAGCCAACATCATTATTGGAAGAAATGATTTTGTACTGTTAATGACAGTATTATGTTCACTCCATAATTCAATAACTGTGAAGCAGTCTCCAATGAAGAGATGTGGATATCTCTGTTCAAACTAAACTGGGCCACAGGCCAAACTGACCAAATGTATTGTTTTTAAGATTTTAAGTTGACTCAATAAATTCCAAAGTCTAGCAATGAAATAAAAATAGTTAAATGATTCACTCATAAGTGTGTAGCAGCCTCAGGAATGAGTTGGTCTACACTAGTACAATTAAAGTAAATCAAACTCCAATCTTAAGGGAACCTGCCCCTTGACGTAGAGGAGGAAGAAAAGACTGGAGGGCCACCAGGCCTACTTTCATGTCCTCACTTCAAACCCTAAACTATGTCTCCTCTTCTTAAACTCCTAGAATATCTCATTTTGTCATTTTCTACCTCCCAATGGAAAATAATTCTCTTTTCCAAGATGCTTCAGACAATCCTAAAGCTCAGCCACTTGTGATCACATCCACAATAAGATATTATACGCACCCCAACCTTGCTTTACTTCTTACTGGGCTGAATGTTCTGGTTGTCTTCCTTGTCTTTCTATCTTCCAGGTGCCCATCATGGTACCTAGTATATAGTAGGTATTCAACTTTTCTTATTGCTGATTGTTTGTTAACACAATTTTAGTGGGATCTGCAAATTCCATATGAACCCATACTTTAGTTTGCCTCTCAGCAGTAAACCTGCTTTCTCAACTCCAATCTCTATTTTCTGTCTGACAAGAATTATTTCTGTCTGCAGCCCATTATATTCTAGAAACCACAGATTTTTTTTTTTTTTTTTTTTTTTTTTTGAGACAAAGTCTCACTCTGTTGTCCAGGCTGGAGTGCAGTGGCACGATCTCGGCTCACTGCAACCTCTGCCTCCTGGGTTCAAGCGATTCTCCTGCCTCAGTCTCCCGAGTAGCTGGGATTACAGGCACGGGCCACCATGCCTGGCTAATTTTTTGTATTTTTAGTAGAGAGAGCATTTCACCACGTTGGCCATGCTGGTCTCGAACTCCTGACCTCAGGTGATCCACCCGCCTCAGCCTCCCGAAGTGGCGGGATTACAGACGTGAGCCACTGCGCCTGGCCTACAAACCACAGGTTTAAATCTTGCCTTCGGAAAGTTTTTAGTCATAAAAGTTTTAGACATCAGAAAGAATTTCGAATTCCTGACCTCAAGTGATCCACCTGCCTCAGCCTCCCAAAGTGCTGGGAATACAGGTGTGAGCCACCACACCTGGCCTCTATTTGTTTCTTTGTTCTCCTAGTGCCTACTTCAGTGTTGGGCACTAGCAGGTACTGAAGAACCTGTGATTAATGAATGAGTGAATGAGAAAACAAGTACTCCCAAGCAGAAAAGCACACTGTTTGAGTCTGGGATTCAGGCAGAAATTAGTTAGAAATCTGAGGCCTACTAGCTGTGTGACATTGGGCAAATTATGTAAATCCTTTTTGCCTTAGCTACTCCATCTGTAAACTTGAATGGTTGCAGAACTGCCCCTATAAGTCACATGGGGATTCAATGTGACACTAAATGTAAAATGCTTAGCACAGTTCCAACAACATAGTGGATACAGTGTTTGAAAAAGTTAGTTACTATTAGCATAATGAGAAGTGATTAAAAATGCACACAGCCTGGGCATGGTGGCTCACGCCTGTAATCCCAGCATTTTAGGAGGCAGAGGCAGATCGCTTGAACCCAGAAGTTTGAGCGGCAGGTGAAAGGTTGAGATGGTCAGGGCCCGGACAAAAGAAAAGCATGGACCCTCAGCCAGCAGCATGCAATTATAACTGCCTTTGGCAGAGAGACCAGAAGTTTGAGATCAGTCTGTACAACATGGCGAAACCCCGTCTCTACTACAAATACAAAAAATTAGCCGGATGTGGTATTGCACTCCTGTAGTCCCAGCTACTCAGGAGGCTGAGGTGGGAGAATCATCTGAGCCCAGGAGGTCAAGGATACAGTGAACCAAGATCCAAGATTATGCCATTGTACTCCAGCCTGGGCAACTGGAGTAAGACCCTGTCTCAAGAAACAACAACAACAACAAAATAATAAAAACACACACGAAGAGGTGATAAGGGTGGAAGATGGGGGTTACCGCAGTTGCTATGGCTGGGTTAGAGAATCAGCAGAATTTTAAAGAGGGTAGCAATGGGAGTCAGTCATTCATATGATATAGGAGACCAGCTTGGAGCCAGGGAAATGGGTTCTAGATCTGACTCTTTCTCCAACTATGCAGGATCTTGGGCAAATCACCCCAACTTTAGGGTCTTAATTTCCTCATTAGAGGGTTGCACTAAATGACCTCTGAAATCTCTTCCCACTGAAACGATCTATAACTTGAGGGAAAGGATTCCTAGCAGCGTGCATGTGCTGCTTTTAGTGAGGGTGAGAGAGAGAGAGAGAGGCAGAAAGAGAAAGATCACAGGCAGGCCAATTTTCTAAATTTAATCCAACGAGCACCTGGTTCTTAAACAAAACCAATTCATATTGTTAAGTGACAGCAAGAAAAGTTAATATTATGCTGGTTCTTACTATCCAAAGGGACTTTACTAATCTCCTTTAAATCAAGAGATCATGTGACAGACTTGCCATCTGAGGCCCAGAGAGGCTATGCGGGGCTTATTCCAGATGACAGAGCTAGTTGGTGGTGATGTGGATGCAAATCCCTACTTCCTGAGTAGTCCCTGTGCAACAAGGGGTCCCCTATACAATGTCAAGTGACTCGGAGACAGAAGAGAGCACAGCCCATGAGGTGCTTGCTGGGGAGGGGAAACAGAACGCAGGGCTTGCTGGAGATAACTTCACTTGACACAGAAGGACGCTGCTGAAGGAGAGCTTTTGGTCACAACTAAAAGTTTTAATACGATAAAGTTAACTAAGAATCACTGGCAAGTAAAATTATTCCAGTTTTATTTACTACTAAGAGACACAGTAAACCTAGACCAAATATATTCAGACAAGATTGGGTGCATTCAGGGTGGTATGGCTGTATATAAGACAAAATATATTCAAATAAAGAAACTTGAACACAAGAGAAAATTAACATGGGTACAAACAGTCCAAATAATAGTCTAATGGGTTTGTATGAATATTGGAATGGGGAACTGGGGCAATGGCTGTCACTCTTTTTCTCTCCTGACCTTGGGGTCTCCCTAAGGAGACCAAGTATTGAACTCTTAGAATAAAGCAAAGCTCCTGTTCTTTCCAAGGCTTCTCTGCCTCCCAGAAAGGCGGCACAAAGCAGCAGCAACACCAGCAGCAGCAGCAAGTGTAAGGATCAGAGTGGGGGCTGTGGGAAGATGTGGTCTCTCTGCCAAAGGCAGTTATAATTGCATCCTGCTGGCTGAGGGTCCATGCTTTTCTTTTGTCCAGGCCCTGCCCATCTCAACCTTTCACCTGCCGCTTCCCAGTGGGCTTTATGATATTATCCATATTCCAGTTTGATCCAGTGCTCACTTTTTACACCCCCAAATATGACACCTTGGGGAAGAACTGAAGGAGCTACACAGAGATGGCATGAAGAATTGAGTGCTGAGAGCAAGGGTTCAGGATAAAGGCTGTATTGAGAGGAAATGTTTCTGAAGGCCTAGGGAGAGCCATTGAAGTGTTTATGGACAGGATGAGTGCAAAATATATAAAATGGTGACTTTTTTAAAGTTTAGAATGAAAAAAAAAAAGGATGCATTAAAAGTCTCTGAGGATCCTTGAATAAAATGCTGATCCTGGGTCCAAGCAGAGAAAGTACAAGGTGAGTCTGGAACATTTTGTGCCAGAAAGCAAGAAAGTACCCAAAAATGGATGGAGAAATATCAAAAAGATAAAAGGACACAGGAGCGGCTTGAATAGTCCATACTGGCCAAATATGAGACAACTTGAGCACCAAAAATTAATGTGAATGTAACTGATTATAATACACTGAATTAGAAAAAAAAATTCTGCCAGTCAATAGTAATGCTTACAACAAGAGAGAAAGGGAAAAGAAAGTACTTCGTTACAAAAAGAATGCTAGCTAGTACATGCAGAAGGGATTACAGAATAGAAAACCCATAATTTTTCAACCTACAATGTAATTATTGATTTAGACAAGGATCATCAATGGGTGATAAAATCACTAGGTAAAGATTTGGGGAAACAGAATATTCACACAAAGACAGAGCTTTGCCCCACAGATGACTTTATAAGATGACTTAATTAAAGCGGGAAATGTAGCTTTACAATGGTGATGTCTGGTAAATGTCATCATAACTAAGTGATCAAATATATCATCACTAATAGTGGAACAATTGCTATTAGATGCTCTTGAGATTATGCAGTGTGAAATACACAAATATTACCTGCGAAGTATTTTTGCCAAAAGTCTTCAAGCTTAATCTTGTCAAGCCTTTAGACTAAATTGTAATTTATAGGAAATGCAGAGGTAGAGGTACAAGTTAAATGACACTATGAGGAAACAATCAGACAAATCTAAAATGTAAACATTTTAAAAGAAAACTGTCCTGAGTCTTCAAAAATATCAGTGTCATGAATAAACAAGCAAAGGTGGGAGAACTGATCTAGATTAAAGGAATTAAGAGTCTAGGTGGGGCGTGGTGACTCATGCCTGTTATCTCAGCACTTTGGGAGGCTGAGGTGAGTGGATCACTTGAGATCAGGAGTTCAAGACCAGCCTGGCCAACATGGTGAAACCCCATCTTTACTAAAAATACAAAAATAAGCTGGGCGTCATGGTGGATGCCTGTAATCCCAGCTACTCGGGAGGCTGAGGCGGGAGAATTGCTTGAACCTGGAAGGTGGAGGTTACAGTGACCGGAGATCATGCCACTGCGCTTCAGCCTGGATGACAGAGAGAGACTCCATCTCAAAAAAATGAGTTGCCTGGTGCGGTGGCTCATGCCTGTAATCCCAGCACTTTGGGAGGCCAAGGTGGGCAGATCACGAGGTCAGGAGATCGAGACCATCCCGGCTAACACAGTGAAACCCCGTCTCTACTAAAAATACAAAAAAATTAGCTGGGCGTGGTGGCATGCGCCTGTAGTCCCAGCTGCTGGGGAGGCTGAGGCAGGAGAATGGCATGAACCCGGAAGGTGGAGTGTGCAGTGAGCTGAGATCACACCACTGTGCTCCAGCCTGGGTGACAAAGCAAGACTCCGTCTCAAAAAAAAACAAAAAAAGAGTCTATTAGCTAGGTGTGGTGGCATATGCCTGTAGACCCACCTACTTGGGAGGCTGAGGCAGGAAAGTCACTTGAGCCCAGGAGTTCGAGGCTACAGTAAGCTTGGCTCATGCCACATCGCACTCCAGCCTGAGCAACAGAGCAAGGCTGTCTCTTAAATAAATAAATAAATAAAAAGTCTAAAGAGATATAACTTTGCAAAGTATGGCTCTTGTTGGATCTGAGTTAGAGAAAATAAAACAGCTATAAAAGCATTTGGGGAACAAATGGGGAAACCTAAATATAGATGAGATCTAAGATGATGTGGAATTTATTTATTTTTTTGAGACAGGGTCTCACTGTGTTGCCTAGGCTGCAGTGCAGTGGTGCGATCACAGCTCACTGCAACCTCTGCCTCCTAGGCTCAGGTGATCTTCCCATCTCAGCCTCCTAAGTAGCTGAAAATACAGGCACACACCACCATGCCTAGCTAATTTTTGTATTTTTAGTAGAGATGGGGTTTCACCATGTTGCCCAGGCTGGTCTTAAACTCCTGGGCTCAAGTGATCCATCCGCCTTGGCCTCCCAAAGTGCTGGGATTACAGGCATGAGCCGCCGTGCCCGGCTGATACGCAATTTTTTAAACAGTTTGATAACGGTGTTGTGGTTTTACAGGAGAATATCCTTGTTCTTAGGAGAAATATGCTGGAATTTGGTGCTGATGTATGATGTCTACAACTTTAAAATGATTCACTTCAAAAAAATCTGCATGTCTGTATGTGGTGTGTATGTGTATGTGTGTATAGAGAAAGGAAGAGACAGAGACAGAGAAAGTAAAGCAAATGTAACAAACATCAGCCATTGCTGAACCTAGGTGGATAGTATATGAGTGGTTAAGATACTATTTTTCAACTTTTTGTACATTTGAAATCTTTCAAATTAAATTGAAAATGAAATTTCTAAGGAAATATTTGGTCATTAAAAAGCTTATCCCTTGGCCAGGCGCAAAGGCTCATGCCTGTAATCCCAGCACTTTGGGAGGCCAAGGCAGGCAGATTACTTGAGGTCAGGAGTTTGGGTCCAACCTGGCCAACATGGCGAAATCCCATCACTACTAATAATACAAAAATTAGCCGGGCATGGTGGCGTGTGCCTGTAATCCCAGCTACTTGGGAGGCTGAGGCATGAGAATTGCTTGAACACAGAAGGCAGAGGTTGCAGTGAGCCAAGATTGTGCCACTGCACTCTAGCCTGGGCAACAGAGTGAAACTGTGTCTCAAAAAAAATAAAAAAAATTAAAAACTTACCCCTGGCCTGGTGCAGTGGCTCACACCTGTAATCCCAGCACTTTGGGAGGCCAAGACGGACGGATCACTTGAGGTCAGGAGCTCAATACCAGCCTGGCCAATATGGTGAAACCCCATCTAAAAAAAAGAAAAAAACTTACTCCTGGCAAAACATAAGCTCTTTCATTCCTAATCAATCCTGTTATTGTAAAGAAGAAAGATATATTCCCTAAGTGACTCCTATTTCCTCATACAGAGGGGAAACTAAGCTCTTCCCTTCCAGGAAAGGCTCTCTGCAGATATTCTGAAGCCACAAGAGGGGAAAATTCCCCAGCAAATATACTCTCTTTCTTGTATTGACGTGATTTCAGAGCATCAAAAATAAAAACGAATAACATGAGGGATTTACAGTGTTCAGGAATTAATCCATACCCTTCCAATCCAGCCTTAACAGGGTACTCATCTGATCCCATGCCCTCATCAAGGTGACAGCTGCCTTCTCGGACTGTCTGGTCCCTGGTTCCTGATTTCCCTTCAGAAGAGAGGTCAGTGCATCTCAAACAGAGAGCAAAAATGGCAGATGAGCTTCCAAACTGACATTGTTACCAAGAGTTCCATGGAAGATAAAATAGATAATGTGATCCTGAGCACAGAACAAAGAATATTGAAATATGGAGAAGAGAAAGAAGATGGGTAGGTAGTTTATTTGGAACATCCAAAAAATCTTTCAAAGCAGACAATGATTTATGCCAAGTTCCACAAGCAGAGCCTAGAAATACTGACTAGCTAGTTAAACGGGAATGGAAGACAGCGTGAAAAAGGACAGAGAGGTCCTCAGCAACGCCAAATTCCCAGCCTTGAGAATGGGCATCCCAATTTCTACCTGTCAAACTTGCCAAAAGATACTAAAAAAGCAAGCCAATATGAAGAAAATGAAGTTACACTTTGAGGTACCTTTGCAAAAATTCACACCTCCATATAGCCTTCCATGCTGCCAACAATACACCAAAATATCAATCACCTTGTTTCTGGAAACCATTCAGAGTGAAAGCACAACATTTTTACAGCTTAATTACTTGGTGGTTAATTGCTTTAATTCATAATTTCATGAAGCTAATATGGTCTGAACCATAAATTCTCTAAATAAGATGAGAAAAACCACAATTTAAAAATTGTATACAGAATTATTGTACAATACAAAAACCCAAAGAAGATGAAAGCTATATTTGAACAAGTATGTATTTAGCATTTTCTTTCTTTTTTTTTTTTTTTTTTTTGAGATAGAGTCTAACTCTGTTGACCAGACTGGAGTGCAGTGGCACAAACTCAGCTCACTGCAACCTCCACTGCCCGGGTTCAAGCAAATCTCTGCCTCAGCCTCCCGAGTAGCTGGGGCTACAGGCGTGCACCACCACACTTGGCTAATTTTTGTATTTTTGGTAGAGACGAGGTTTCATCATCTTGGCCAGGCTGGTCTCGAACTCCTGATCTCATGATCCACCGGACTCGGCCTCCCAAAGTGCTGGGATTACAGGCATGAGCCACCGTGCCCAGCGTATTTACCATTTTCAAATTGATTTAAATAGTAACTTCCATAAGAAGATTAGAATTGCCCTGCTGGCTACTTTCTCTGATAAAAAAAATTTTTTCATTATTTTTAAGACAACATATGCTTTGTAAACACTATCTGAATATTAAAAGCCATGTGAAAAAGGCATGTACAAAATGATAATATTTTCGTTCATTCATCTACCTATCCATTCAACAAAATGTATTTAGCATTAGCTATGTCCCAGCATCATGCCAGGTGGTAAGGGTACAGACATAAATAAGGTCCCTCAAGGAGCTCAGCCTAGTTGGGGCAACCAACCTGTAAGAAAATAGTACCATCAAGCTTTAAGGATATTTTGAGAGATAATGATTATTTCACTTTGAGTCACAAGGAGAGGCACTGGTGGAGATAGGAAGACATCACAGGGGATGTGATGCTTGGGTCAAGTATAAGCAGATGTTCAGCAGGCAGTGGAAAAGGAGGAAAAGACTTTCTAGGCAGAGGGAGCAGCACACGCAAAGATGTGGGAGTGGGAAAGTGCACAGCACATCCAGATACCTGGGAGTGGTTCAGT
Organism: Homo sapiens; assembly: GCF_000001405.40. Lineage (NCBI taxonomy): Eukaryota > Metazoa > Chordata > Mammalia > Primates > Hominidae > Homo > Homo sapiens. The sequence goes on along the minus strand of NC_000002.12, from coordinate 47,181,358 downwards.
GTAGCTTTGGTGACAGAGTGAGGGAGGCACTTTTTAATGAGACCAGAATAGAGGAGAGGATGTCTGGGTGAAAAGATCATGTGTTCAGTTTTGGATGTGATGCCTGAGGGCCTCTAGGAGGTGTTGCCAGCAGGCATTTTCAGCACTGTCTATAGACTTGGGTAAGAGAGAAGCTCCCTTAGCCTCCTTTTAGAGGACTCTGTTCTGTCCTTCCTCCAGGTGTACTCCACACACAGGCCAAGGGGACTTCCTCACGCAGAGCCCACACACTCCTACCCCTTCTAGACTATACCAGGTCCCCAGGACCACAGAATTCCTTGTTCAAACAGCCCAGAGCCTGCTTCCAGGGCCTGTGGAGTAGGTGTAGTGTGGAGAGTGGACCTGAGGATGATGTTGACAATGGAGATGGTAATGATGATGTCTCTGTTCCTTTGTGTTTCTTTTCTCTTTCTCCACCTTTGCCCAAACTTCTACAGATCACATTCTCTAGGAAGCTCCCTACTTACCCATTAGCTTGTCACCATGTGCTTCCATGGTCTCCCACGTTCATCTTTAGCACAGCACCTTTCTAGCACCTCATAGGCTACTGGTATTTATAGAATGAGTGGTCATGGTTTCCAGAGTGACCCACCAACCACCCTGGTTTGCTTGGAACTGTCTGGTTTTAGCACTGAAAGTCTAGCATTCCAGGAAAACCTCCAGTCCTAGGCAAATCCAGGAGATTGATCACCCTTAAACTGACATCTGAAATTTTTTGAGTGAGCAAATAAATGATTGTTAATATCAAAGCTGAAGGCACCCAATTTTTCCTGTGTGTATGTGAGCAGAAACCCATTCAAGGTATCTGGGGGATTCATTTCCTTCTCTGTACTCTTCAACTCCCATCTCAGCAAAACATGACCTGGCTGGATTCCTGACCCAGCTCCGTTTTTTCCCATAATCTTGGAGGAAGGATAGTTTAACTTTCTGAACCAGGGCTCTTTATCTGAACCACAGAACAAGAAATTGATTTCAGTACTATTCTCTCAAGGCTGGTACATAACTAGTACCATTCTAGATGCATAGAAGTTGATTCAATACATAATTCAATGCCTTAGGATATTTAGGATTTATTTCTTTTATCTGTTGAGAAACACATAGGCCTTAAAATCAAGAATGCTACTGGGGGCCAGACACAGTGGTTTATGCCTCTAATCCCAGAAGTTTGGGAGGCTGAGGAGAGAGGACCTCTTGAAGCCAGGAGTTTAAGACCATCCTGGGAAACAAAGCAAGATTCTGTCTCTACAAAAAATTTTAAAAATTAGCTGGGCGCACTTTGGGAGGCCGAGGTGGGCAGATCACGAGGTCAGGAGATCGAGACCATCCTGGCTAACATGGTGAAACCCTGTCTCTACTAAAACATACAAAAAATTAGCCGGGTGTGGTGGTGGGCACCTGTAGTCCCAGCTACTCGGGAGGCTGAGGCAGGAGAATGGTGTGAACCCAGGAGGCAGAGCTTGCAGTGAGCTAAGATTGTGCCACTGCACTCCAGCCTGGGTGACAGAGCGAGACTCTGTCTCAAAAAAAAAAAAAAAAAAAAAAAAATTAGCTGGGCGCAGCGGTTTGTGCCTGCAGTTCCAGCTACTTAGGAAGCTGAGGCGGGAGGATAACTTGAGCCCAAGAGTGCGGCTATAGCAAGCTATGATTACGCCACTGTACTCCAGCCTGGGTGACGATGAGACCCTGTCTTAAAAAAAAAAAAAGCTACTGTGATTGTCCCTTTGCCCTTCACCTTGGTCATTAGCACAGATGGCTGGAGGAGGGAAGCTATGGGAAGGAAGTGTCAAAGGATAGGGCTTGTGTTATCTCTGACCTGCAAATTGAGGAAGAGGTGTGGAGAGGAAGTACATTCTCACTTTCCCAACATGGGCAAAGGCAGAGAGCTGTAAGGTTTTACCAGTCAGGACAGGAAAATTCAAGGACAACCACCTTCTTGGCCTTGGCATGTTGGTCATCACCAACCTTCTCAGTGGCAATTGCCAAAGTCAGGCAGCACTGTATGTCATGTTGTGGAAGACAAATGCTCTATAAATAAATTGACTTGAAACAGTCTCAAATACACATAAACCACAATGGCTTTAAATGTAACTCTTGACTTTTTTCTCATTTTCTTTCTCTTCTAAGAGAGGTCAGCAAGGAAAGTTCTGCAAGAGAGGCTTTACGGAAATCCAACCTAAGAAACCTGGGAGGACTTTTATGTATCTGTTTTAACAAACATATTTCACACCTAAATATTTGTTTAAAAGCTCCTGGAGGCTTTAAACTCCAGAGATGGATACATACATCTCTGAGCATGCACCTGTATTTCAGACTTAACGATGCACTTGTTATATGCTAGACATCCATCTTTTTAAAAATTCATTTTCTAGAGGAGGTGATTATTCATTTTGTCATTCAATTTCCCATCATTAAAAATTTCATGCAGTAAAATCACTGCATACTAATGGGGTACTGTGTAAAGAGAGTATTTTTAGTGACTAAGTTGAAAGAAAAGATCATTGATGGCTCTTCCATCTGAGGATTTGAGGAGTAATCAGAGACAAATTTCTGAGGAATACCTTGGAAAGACCTGGAAGCTACCAGAATGCAGAGTAATGAAACGGAGGCCTTAGGGCTCCGTTTTCAGCTCAGATTCTGAAGCAGAGGTGTCCGCTTTTAAGTAACATTCTGTCTCGATGGTATTCCATTCACAGGATAAAGTTAATTAAATCTCCTTTCCCCCCACCATCATTACGTCACCACATTAGCGAGGACAATAGAAGCACAGGGTCCTGAGTTTGCACTGACTGGTCATTCATCTGAAAAGAAGGTCACAGGGTTGCCAATGCTAATTGGAAGAGCATTTAATGCCTGGTTTGCATGACTGAAAGAAAGAGGACCCACCTCTGGCCTGGCAAAGAAAAGATTTTTGATGGTGTGAGAAAATGTCTAACTTGGCTAAAGGAGGTTAAATTCCACTGAAGCCTTCCAAGTGGATGCAGGTAGCTGTTAGCATCAGAAATGGTCTTGCTGGGCAGGGCAATGTTCTCTAGGGAGCTGTCTTCAGTAGGCAAGATTTCACCTTGGCTTGCAAAAAATGCTGTTCACTGGGTTTTAAGGGTCTACATGCTTGTGCTTTTTACTGGAAAATTCTCAGACCTTGATATGGCCTGTGATGATTTCTTTTTTTTTTTTTTTCTGAGCTGGATTCTACCAACAATCTTCTTAAGGAACTGCCTTTTGAGATTTAAACCTTATTCCTCTTTAATTTCCCAGCGTCCTCTCTGCCTAACGAGGCTGGCTGTCTACTTTGGGCTTTAGTAATGCCTATCCCCTTGCAACTCCTCCATCATACCACGCAATTACACACCTCCGGGCCTTTGCTGTTACTTACTTCACCCAGAACTTGCTCCCTTCTTTCCTCCCTGCTTTTTCCTAGCCCATTTTATAACATTAGACAATTTAGGAGTTACCTTCTCTAGGAACCCTTTTTGGAACCTCTTATAGAGGACTAAGGTCCTCACCTCTGCATCTCGTAAGCCCTTCTATAGTTACAATTATAATCAAACCGAGTTTACACAGTAGGTGTTCACTATCCACCTGTTAAATATTTCAGGTATGTACGCCTTTGTTTATTTTGGATGGGACCAAGCAGTTAGTTTTTATGTGGTTTTTAAAATATTCATTTAAATCTGTGGAGTTAGAAATCCAAAAGGGCAAATTTCCTATGAAGGGGAAGGCATATTATAGTGACCAATTGTTGGAGTCCTACCCTGTGCCAGGTACTTTAACACTTTGTTAATTCTAATCTTTGCATAATTCTAATTTCCTCAATATTCTTTCGAGATAGGTCTTATTGCCTGTATTTTACAAGTGAGGCTAAAAATTAAATGACTCACCCAAGGTCTTGCACCTGAGAGAGGGACCCAACTAACTCATGCCCAGCTCTGTCCAATCCAGAACCCTTTAACCCCACGATAACAAGGGGCCATTTCGAGATACTAATCCCACTGAAGCTCGGATACTGTGACTTTTGAGTTACTTTTCTTTTCTGGTAAATTACCCTTGGCAAAGAACGCGAAGAGGAAGTATAAACGAAATACCCTTTGAGATTAGCCTGTCAGCTGAACAGCTACATTTGCCCGTGTCCAGATTTACATGGGTTTTGTGAGGGCGTGAAATGAAGAACGTGCGGCTTCCATGAGGCCAAAACACTAGGTTAAAAAGCTGAGTTCAGGGTACGCGTTTATCGGAATCTTTCAGCTTCATTCTTTATCGGCTTAAGGTGTTTTCGTCTACCCCTCAATAAGGGGCGGGAAAGTGGGTGAGTGTGGCAGGGAAGGATACGTGGAAGAGGAAGGTTCTCCAGCCAAGCGCAAAGCAGGCGACTCTGCCGCCTGGCGCAGTTGCCAGGACAGCGCGGCCCGAGCAGCAACGGCAGAAGCCGCACCGCGTCCCGGCGGCGGCTGCGAGTCCCAGTGACGCATTGCAGGTACAAACCAGCCAATCAGAGGCAGGCTCAACGACCAACGGGGGACGCATCGCCGCCACGATGCTCCTCCGCGCCGCAAAGTAGCGCCCCTCAGGGGCCGCTCCACCGGCCTTTTAACGGCTCGCTGGAAATGAAACCCACTTACGTCATCCGTTCGCCCACTTTCCTTGATCTCTTGCCTCATCGACCAAATAACTGTGAAGAAAGGGGTCCCGAGAAGAGTTTGAGGGGAGGGGGTTGGCCGGGACTCGTTTGCGATGTTCCGTTATCTGGATGCGGCGGAGGGATCTGGCGGAGGGAGGTGTTTATGAGGCGCTGGGGGCGGAGGAGGCGAATTAGTCCGAGTGGAGAGAGCGAGCTGAGTGGTTGTGTGGTCGCGTCTCGGAAACCGGTAGCGCTTGCAGCATGGTGAGTGCATCGCTGAGCTGCCGGCGCTGGGCCTGTGGGGGGAAGAGACTGGAGCGAACTGACTAAACAAAGGAAACTCGCCTCCCTTACACCTTCAAGGAGTGGTTTCTGCCAGAGGGATGGCGCGAAAGAGGCCAGGGATGCCGGCGACGGTTGTGTCGCAGGTGCTCCCCCACCCCCATTCTCTTCAGGGGGGCTTCCTCTAGTGAGTTGAGGGCCGGACGCACAGTTCCCGAGGTGGTGAAGCTCCTCGGGGGCTTGGCTGGAGGAGGATGGGTCCGGGATGAGGGACAGCCCAGTGCACGGGAAGGAGAGAAAGTGAAGGAAGGGAGAGAGGGAGCGTAGAGAGCCTTCTGTCGGGCGTCTGGAAAGGTCAAGCAGGGGGCGAATTCAATCCACCCGACCGACGGTTAGTGCGGGCGCCAGGAAGCGCCTTTGTCCGCTTGCGGCCGCCATGCGCCCAGGGGGCGGGAGGAGCGCGCGGGGCCCTGGGGCGAGCGTCGGCGTCGCAGTTAGCCCGCGTCCTCCGCGTGCCGGGATCCAGGGGGCGCGCGGGCGGGCGGGCGGCGCGCTGTGTGGGCCGAGCCCGCGCGGCGCAGGGAGCGGCCGGTGGGGGCGGGGCGGGCGAGCGCCTCGCGGGACCCGGAGCCGCCGCCCCGCTCGGCCCCGCTCGAGCTCCAGCTGCTCTGCTGGCACCTGCAGGACTGCGGAGATCTCCTTGGCGCTGCGGGGCCATTGGCGGGGATGGGCGGGGGAGGGGGGCCTCGACGGTTTCCCATCCCCCTCTGGCAACCCTAATCTTCCTTCTCCATCTGGGCCCTGGGGCGTCTTCCACCACCCAGGCCGGATGCTTTAAAAAAAATTGCTTTTTAAAGTGTCTGTCGTTGAAAGAAATTAGTCTTACCCTTGAAGTCAGGGGCGCGTCCTCGCAATACACATCTTGTTAGGGAAAGTGTTCGGCTCCAGCTAGGGTTCTACAAGGCGTTTCTTGTTCACCGCCGGAGGGAAGCAGGCTCCGGAGTGACTGCCTTCTGAAAGTCGGTCTTGTAACAATTGGATGGATGCCTTTGAAGAGCCCCTGTCCCTATTCTATGCTTGAAAACAGCGTGCAGTCCTAATGTTCAAGAACCACGACCACATAAAAACATTGCTCCCCTTCTGCTGCTTTGAAAACGACCCCTAAATTCCGTGTAGAAGTTGCCAGGTCGTCTTGACGTACACTTCGTTTGTATGATGTTTGTCTGTCAAATACTGTGATGGAAGAGTGTATGCGGGGGAGGAGCAGGGAATTTTTAAAAGCATTTTCCGGTCACCTCAGACTGGGAGATCATGTTCTTTCCTGAAAAAAAAAAAAAAAAACACCTAATGAGGGCGGTGATCTGTGATACTTACTTTGTGGTTCCTCCTGCCAAGTGGTTACAGCGATGGGTGTGTCCAGGAGGCAAGGTGACATCTTAAACAGGAGTTAGGGATCCTTGCCAACTGAAACCTCCAGCCTGTATGGGTGTGGGGAGACGATTTCACCTTAAATAAAACTAGCGTTCATTGACGTTTGATGGATTTGCTTCATCTTGATGCTTCAAATGTTATTCTGAATTTGAATGTGCTGGTTACATTTGCTTTCTTAAAGATGTAGTTACAGGCATATGTAATAAACATTACAAGTTGTGGAGTAAGCTTTTTTTTTTAAATAAACGAAGGGTAAAGTTTTCTTTAATCAGTTTTGATAATTGAATCAGTAATTCGAATAGATTTTTTCTTGGTAGAGTTGGTATCTACGCATTTGTGGTCCCTTGCCCAGTGTTAAGCTTTTGTAGTTACTGTTTGCATCACTGGTGCTTTGGGGGTTTTCTGTTAAATTGACAGCTCTTACTATAAGAGACAAAGTCGAAAAAAAAAATCTTAATAAAAATTGACAGATATCATTATTTGTGACAGATACAGTAAATTTGAAAATTGCCTTCACATAACTTTATAATTAGAGGACTGAGATTTTACATTAGGAATCCAATTAAAAAAAATTAGCCGGACATAATGGCCTGTGCGTGTAGTCCTGGCTAGTCAATGGGCTGAGGCAGGAGGATCATCTTGGGCCCGGGAGTTGGAGACTGTAGTGAGCTATGATCACACCACTGCACTCCCTGGGCAACAGAGTGAGACCCTGTCTCTCAAAAAATAAAAAAAATTAGGACCCCAAGTTAAAGTATAAAAAATTTTATACGGAAGTAAAGTAAGATTGCTCATGTAACTCTTGAGTTTACATGTAATCAACATATGCTCATTGAAAACGGGATTGCTTCAAGAGGACTTTGAGTGCAGGGTGATTAGGTAAGTAAAAGATGTAAAAAGGTAGAAAATTTTTGTCACTTGAGTCTAAATAATTGTTCTTATAAGTGCCAACGCCTGTTTCTGTTAGGCTCAGAAGATCAAAGGATTTGGCTCTTTTAAAATATAGAAAGCTCTAGCTTCAGCTAGAATTTAGGCCTTTAGTAATAGCCCTAATTTTTATGAAGCCATTTTGTTCCAGTGATCTTTTGGTGAGAGATGCTATGTAAGTACTATTCTTCAGAATTAGGTGTCTTTTTACCCTAATGAAATAATTTAGATTGCTTTTGATACAGGTAAAACAAATATCCTGGCTTCCATAATTGTAGAAAAAACTTCATATAGGAATCCTTGTTGTATCAAAGTAGCACCTGATGGGAATGAACAGACAGGAATGGATGAAGGATAGCAGTTTGCGTTCCATTTCAAGCCTATGGGCTCACACATTTATTCAGATAAGAACACCACCTTTCACTAGATAAACTCCAACAGTATTCATGCATACTTTTGAATGGCATGTAGGAAATGTTTGATAGGTACATAATGTATTCACTTCAGGTCACTAATGTAATACGGGGTCGTGCTCCTTAGTGTTGACAGATCACCTATGGTTCTCCAAAATGAACATTCTAGTACAGGAGGTCTAGGGAGGAACCTGAGAGTATACTAATGCCTAGGAACTTTCTCTGGAGTGGCAAGAGCAGTGGGAAGAATTATGTCAATAGCTACAGAAATAAGGGAGTAAGAACAAGTCATCTCTCTAGTGAATTCTTCTTCACTTTACTGAGATAAACATACATGTTAATGAGCTTGAGTTTTCCCAAAAGTATAATTCTTCTGGTTCTTCTAAGAAAATGGCACTCCCTGGAAACAAGGAAGAACCAAATTTATTCGCCTTTGTAGCAGTTGGGAAAGTTAGTGCTAGGAAGTCTTCTTGATTTATAGTAGGCTTTAATCTGGATATTGCTGGTAAAAGTTTATTCTAAAACCTGAACTCTGGATAAGTAATACAAAAAGCTTCTCAACCTTCCAAGCAAAATTGAGAGCTTTCAGGTTATGTGAGTAATTTGGTCTCTTGGGTGCTTAATTCATTCCTTGAAGCTCATTTTTGTGATCTCTTCCAAGATTGCATTTGCTTGGAGGTAGGGAGTTAGACAAGATGGTATGAGGTCCCTAAATTTTGACTTTCCAAGCAAAATTGGACAGTGGTTCCTAAATTGCTAACATCCTCGTTTCTTCCTAAGGCTTCTCATGTTTCATATATAGTAGCCTTCCCAAAGTCCCATTTCCCACCCCCCCCCCCCCCCCAACCCATGTAGAGAGAACGAACCTGTCTCCCTTCCTGTACAGAGTACGGGATCCTTCAACTTTCACACAGGCTGCAGTGTCTGCCACACATTTAGCTCAACTTTTTTTTAGCCTTAAAGTGATGTCCGCTGCATCTGTCGCTGGGTTGCACCTTGTGGATTTAGTTTGCATAAATTTTCTCAGCTTAAACAAAGTTAACATTGAATAGAGTAAGCTTACCATAAAGGGCTTAATAAATGCCATGCATGTCTACATTCGGTGTGGAAATTGAGCTAGTCAGGTTGATATTTAACATTGTAGGTTCTTTGTTAATTTATATGAAATAATGGTTATCATTTAACTCTTTAGGTTAGCTTTGTACATAGCATCTCACTTTGCACAACAACCCTGCAAGGTAAGTATTGTTATTCTTGTGCTACAAATGAAGTTGACTGAGAGGAGGAGTACCACGTCCAAGGTCACACAGCTATTAAATGGCAGGGCTGGGATACTGGCCTGTGACTCAGAACTTGATGCTTTCCCCCCACGCCACGCATGCCAGGTTGCCCTTCCTTTCAGAAATGGTGGAAGTCCTGCAAAATGCAATAAACTGAAGTAATGTAGCTTCTATTAATACAAAGTAAATAACTCAGATTTACTGGATTTTAAACCTTATTCCTTGGGTAAACAATCTGTGACTGACTTCACACCAAATATTTGTTGGCGGAGGATTTGGACTTTAGGGATAAAAGTGGATACATTTTTTATTTTACAAACTCTGTATTTGAACTTAATTATTGGCTCTTCAATTTTACGTTACCAGCTTTTTTTTTTTTTTTTTTTTTTAATGAATTTGATTTACATCATGGTCAAACAAAAATTGTTGAGCAGGGAAAATAAACTGCTTTCTGGATTCCTTCTTGAATTTTCTCATGTGCCCTAGAGAAAATGTGTTCCACATTAAGGTGTTACTTTTTCCAGGGGTGTGTTCATTTAAAAAGAATGAAGCCAGGCAATGTTTATTTTTCTTTTACCTATAAATAAATGAATGGATTAATCATTGTATACTTGACTCCCATGTTGGTAGGGATTTTAGATAGGAGGCTATTTCTTGTCTGTGCTTCTCAATACCCCATAAGCAGTTGCTTCATGGATGTATATACTAATAAGCAGTGAAAGAAAGTGCATGTTCAAAGAATACAACAAGGAGTCTGGATATTTTGCAATCATCTTTATATATTACGGTGCTCTGAATTAAAAGCTAAAAGTTACTGGGTATGTCTGACACCTTAGTGCTTTATCTTTGTTCTACTAATTTTCTGTGCCCCAATCCCACTTAACCCTAGCCTCATTCCTTATCTGTAAGATAGGGGATAATACCACTGTAAGGTTATTATTAAGATTGAATAAGGATAAAATTTATAATGGGTTTTAGCAAATGGCAGAAAATATTTTCTGAAGAAAACCAAGTGCTATTAAAAAAACATCACAAGCCTTGGGCTTACTTTGGGATTTTAAAAACCAAGAGAAAATGGATGGCTGAACTTTCAAACATTTGGTAAATATTATAGTACTGTAGTTCAGAGCTCTGGATTCTTTGCATTTTGCCTGCTGGGTGAGAAGGAATAAAAGTTTGTGCCTTTTTTTTTTTTTAATCACTTTAATTTCAAAACAATGTGTTTAACCATTTGTGGGAGTAATTTTCATTTTGTGAGCCTGAAGCATTTTGATTCAGTGGGAATTTCTGGTGATTTATATCTGGAATAGAAGTGAGCTTAAGTTTAGCTATTCTAACGTTGAAAAAGGAAGCAATGTTTCTATTGGATTCTAAAGTATATTTTCAAAAATATTCTGAAGTATTTGTATATCTTAAACTTGGAGTTAAGACAGCTTAGCTTTGAAGATAAGAGAAACTAGATGTGTGCATTTTCTATCCAGATGTGTTTGTTGCTGGAACTAAATGAAACAGTACATGGTAACCCTTGAAAGGTTTTAAACTTGTTTCTGTAACTGCTAATCTACATACTCTCAAGTCACTAACCTTCCTCTTTGATCTCTTTGTAGGCTGACCAACTGACTGAAGAGCAGATTGCAGGTGAGAAATACTCAGCTAGATTGTACCCATTAGATTCTTATTATAAATTGAATAGCCAACGTCAGAATAAGAGACTTGTATGAAATAATTGACTTTGGTATATGTCATGGATACTAACATATGGGTATAATATAATACAGTAATTCAACCTGCTTTGGCAAGTGGGATTGTAAACTTGCCGATGGAAGATGTGCAGGGCTAATTGTAGTTAAAGACATGTATTTTAGTCTGCGTGGATATACTTTGGAGCCTTGTGGTGTAGTGGTGGTCTTTGTTTTGTTTTCTGAAGACTACCTTAGTATAAAACAGGAATTCTGGGCTAGCTAACACGCTAGAAAAGGAGGCCAAGAAGTAACTAAGGCAACTTGAAATGGAGAATCAAAAAAGGAACAATTGAATTTACCCTAGTTAAAATTAGCTAACATTTTAACCTAAGAATTGCATATATAATCAGTCAGGGAATAACCATTTCTCAAGTGAAAAAATTTAAGAAGTTGGCATTCTATTCTATAAATGTCACTGTAGCAATGTGGATTTTTCTCTTAAAAAACAGTGACAGCTGTTGAAATGAAGCCGCTTAAATCTTGTCCCTTTTAGTTTGCTATGGAAGTATGCAAAATTATTACATAAAACCTGATGTCATGTTCTCTTTATGCCATGCCATAGAACATTAATACTTTTGATTTATCCTTGTACATTGAGATGGCTGGTTAATGTCAATGTTGGGGAAACTTTTTTTTCCCCCCTTGCCGGAGTTGTTTTTTTTTTTTATTGTAGTGTTGAAATGCTTTGCAAACTATTCCTTTGTTTTCATTAGACACTTTTATTAGCATGAGCACCAAGCAGTTTATTTGCCACAGTTTTCACAGTAAGCAGGAAGGGTTTGATAAGAGCTCAAAAGCACTTGAGCACTTTTTCTTAGGCTGGAGAAAACTGAGAAGCCCAGTTGGAACTATATAGCCCATTTAAAGCAAGCTCCCCACTTCCATAAGCATATAGAAGTTTGGGGGATACCAGAATTACACTAGTCACCTCAAATACTATTTGATAGGACTGTAGGTAGAAAGCTATTAGTATTAAAGACAAATTTAAGCAGGTTTTATTTTTATTTATTGTGTAATTTGACTTAAACTTAGTTTTTACTTTCTGAGGTTGGTAAATTACATGTATTGACTGTTATGAACAAAAAGCAAACAGTTTTGGGAATAATTTTTTTTTTGTTGAGTTACACTGTTTTAAAGGTATCACCTATTTGATCTCATGTCTCCTCAAAAAAAATAGACTGGGCCTGATGGCTGGTAATCTTATCACTTTGGGAGGCTGAGGCAGCAGGATCACTTGAGCCCAGGAGTTTGAGACCAGCCTGGGCAACATAGTGAGACCCCATCTCTACAAAGTAAATGTATCGTCAAAATGTTTTTCTGAAGTAGTTTTTTTTATAAATATACTGTCTCCTTCCCAAATTGTCTCAGGCTGTCTAATACTTTCACTCTTAAACTCTGACCTTCTGTAATACATTTCTTAATATTCCCAGTCAGGTACAGGTACCAACTGTATGCAGTACAGCATGTTCACTTTAGGGTAGAAAACGTTACTCAGTGTGCCATTGCATAGTTGATGGTCTGCTCTCTTAAACAACTCTTTGAAAAGAAAGTTTGTTGGCCGGGCGCAGTGGCTCACGCCTGTAATTCCAGCACTTTGGGAGGCCGAGGCGGATCACTTGAGGTCAGGAGTTCATGACCAGCCTGGCCAACGTGGTGAAACCCCATCTCTCCTAAAAATACAAAAATTAGCCAGGCATGGTGGCGTGCACCTGTAATCCCAGCCACTCAGGAGGCTGATGCAGGAGAATCACTTGAACCTGGGAGGCAGAGGTTGCAGTGAGGCAAGATCATGCCACTGCACTCCAGCCTGGGCAACAGAGCGAGACTTTGCCTCAAAAAAAAAAAAGTTTGTGTCTATTGAATATAAGAGGATCCCTCTTCAGTGATTGATAGCATTTTTATTTTTTAATTTATTTTGAGACAGTTTCACTCTTGTTGCCCAGGCTGGAGTGCAGTGGCTCAACTTCTGTCTCCCGGGTTCAAGCTGTTCTGCTTCAGTCTCCCGAGTAGCTGGGATTAGAGGCATGCACCACCTGGCTATTTTTGTATTTTTAGTAGAGATGGGGTTTCTCCATGTTGGTCAGGCTGGTCTCAAACTCGCAACCTCAGGTGATCCACCCGCCTCAGCCTCCTAAAGTGCTGGGATTACAGGTGTGAATCACCATGCCTGGCCTGGTAGAATTCTTATAAAGAATACTTGTAGTTCATCAAAACTGTGACATTCAGGACCTGTTCTCTTTATTGTCTTTAAGTTAAATCCTATCTTTTCTTGGCTTTCATCATAAAATTAGGTTTCCAATGGGAGTAGAGGGAAAAAAATCTGTTCTTAGGTTCTCTTCTTATCCTGCCTTTTCCTAGACCACAGATTTCTTTAAAGCCATTCCTTGGACCTCCAGGTTTCAGTTAAGATTTAGGGCAGAGGAACCAAAACTTCTATGCTACTAAAATAAAAATCATGTGCGGTCAGGGACCTTTTTGTTCTACTTTGTAGGCCCGGTACCTGCCACATAGTAATCATTGAATATTCCTTGAATAAATTTTATTCTCAATGAGTGTGTAACACAAAAAAGTTCTAGAGCACTACTATCCTAAGATTTCTGCCTACTCTCCAAGTCCCTTCCTCCCAAATTTGGTATATTTCAGTGTTTACCTTTGAGATGAAGGCAATTTTTTAATCTGGTAAATTGTAATTGTTGGTGGCTGGGCATGGTGGCGCATGTCTAATCCCAACACTTTGGGAGGCTGAGGCAGTGGGATTGCTTGAGCCCAGGAGTTCAAGACCAGTCTGGGCAACACAGCAAGACCCTGTCTCAAAGAAAAGAAAAAAAAATTTTTTTTTTTTTTTTTTTAGTTGTAAGTGCTGGTGACCGCTAACATCCTTGTGTAGATGAAGTTACTAAATTTTTTTTTTTTTTTTTTTTTTTTTTTTTTTTTTTGAGACGGAGCTTCACTCTCTTGCCCAGGCTGGAGTGCAGTAGCATGATCTTGGCTCACTGCAACCTTTGCTGTCCAACTTCAAGCAATTCTCCTGGCTCAGTCTCCCAAGTAGCTGGGATTACAGGCGTGCACCACCACACCCGGCTAGTTTTTGTATTTTTAGGAGAGATGGGGTTTCACCATGTTGGCCAGGCTGGTCTTGAACTGCTGACGTCAGGTGATCCGCTTACCTTGACCTCCCAAAGTGTTGGGATTACAGGCATGAGCCACTGCTCCCGGCCTAAAATTTTTTATATTACTTGGTCGTATAAAGCATTCCAGTCTAGTATGACATCACTAACAATTTCATTTTGTTGATAACTCTGCCATGATGTCATTAGTTGTTGCTGTTTGACTTTTGGAAGACTGATAGGAAAAATGTACAGTATTTTTTCCTTAAGAAGTCTGTACCTAAACTTTCATTAAATTTTCAAGGTCCAAATTTGTTTGAGAAAAATATTAATATTACTCAATGTATAGCAACAACTGCATGAAGCGCCAAAAGAGTTCCAGTACATGATCTTTAAGGGATTATTAAGTTCAGAATTTTGTGAAGAAATAGAAGTTAATAAACAGTCATTTGATTTGTTTTGTAATTGTCTTGTGATAACCTATTTTAATAAAATTTTTAAAACATGTTATTTTAATAAAATTATATGTTTAGGTAATAAACTAATTAGGGAAGGGCCTTGGGGTTGCTAATGAACAAATAAAACTTGAGTAATAGATTTTTCTGAAAGTTTCAGTTTGGTCAGCTAAAATGGATTTTGGTAGGTTCCTTATATCTATCAATTATGTAGAAGATAGCTGTTCTGTGGCATTCAGGACCTGTTCTCTTTATTGTGTGTTTAGGTTTTGACTCTTGGATTTAATTTCAGGTCATTCCTGGGAGTTACAGTTTAGAATTATATGCTTCTATACATAAAGATTACGCTAGTTCTGAAGTACAGGAAAACTGTAAAGGCAGGTGAATTAAAATTTTACTTTGGGGTTTATTATTTTGAGTTTTTACAGGTATTTTTTACTCTTTAGTATAAAAATACAAGTAAAAATTTGGAATAAACCTTGACCTTTAAAAGAAATGTTATTTGTTCCTTTCTTGAATGAATAACAAATGGTATTAGCATAGATACGGTTTTATTTTCTGCATTTTACTTATTCTAGCAAACATTTTAAGTGTTATTAGATTTTTAAATTTCTCGAAAGTTATACATAGTCTTACACTATGCATCTTCCAGTATTTAGCTTTTTGTTAAATCATGTAATAGAAAGGTGATTACTGCTAATTAAACATTGGGAATTTATGCACCTAATGGTGGTGTTAAAAGATACCCATAGCAGAGAATGTAATATAAACAAATACCTCAAAGTCCTTTAATTTTCTTGTAACCTAAATTAGGTGAAAGGTGCAATGTGTCTGAACTCCAATATATGTATTTCTAGATATTTCTACATTCTGTTTAAAAACAGTAAAATTGAAATGTCTTTATCAATTGTGCTATTTGTAGGTGGAGACTCCCTGATCTATTTTTGTCATTAGGTTGATCTAGGTTAGCACTGTATACTATCTTCATAAAATCAATTAGTGTGGTATGAACCTTCTGATTGGTATTAGATGAGTTCCTCTATAAACCAGTAATATTTAAATAAGAAAGAATGCAGTTAGGAGGCAATTGTAATAGCCCTGGCAAAGGACGATGGAGCCTTGAACCAAAATACTGGTTGTAGAGATGGAGGAAAAATCAGGCAGTATTTAAATGATAGAATTCGAGACCTGTTGACAGATTTCAGACTGAAAGAGTTAAAAGTGGCTCTTGGGCTTTTGCTAGTACCTTTAGGGTTGCCTGGGAGTATAGAATTCATTTTCATATGTTTTGCTTGTCATCAGCCAGGGGAGCTATATCCTGTAGACAGCCAGAAATAAAGACATTTATTGAGCGAGATGGGTAGACTAAAGATATCTTCGTTGTAAGTGGGTATAGATGAAGTGGCCAAGGAGTGGAAAAAAAGGATAAAATTGGTCACATCTAGACATAAGAGACAGGAGTAAGAGCCTTTGGCAGTATATGGTAGGAGGAAAATCAAAGTACTGTTACGAAGGCCAAGAAAAATTTTGAGAGTTTTTCCATGCAGTTTTGGATGCTGCAAAAAAATGAGATAGTCTTTATCTTGACATTTATTAAGTATGTATTTGTTGGACATAGTTCTAAGTGTTTGACACATACTAATTTTTTTATGGGGGGTGACCAGGTGAATACCCCTTGTGGGCATGGTATACTGTGTCACCCCACTTACTGGGCACATTTATGTCATTTCACAGAAATGAGGAAGCTGAGGCAGAAAAGGTTTAGTAGCTTGTCCATATTGCATTGCCAGAAGAAGAAACAGAGCTAGGAAATTCTAACCCAGTAGTCAAGTTACAAAGTCTCATTTTAGTTTCTATGCCATATGGCTTCACATTGAAGCATGCTTGATGGATTGGGTGACTGACTAGTAGTCATTGGTAAACTCAGCATTTTCAGGTGATGAGTTGGAGCTGGATGTCATTTTAAAATAGTGGATTGTTTGGAGAGAGGAAATTGGTATGAGTAGTAGTGCCTTCCAAAATTTGGGGAGGGATAAGGGCAAGCATTTAAAATATAACTAAGGTTTCAATTTAGTTTTAGGCTAAGCGATGTGAAGATATTTATGTGGTAATGGGCAAATTAGTGGAAGAATAGTTGAGTCCAGGGAAGAGGTAATACGGAATGAAACTGGAAGGTGTACGCGAATTGGAGTTAGGGATAAGCAGGCAGGGAATAAATTGGCCTTGGACCGTAAAGAAGGTACACCATTTCTTACACATGTGTCACATAAATTTTCAAATGTATGGCTATGTTGGGAAAGCTTAATGGCCCAATGAACTTGGAAACTTTTTGTATTCATTTGCTGATAGGGTCTAATATTTTCTGGGAAATGACTTACTTGGAAAATACTAGCTTTATTATTTACTGATTGGTATAACTTTGCAGTATCAAAGTTAGTCTGTTTTAGTTTCTTTCTTTCTTTTTTTTTTTTTGAGACAAGTCTCACTCTGTTGCCCAAGCTGGAGTGCAGTGGTGTGATCTCGGCTCACTGCAACCTCCGCCTCTCGGGTTCAAGCAGTTCTGCTGCTGCAGCCTCCCCAGTAGCTGGGACTACAGGCGCACGCCGCCACACCCAGCTTGTGTGTGTGTTTGTGTTTTAATAGAGACGGGGGACTACAGGCCCACGCTGCCACACCCAGCGTGTGTGTGTGTGTGTGTGTGTGTGTGTGTGTGTGTGTGTTTTAGTAGAGACGGGGGACTACAGGCACACGCCGCCACACCCAGCTTGTGTGTGTGTGTGTTTTAGTAGAGACGGGGTTTCTTTTCTTTTTCTTCTTTTTTTTTTTTTTTGAGACGGAGTCTCGCTCTGTCGCCCAGGCTGGAGTGCAGTGGCGCAATATCAGCTCACTGCAAGCTCTGCCTCCCAGGTTCACGCCATTCTCCTGCCTCAGCCTCCCGAGTAGCTGGGACTATAGGCGCCCGCCACCACGCCCGGCTAATTTTTTTGTATTTTTAGTAGAGATGGGGTTTCACCGTGTTAGCCAGGATGGTCTCGATCTCCTGACCTCATGATCCACCCGCCTCAGCCTCCCAAAGTGCTGGGATTACAGGCTTGAGCCACCGCGCCCGGCCTGAGACGGGGTTTCACCCTGTTGTTCAGGCTGGTCTGGAACTCACCCTGAGCTCAGGCAGTCTGCCCACCTTGGCCTCCCAAAGTGCTAGGATTACAGGTGTGAGCCACTGCACCTGGCTTGTTTTAGTTTATCTGTAAATGGTGAATGAAGCCAGGTAGTCTGGAGTGTTGCACCAGCAGGAGGTTTCCATGTAATCTAGTGATGTATTAGAAGGAACATATAGCCGGGCACAGTGGCTCATGCCCTGTAATCCCAGCACTTTGGGAGGCAGAGACAGGCGGATCACCTGAGGTTGGGAGTTCGAGGCCAGCCTGACCAACGTGGAGAAACCCCATCTCTACTAAAAATAGAAAATTAGCTGGGCGTGGTGGTGCATGCCTGTAATTCCAGCTACTCGGGAGGCTGAGGCAGGAGAATTGCTTGATCCTGGGAGGAGGAGGTTGCGGTGGGCTGAGATTGCACCATTGCACTCCAGCCTGGACAACAAGAGCGAAAGTCCATCTCAAAAAAAAAAACAACAGCAGGAAGGAACATACTATCACAACAAGATGTTGAGGAATAATCAGTTTCACTATATAAGGTTGGGGTTTTAATATTCCAAAGAAAGCTCAAAATGATCTTTGTTCTCAGTGACATGCATTTAGCTAAAACTGGACATTTATATCTTGATCAGCCCATTGTTATAGACTCTTTATATAGTCCCTTCTCCTGCCTTACTAGAAAGGGAAAGTAGCCTGTTTTAATTTAGTAGGTGATTGATTTAGACATAGTGGCTAACTCTAAACACAGTATACAGAAACAGTTTAATTACTCTGTAGAAATACGTATTTGGGTACCAGTAGTCTTATTTTTGTTTTGTGAGTGTAGGTTAGGTCTGTAATTTTGAATTATGTTCCACAGAGCAGCTTCAGTGACAGAGGAGCCAGTCATTTGGGGATTTGGTTCTTTTCCTCTGTAAACCTAGGATAATTTTACTTAGGTCAGCATGAAAGTACAGTGGTATGATTGGTCAAAGATATATTTGAAATATTATCATAAGGTATCATAAAGATTGGTTAATCTTTAGGAGTCAAAGTCACATTTCAATTGCTACCTCCATTGGTATTTTTCCGTTAAAAGTTTTTGGGTTTTTCTGAGACGTGGGGTCTTACAGTTTGGCCAGGCTGAAGTGCAGTGGCTGTTCACTGGCACGATCCCACCACTGAGTAGGCTTTAAGAGTTAATACGTTTCATTTAGGTTACATTTTATTATTAATCTGTGTATTTGGATTGTGGTCTTTCTTTCAAACAGAATTCAAAGAAGCTTTTTCACTATTTGACAAAGATGGTGATGGAACTATAACAACAAAGGAATTGGGAACTGTAATGAGATCTCTTGGGCAGAATCCCACAGAAGCAGAGTTACAGGACATGATTAATGAAGTAGATGCTGATGGTAAGTCTTCAATTTTGTGGGGCTGGGAGGGGTTGAAGAAGTGATACTTAGATGTTTCCACTAAACCTTTGCTGTTTGCTTATATGTTTCCACTAAAGCTTTGATGTTTCCACTAAACCATTTCAGGTAATGGCACAATTGACTTCCCTGAATTTCTGACAATGATGGCAAGAAAAATGAAAGACACAGACAGTGAAGAAGAAATTAGAGAAGCATTCCGTGTGTTTGATAAGGTACGTCAAGGACTGGATATGTTAAATTTTGAGGATGAAATGAAGATACCAGGACTCATTATGAAGACTTGTGTTTTTTTGGTTGTTTTTTTTTTTTTTTTTTTTTTTTTTTTTGATGATTTACCAACATATTTTAATTACCAAGCAAAAGCTTTTTAAGAATTCAGTATAGACTTTCTAATATATGTATTGCGTTCATCTTGTCAAAGGAGGTGTCACTTGACTTTGGGACTAGGAAATAATGATTTCAATGTAGGACATTTTGCTTGGCTCTTAATGACATTTGTAGGTCAACTGTGTAGATTTGTATGCATTTCTAAAGTATGTTTTTCCCCCAATGTGAAATTTAGTAGTAAACTTAATAAATTTCCATTCCAACTCTCAAGTCTGTAATTTGACTCAGAAACTATACTAAATTTTTTGCTAGGATGGCAATGGCTATATTAGTGCTGCAGAACTTCGCCATGTGATGACAAACCTTGGAGAGAAGTTAACAGATGAAGAAGTTGATGAAATGATCAGGGAAGCAGATATTGATGGTGATGGTCAAGTAAACTATGAAGGTAAATGTTTCAGTCTCACGCCTCATTCTTCACTTTGATTTTTAAGATAAGAGGCTCTTTGTTAGGGAACTGATCGAAATTAGTGACCCTTCCCCTGAAATTAGGTTGCTAAAACAGTTACTTACATTTAACCTTCTTAAAATTCAGAGTGTTGTCTGCAGACTAGGTAACATTGCTCTGACTTGAGAACTTAATTTAGAAATATTTACTATCAGGTTCTATCCCTACACCTGGAATCAGCATTTTAATAGGATTCTTGGGTGATTCATGTATAAAGTTTGAGAAGCACTGTTCAGTGTTTGTGTGATTGTGGAACAATGTGGAAAGCAAACTTATTCCAAGTTTCCTAAAATGAAATTAATGTGACTTTCTTTCCCCGCACTGTATTGTCTTTTTTCTTTAATTGGCTTTAGTCTGAAACTGAAGTTTACATGTGCTTCAAAAGTATCGTATCTACTAACTTTTAAGATGGCCATATCAGGAAGCAAGGCATATGAAACTGAAGGATTTTGAGTAAAACTCTGTATTTTTTTCATGATGTAACTACTTAACTTAGAAAAGAGCATAAAATGTAATGTTATAAAAATTAAACCTAGCCCATAGCATTGAATTTACAATATTGTCTTGTAATCCAGCAGACTTAAAATTCAAGTCTAAACTAAGAGCCAAGAATGCTCTTTTTTATATTGGCCTATCTAAAGCGTTAATTTGGCTCTTACTAATAAACCTGAATAGTTATGGTTAATGAAGTTCCAGCCTGGGCAATAAACTAGCTTCCCTCTGTACTTAATGGTAATTCTGAGGAAAGAGAGGAATGGAAAGAGTACTCAGTAATTGAGTAAATGTGATTTTTTTTTTTTTTTTTTTTTTTTGGTCTTTTGCTATTGACTCATTTTTTGTGTACTTCTTCTTTTTCAGAGTTTGTACAAATGATGACAGCAAAGTGAAGACCTTGTACAGAATGTGTTAAATTTCTTGTACAAAATTGTTTATTTGCCTTTTCTTTGTTTGTAACTTATCTGTAAAAGGTTTCTCCCTACTGTCAAAAAAATATGCATGTATAGTAATTAGGACTTCATTCCTCCATGTTTTCTTCCCTTATCTTACTGTCATTGTCCTAAAACCTTATTTTAGAAAATTGATCAAGTAACATGTTGCATGTGGCTTACTCTGGATATATCTAAGCCCTTCTGCACATCTAAACTTAGATGGAGTTGGTCAAATGAGGGAACATCTGGGTTATGCCTTTTTTAAAGTAGTTTTCTTTAGGAACTGTCAGCATGTTGTTGTTGAAGTGTGGAGTTGTAACTCTGCGTGGACTATGGACAGTCAACAATATGTACTTAAAAGTTGCACTATTGCAAAACGGGTGTATTATCCAGGTACTCGTACACTATTTTTTTGTACTGCTGGTCCTGTACCAGAAACATTTTCTTTTATTGTTACTTGCTTTTTAAACTTTGTTTAGCCACTTAAAATCTGCTTATGGCACAATTTGCCTCAAAATCCATTCCAAGTTGTATATTTGTTTTCCAATAAAAAAATTACAATTTACCCAATGGTTGCTCTGCATCTGAGTCATTTAACTGTTGAAGTCTAATAATTTTGAAAATAAAATATGGCATTGGTTTCTGCTTGGTATAGTCTAGATAATTTTTTCTCGTGTGGGGAAG